>NC_000001.11:175608829-175911859 GCF_000001405.40 Homo sapiens
GGGAGTATCAAAAATTAGAAAGCTGGATGCTGCCAGGCAGGGATGTGGACTATAGAAACCCCCAGGCCTGCAGGCAGGAGTGCAGCCCTCAGTCAACTTGAGTGCACACAAGCAGGAACCCAGAAATTCTGATCCTGGGCAAATATCCCAAGAAACTGTCCTTCCACAGGCCCATAAGAGGCACAAAAGGGAATACTCCTCACAGCACTGTGTGTTGAGAAGTGTGGTAGTGGTTCTCTGAGTGTCTGTCCCTGGGGAATGGATAAGCCAGGCATGGCATGTGCACATCATGGAGCACTTTGCAGCAGAAAGGAGCTAAATACTGGATGCACAAATACTGACACAGATGGAGCTTTCAAACATAGTGGGAAGAAGAGAAAGAAGGAAGTTGAATGACATCTGTAACCCAGTTTGACTTATATAAATATTAAACACAAATCAATAATCAATAATTTGCAAGAATGTATACATATATACATCAAGCACATTAGAATGCTTGCCTATTGGGGTAAGAGCATGGGAGCAGGGACTGAAGATAAACAGCAATAAATCAATAAAAAGAAGAAAAAAATATTGAGGATGGGGTCCATGTTTTCTCTCATTCTTCAGTGGCTGCTGAGATCAAAGTGACTTGGGAGATCGATCTTTCTGACAGTCTGTTGCAGAGACTAGAGGGTTTTATAAAATGGTAGCTGGACATAGTAGTGGTGTCATCTGAGGTGATATCCAAGGTGTCATCCTTAGGGGGCACCCTGCAGATGCCCCTGTACTCTTGGACTTGGTTTTGACTTTGCAGGGCTAGAGACAAGCTGTCATTGGCCATGAGACCCTGGGGACCCACCTGTGCTGAGATGCATGTGAGACAGGTAGATGTCAGAAGGCCAACTGATAAGTTACAATAAGAAGTAATTGTCATACAACCAGAGCACTAAAAGCTGCCTGATTAGTGCATTCTCTTCTTGTAGTCAAACTACATAGGAAGCCAAATCATAATCAGAAGGACAAGAACAGAGATGAAGCAAAAGAAATTTAGATGATCTTATAAAAAGCCACTCAACTGAGACAGTTTGAGGGATTGTTCCAGGACACAAATAGTCTTGCTAATAATGGGAATGTGATATTGGAATTACAAACATGTTGGAGTTTGGGCACATAAAAAACATCTAATTAAATACAACTAATTAGAAAGAAAGATAGGATGAAGATTGGGGCCTAAACAATTTTGAACATAAGCAGAAACCTGATTCAAGACAGATAATATAACCAGCCACCTCAGGAAAAATATATCTCAGAACAAATCTTCCCTGGTCTCTGCAGACTGTAAGGAATAAATGAATAAATGCAAGAAAGCCTTCTCACACATGGGAATGTTGAGTTTTACCTAAGACACATGATCCTGGAAAACAGAGAAGGTTAAGAAATAACCCCCCTCTTTTGTTCTGGGAAATGGCTTACTACGAAGAACCACTGTTACCCTGTGACTTAGCTAAGACTCATGGATGCCCCTTTGTTTACCCATGGCAAGGCCAGACTCAGACTCTCCAAATTCCCATGCATTGCTTCATGAAGGATTAGCTAAACAGCTCTTCATTCCTGGCCAATTGAAACAAAAATGCTTGTTAACCAAACTTTAGTTAAGCTTCTCTTCTGCTCCCAGTTATCTGAACTTTGGTGAGCATACAACTCCCCTTTAACAGCCCCTCCTGGGAAGCAGCTGGCCTCAGGGTCAAACACTCTGATCTATTAGCCCATCATGGCAGACTTTCACCCCATCTCCCCACACCTGGTTCTTTCCAGTCTTGTTTACTCCTCCCTATAAAGGAAAGTTATTTTTGCCTGTCCCTTGAGATGCTTGCAGATCTTATGGTCACCGCAGTCCCACTATTGCAATAGCTCCTTTTATCCCTCGCAACCATTCTTTCTAATAAAACCTCTCCTTACTAAGTCCAGAAATGTTCTTCGATTTGACACACATCATAGACCATGCCCTCTAACTTCTCTGACACTCCTGGAGGAGATGCCACCACTGCAGTAAGAGAGAAGGGGAGAGAAAGAATACATTCTGTAGGGCCTACTATGCATTCATGCCACAGTAGAGTTTTTTACTAACGTAAATAATATTACATGGCTTGATCACTGAGCCAGTTTGGTGTGCCCTGTTGGCAGGGAAATCTAACCTGTCCGGATGCTGTTGCCTACCTTCTACTTTAAAAGTTACCTCTTGATGTTTCTGTGAAAAATTCTTTCCTCCCCCTTGCCCTTTGCTTGGTTCTTCACTGATATATATTCTTCAAAAACCTTAAAAAATTGCAGGCTAATTTAACCCGTTCCTTCATTTGGGAAGAAAGCCATAAAGCTTTTGATCACTGGAGGCTTGTGTTCATCTGGGAATCGCTCTTTATTTTATCACATCAGGGAAATGATGTCCACCCAGGTCCCTTCTCTACAAATGTTTATTTTTTTATTTTTCTAGGCACCTATCCTGGTCTCCATTTCCTTCGTTTCTACTCTTTTTTTTAAAGACATGGGGTCTTGCTCTGTTGCCCAGCCTGGAGTGCAGTGGTATAATCATGGCTCACTGCAGTCTCAAACTACTGGACTTAATCAACCCTCCTGTCTCAGCCTCCCAAGTAGCTGGGACTACAGGCACTCGCCACCATGCCTGGCTAAGTTTTTAAAATTTTTAAAGAGATGGGGTCTTGCTATGTTGCTCAGGCTGTTCTGCAACTCCTGGCCTCAAGCAATCCACCCTCCTTGGCTTCTCAAAGTGCTGGGATTACAGGCATGAGCCTCTATGCCTGGCCATTTCTGCTCTCTCTTGATCTCCATCTCTTTCTTTTCCCTCATGTTGACCCACTGAGAAATTAATTAATGTGTTCACTAGCTAAACAAGTGCCTATGGAACACTGACTATATATCCAGGGTTATTCTAGGCACTGGAAACTCACAGACGCATAGTCTCTACCATCAAGAAGCTCACAAAGAGCAAAGGAAACAGACCTATAAAGTAATATAGCACAACATGATTAATCCTGTAATGGAGATATAAAAGAAAAATAAAGTGCTGTAGACCGAATGTAAATCAATGGGTGGAAAAACAAAGAACCGACAAGTAACAGTTGAAAATGTTTCCTTTTTTTAATCAAATACTCAATCTCCTTCCAGGCTGGTTAGATGACATGTGGCTTAGAGTTCACAGACTGGAATATAAGGATTTTAATCTTTTAGGTACCTGCCACAGAGTCCTTTCTAGGATGCAGTATGATAAACCCTGTCTTGATTTTGGAGAAGCAGCCCACAGGTTGGGTTTTTGGGGGAGCACTGGCCTGGATTCCCTTGCCCTTGCCTTTCCACAGTCACTCAGAGCACCTCCTCTGTTAATCTCAGAGGTTACAGAGATGTGAGTGGGCCCTATCCCACCCCTAGGTTTCTCCTACACTGCCTGGGGCTAAAAGGTGTTCCAGCAACGGTAGCCCTCAAAGCTCTCAATGACCCATGTGGTTTTGCTGGGGATATCTGAGTCTCTTTCTTGCAAAGGCAGCCCCTTGTCTTTGCATATCTGGTGAACTTTATAGGAATTCCTCTTGTTGCAGAGGAAATTCAGGTTGTGGGCAATGACCTTCTATTTCAGAAATGCCCTGCAGGGACAGGCATCAGTCAATGGGTCAGGCCTCCACTCTGTTATTGAAAGGCTGGGCCCACAGGCAGTGCTAAATACTAGGATTTTTCTTCCCCCTGAGAACTTGATAGATTTTTATTTCTATTACCCAAAACCCCCCACTTTTCTTCACATATAAAATAATGCAGCAGTTTTACAAATGAAATAAGGACCTTCTAACCTTGACAAACGTATCCTTAATCTTTCTGTGATGTCTTTAAAATCCCAAACCACTTATGAGATGAGAAAAAGGCTGGGAAAGAGAAGAAAATCATACTGTGGGAATGTAAACTCCTCCAAGTTTTCTGAAGATATGTTGACTTTCTTTAATATTCTTTTTCCATTAGTGAACTTGATTCCAATCATTTACTCAACAAATATTCAAATGTTTTTCATGTGTCTGGCATTGTGCTAGGTGCTGGTGTAGGAACACAGCCCCCCTTTCCCTCAAGGTATCTACAGTTAAGAGGCAATGAAGGTCTATGGTTTCAACACAGCACCTGGTACCTTGAAAGACCTTAAAAAATGTTTGATAAATGAATGGATGAATCATTACCTTGTGACTAGTGGTTTTTGGTCCAGATCCCTAAAGCTGTATGTTTAGGAGAGTTAGAAAGCAGTGAAAGGTTGCCAGGAGAGACTTTGCAGGGTCTCCTCTGGGTATTCTGTAAGCAGAGCTATCTTTCTAGAAGGGTGCTACAGGGCAAAGACATAATCTCTCTAAATTCCTGTGATTCTCTCTAGGCTTCTGAGTCTCTGTAGCTAGGTCCTATTTTGCTAGCCAGGGCCCAAATCCTTCCCACAGTGCATCCTTGTTCTAATGGTAAAGGCTCCTTGTCCAAATCTGGGGTATTTTGTGAGCCAGTCAACATCACATTGGTAGCTTTAAATTGGCCATGTTGGGAGCATTTACACCTTGGGAACTGGCAAATCCTACAAGTTAGCACCCATATCCCCCTCCATCAACCCCACCCCATCCCACCCCAGAGCCAGTTTATCAGCATTCCCTGCCTGGTTCTTCTCGCCTGCAGCTAATCTCACTGGCATGATTGGAGCCTGCCCTCTGTAGCCTGGCTTCTCCTCCTGCCCTCTGATTCCAGAGGACCTGTTGCTCTGCCCTGTTCCTTCCCTTGGTGCTGTGGGTGTGTCATTATTACCATCTACTGAACAGATGGTCTTCTGGCCTCCACTTTGGCCAGTGGACACCAGAATTCTCTTGTCCTATCAAGTTACTGCCCTCTCCCTTCTTCAGGAAAACACTGTCAGCAAAGCCAAGGGAGCCTGCATCAGAATTTGGCCTCCTGCATATCCAGTCTACATCAAATCTTTATTAAATGCCTCCTATAAGATGAACATGATGCCGTCTGTGCTCAAGGAGTGTCACAATTTAAATCCCATCCCCTCAATCAGAGAGATTTTATGGTATCCTGAGAAAGGATGTGCTCTGGAGAAATATGAACCCGGTCAAATCCTAGCCCAGCCATTTACTAGCTATGTGGTCCTAGGCAAGTTACTTAACTTTTCTAAGCCTCCGTTTCTTTATCTATAAATTAAGGGCAATAGTATTTACCTTGCATGGTTACTGTTATTATTAGAGATGATGTACATAGTAGATGTTCAACAAGTTTTAGCTATTACATCTTGCTTATGTGTTAATATTTAATTTTTCTTATTAAAGAACTGAGTGCATGCCATCAAAATTCTATTGTTGTCAAATTGGAATATGGTAGGAAGAGAGAGAGAGGTGTGGGGAAAAGATTATGATACCTATGTATGGTGTGGAGCAAGGTGAAGAGGGAAGCAAGGCTGAGCTGATATTGACACATGGGCTTTAAGTGAGCCAGGCACCCTAGGTCAGGAGGGAGAGGGTTTTCTTTCCTTTCCTCTCCCACCTGTGTCCTCTCTGTTATTGAACCAAACTGGAATCTGCCCACCTGGCTTGGGAGGTATGCCTAGCAGACACTTAAGAGAAGTCCCTGCTCTGTCTCACCTCTTACCACCTTCTTGGCAGAATGTCTGACTTTTTCCACTTTCTAGGCATCTTTTTATGACTGTTTTCCTTGATTATTTCATCCCTCCTTTCTGGGAACATATCATCATCATCTCAAATTGTTAAAAGGAAGCCTGACTCTTTGTAGCATACACTATGGATATGCACTTCAGGCAAGAAGCTGGGCAGTTCCCTTGGTGACCTTAGTGTCCCCCAGGGCTCCCCTGCCGTGTTCCTCTCCAAACACTCCTCCTTGGTATTTACAGCTTCTTGGAAGGGGAATTTTGTAACCAGGGGCTCCTTGGGGTAACTGTGGTCTCATCCTGACCTGTATGAGCACACACAGAGACGTCTCAGCACTCAGGTTCTTCCACACAGTGGGTGACCGGCTGTTCAATGGCAGGGCATTTGGGTGTCATAAAGGTGACAATGAAGCAATGAGCAAAAATACTGAGGAAGAAAAAGCCGTGGAACTCCCTTCCTCTAGCCCACAGCCTGGAGGGCTGCTATGCAGCCATCTGGACTCATGGGGATCCCCCCACCTGAGTGGGGCTGGTGAAATAGCTTTCTTCCTGAGGGAGGAAGGAAGGAAGGAAGGGAAATGGCTCAGTTACATTAGTGGAGATAAATCGAGGGTGGACAATAAAGGCTAAGAGGGCTGCTGAAAGAATTATAAACCTTTCATCTTTGGATGTGGCTGGTGTGGTCAGAGCCTGAAGAGAGTACAACCAAATTCTATTTTTAACTGGTGTGTGTCTCCCAGCTGAAGGGGAGGGAGGATTCTTGGACCTTCTTTTCTCCTTAAAGTTTGCTCTATGAGCTTTTCCATAAAGGGATGTTGAGCACCAAGCCTGGACTTCAGTCTGGGCAGGTGATTAAACAGTAACTCCTCCTTTTTCAGAAACTGGATTTTAAACATGTATTGGGAGAGGAGGGATCAGGCTTAGTCTGCAGGCCTGGAGATGCTTCGGTGATGTTGAGGACTCCACGTCCTGCCCCTTACACAGGCAGGGATCCAATGCCTGGAGGAGTAGGGGTCTGAGGGCCACATCAAGGCCCCGCCCTGAGGCTTCGAGGTCACAGAGCCTATGTGTCTCCTTACGGTGTAAACTCAGATGAGTGTGAGCTCTAATCCTGTTCCTGACTCACTTTGGCCGGTCTCCTGACCCCTCAGGACTTCAGCGTCCTCCTGCTTCAGGAATTAGAGTGTAGAGAGGAGCATGGAGATTAAGCGGAGCCTTCCAATTGTGCAGTGGTACTGAATGGAGACAAGAAACCAAACTGGAGCTCTAAACACACTTATTTACAGTCTGCATCACAAACATAGCTTGCACCTTTCAGTTAGGCTTCTAAAACATCCCACATCCACATATATTTAGGTTTTACTTTGCATAGTAGTTAAGAATCTCACTGAAGCCTGTGCTCAAAAGATATTTAATGACGTTCCATGCTCAATGCTAGGAGTTTCAAAAGCAATACTGTAATGTAGGTAGATATTAAATGTGTTTACCTAAAGTACATACCTAAAATAGCTACATTAAGGTAATTTTTAAAAATAACTGAGAGAATGGCATGTGCATAGGCTCTGTTCTTTCTGCGTGGGACAAACCATCTACCAGGAGATGTGCCAGGGGCCAAATAGGCTTCCAGGTCAGCTACGTTTCCCCATGCGACCCTAAAGGGCATTTCTAGATTCCAGGGGTTCTGTTCAGAAGTATTCTCTGGGGGATGCATTTTATCTGATCTCTTTGCCCTTCACCCTGCTCATGGCCCTGTGTTCATGACCAAAGCCTCCCCTCTATAGCCCTCAGTGTCTGGGATGTCCCCCACCTGCCTTGGCATGCAGGCATTACAGCCCTCAGGAGATGTCACATGTCTCCTTGAGAAAGTGACACTGATCCTTAGCCCTCTGCAGGCACCCACAACCTCCTGGCAGCTGGCGGGTGATGCTAGGTGTGCTCTGGGATCCAGACATGTGAAAGTGGCCACCTCTCTGAAGCAGAAATTTGAAGGCTTGGGGGTCTGGTGTAGCCTGGTTTCTCCCTGTTGCAGGATGGGGGCAGAGGAAACAAAATCTCTTCTCTGGAAATCAAACAGGTGGTGTTCAGAGCTGAGGGGATCACGGGGCTCAGCACAGGCAAGGAGGGCTGTGCTCCTTGGTGGTCCCCGCTGGCCATGCTCCCACTGTCTGGGCGTTGGCATGTAGATATTTCAGGAAGCAAGTTTCATTTATCTGGCATGAGGAGCATAGGAAAGAAGACAGAGTTGAGAACTGGGAAAACTGGGCTCTAGTGTTCCCAGCTACTCCCTGTGTGACTTTTGCTACCAACCTCCTGTGTGGCTGACTGCATGCAGCTTTGCCACCAACTCCCTGTGTGGCTGTAGGACAGGCACTAAGTCTCAGTTTCTTGGACTGTGAAATGAGAGGTTGAAAAAGATAATTTCGAAGATGCCTTCCAGCTTCAGCCATCTATAATTCTGGTATTATTTTTGGTGCCAGCCATTAACAAATATGTGAAGTTGACAATGTCTACTCTTTCCACCACTCCCAAAATAAATTCATTCCTCCCACTCTGCTTCTTCCTTCCATCAGCCCTTCTTTCTCCTCTTTCTTCTATTAAGGAGTAGCTGAGCCCCTTCCACAAGCCAATTGTGAGGATTCAATGGCATGGTTAGAGTCCCTGTCCAGGACCGTGCTTGCTGCCATATTCGCTGAGAGTTTTCTGATACCGGAACACCTTTACTGATCATTACACAAAAATATCTCTTCCTCAGAATCTTCCTATGTCCTCTCCCCATGGAGATTTACCCTTTTAGGTGTTGGTCCCTTGCACTGAAGACCTGACCCTTAGTCAGACGTGAGTGTCTGGGTGCCTCTATGTGCCAGCCTTCCCAGACACAGCTTGCATTTCAATTACCACTGTCTGCACCAGGAGGTCTGGGAGCTAAGGTCGGCACTGGCTCCAGTCAGCGGGGTAGAGACGATTTGGTGACAATGCGATCCCTCTGCCCTATGTCCCATTACCTTCCACAGCAGGATTCTTGCATCGGGATGGCCTAAAGCCTTCTATTCATAGTGTGGTGTGAGACCAGCCACATCAGCATTACCTGGGAACTTCTAAGAAAGCAGAACCTAAGGTCCCATTCCAGACCTGCTGAATCGAAATCTAAGATCCTCAGTGATTTGTTTGTGCGTTAAAGTCTGAGAAGTACTGGCTGAAGCCTTTGGAATATTGATAATAACAGTTTCACTTTCTTTCAGTATCAAAGAATGTTCCTCACCCTGAGAATAATAGTAATAGTTAATAACTACACAACATCTTTTTTTATTTCACAGAAGTTTCACACAAATACGATCTTTTAAAAAATCTTTATCTTTTCAAAGTAGTTTTCATTTTACCCATTTTAGATCAGGAAACTGATACTCAGAAAGGTTTAGTTCTTGACCAAGATCATGCGGCCAGTAAATAAAAGCAAGAACATGAACTCAAGACTCTGGACTTCAAACTTGACTTCCTGCATCACTCCTAGGTAGAAGTACCTACTTTTCCCCTAAAATCTCTTTTGTTACTTAATTGGGAGGGTCATTCAAGCTCAACCAACATTCCTTATGATAACTACAGTATTGGGGCAGGCTCCCTGCATTCACCCAATTTATATATTTTCATTCCTTCTCTTAAGCTGAGTAAATTGTATGGAAATAGATCTGGACCCTGTTTGTAAATGTTTATTGCCCACTAATCAGAAGTAAGTTGCAATTAGACTGAAGTTAGAAAGTAATGGCATAGTAGTTACCATGTGATTAAGGAGTAATGGCATGTGATTATATCTCTGGCCCTGAGGTTTAAAGTGATATCATTAGAGCCCACCTCCTATTCAGAGAAACCTAGAATACAAATGTAGCATCAATGCAGACAGTACAAATCAACCTGGCAGGGCTGGTTATTTTTCCCCTCTCCCCTTTAATTTTACTACAGTTCCTGGACTCAACTGAATGCATATTGGCAGCCACTTAGCTGCTTTTGTTCCATGCTATTAAACTGCAGTTCTTTTTCACATGGGGAGTCTCTGCCCCAACTGGCTAAGATGAAACCATTTGTTCCCTCTGCCCACCCTGCTGGTAGACACTCTCCTTAGCCCTAGGAGTAGGGCACTGCTTTGCTCAGGAGAACCATACAGAAAGCCATAGGGCCGTTGCTTACAGCAGGGAGTGGAATCCCCCAACCTGGTTGGCCTGAATACGCCAGCTTTATAATCTACAGAGGAACCCACATCCTGTTTGTCACCTCCAGGAACACACTGGAAAGAGGGTTAACCTGGGTGCTGGGACTATTGGAGCTTCTACTTTAGGCAATGCCATTGATCAAACACTGCCCTTGCCTTCTGCCCAGGAGCACCTGGCACACAGGTTGTGATTCATTTGAGAAGACTGAGGATTTGGTTGGCCACTAACCTAATGTGCCTATTTGGTTTTCCATCTGGCTGTTCATTAGGGCACAGCTGTGCCTCCCTGGCCTCATTGCCCAGGTGGGTGAAGGGCTGGCAGGGCAACTTCTGCAACTAAAGAGCAAATGGCCTCCATGAAAAGAGACCTTGCTGCCCTGGGGTGCTAGGAGGGTCTCCATTAGTGACTGAGTGCCTGTTCTCTCCAGTCTCCTCCTCTATCACGGTCTACTCCTCCACATCCCTCCTAGGCCATCTCAAGTTGCCTAGCTTGCTAATGGAAAAAGACAGTTCCATTAGAAAGCTGGGCAACCATGAGAGCAATGGACCATGAGAGCATTGTCCATTCCTGTCCAAAGGACCAAAAGGAACATCTAGTATTTATAGAGCCCTTTACCAGCTTGCAACACATAAAACTTCGTGCAGAATGTCAGTCTAGGATGGCCTCCCAGGACAATGGCCCAGAGCAGGAGGTACATTATGGAACCATTTCAATGCAGAATGATTCCAGTTTCAGGAGACCAGAAAAGTCACACAGATAACCCACCTGATGTATTGAGTAGAACAAAGCTAAGCAGGCTCATTAGTCTATCAAGTGCCAACCTGGCTGGGGAGAAAACAAGTATCCTCCACAGCTCGCTTTGGACCTGAAAAAAGAGTAAACCAATACCAGCCATGGATGTACAGAATTAGAACACAAGTCTTGGGAAATTATTCAATCCAAACCCACCGTCTTATAGATGAGGTAATAGAGTTCCAGAGATGTTGTGACACTTGTTCCCAAGACCCAATACTCGCCAGAGCAGAGCCAGGAAAAGTACCCAGGTCATGATGCTCAGGAAATTGGTAGTAATCAAATATTTTCCTGCTTTTCCCCAGAGGAAAAAAGCATAATACATACAGCCAATCACCACTAAAACAGTGCAAACACAGAGGTTGTGTGTTGGAATGAAAACAAGGAGGACTTCAGAATAAGAAAGCATTTGCTCCAACTTGTTTTTACCCTAGTGGCATGGCCTCTTGTGTAAATCACTGAAACTTACCCATCTATAAAATGGGATTAATAAAACCTACCTCACCAATTAAATGGAAGGGGAGAATTAAATGGAAGGTAAAGTGCTGTGTAATTGTTATAATGCGTAATTTCACATAGATGCAGTCATCTCTGTTAATAAATCTCCATCTGGCTCTTCCTTGGGCAAGGAAGTCCAAGAAGTGATTTCAGGGGCCCAGAGGTAAATTCTGGCACAGAACTCTTTCTCCCTGGTTTTTAAGAGAGTAATAGGCAGGATAGACAAAGTGCTTAGTGAGCTCAGAGCAATGAGTGTGCACTTTCAGCTAGACGGATTGCTCTCAGTTTTATTACCAACCCCACAGTTATTGAGCTTCTGCTGGGTGTGAGCTGAGCTTGGAAGCCTGATAGAATTGGAATAGGCAGAGAGAACTGGGTAGACGAAACATAACAACCAGGCTGGAGTATTGGTAGGAAAATTTTGACCCAGTAACCTCAACCGCCTTTCCCTTAACCTGGCTTTTATCTGAGCTGTTAACAATGAGCCAGAGAAACTAGTCCAAGTTCTGGAGGCTTTCCATCCCTTCGCCCACCTCCAGCAGAGCTGCTAACAAGCAGAACACAGCCCAAAGGCTGGCAGCAGGAGGCAGAGAGAAAAGAAGCAGAGGGGCTGAGCTAGCCAAGCCTGTATGATTGGGCAGAGCAGTGGCGAGTAGGTGGTTCAAAGACTGAGGACCTAGGATGCGCTCCTGAATTTAGTCACACCAGTCATGCTGTGCACTGGGCTGGCCTCTGGTGTCCAGCACTGCAACAGTCACAGCTGAAGAGCCCCTCACCAGGGTGAGCAGGTGTATGGGATGCTCTTTCATGGAAGCTCGATCTCAAATGAGTTTGTGTGAGTAGAAAAAAAAAAGAGAGAGAGAAGCTTTTCTAAACTCCAACTTGCTTTATAAGCTCGGTTGTTCTGTTTAGTCTCATACTTACCTGCCAGTTGGGCTGGCCCCTGACCCACAGGCATAGTTTCCAGAGTGCTGAGAGCACTCTGAATGCCTCCATTGCCATGTCCTGTTAATTCTAAATGCGAAATGCTATGACCACGCACCCCTCTTCCCTTTGCTATCGCTCTTGCCTTGATTCAGGACGGCATTGCCATCGTCCTTGACTGTTAACTGCAGGAGGGTGGAGACCTCTTCTTTCCAGCTGACCGCTCTGTTCTGGCACATGGCAGGCACTCAACATGTATTGTGACCAACTGATGGGCATGATGTACTGTAATAGGACCCCTGCTCATCTCACTGTCTACATCTATCTGCGCTCTAGCCTGAATTCTGCTGCCAGACTAATCTTCCTGATCAAAATCTTCTAATGCCTCCTTACTGCCTGCTGAATCAAGTCCAAATCCTTACCTTGAATTCCCCACTTGTCATGACCTGGCCCCATCTGACCCTCCTTGCTTCCCTTCATGGATCTGACACCCCCACCACACTCAGCTACTCACTGCCCCAAACTCACCCCTGAGGTACATTTCAGGACGCTTTCTTCCTCTGGCCATTATCCTCACTGCCAGATGTATCTATCTAAATTATACTCCACTTTCCTGTGCCTCCAATTTCCTAATGTATTAAATGGGTTAATAGTAGTACCTATCTCATAGGGTTGTTGTATAAAGCATTGACACAGTTTCACAGCTAGCACTTGCTTGATAAACTCTTGTCAATATTATTAGCTACCTACCCTTCAATGTCCAGCTCAAATTTCACTTCCTCACTTGGAACTTTCCTGCTCCTCCCTCCTTCCTCTCTGCCTTTATATCCCATCCATCTTATACCTTCTCTAAGCACTTAGAAACTATCAACATTCAACATGTTTTGAATTATGGCTGTCCTACCTTTCCTACTTGATTATAAGCACCATAGAGGCAAGGATTTGTATCGCACAAAGGTTAAGGGTATGGCCCTAGATTGAGCCTACCCTGGTTCACATCTCAGCTCCACAGCTTCCTGGCTGAAACACTTTTGCAAGTTATTTTATCTCTGCAGGTTTAGTTCCGTCTCTTTGAAAGAGGGATAATAACGTTATTCACTCTGTGAGGATGTTAAGAGCATTGAGTGAGATAATCCATGTAAAGCACTAAGCAGAGTGCTTTGTACATAATATATGTTGGGTAAATGTTAGGTATTATTGTTATACATTTCTGTATCTTACATATTGAATGTAGAACTTTGAACACTAAATAAATATTTGGGAAATAAATGAGTCTTGGAGACTCTGAATCTGGAAGGAGCACTGTAGGCAAAAAAGCCTTACAGGCCCTCATTTCCTATTGAATCCCTGACTGATACTCCTCTGCAGCAGGGAATCAGGTGTTTGCAGGTACATGGCAGAGCTGGGGCACCAGGCACCCATAGCACTCATGCCAGTTTTGGAGAACTACCTCAACAGAAGCAGGTGACCTGGTCCCTCCTTCTTTTTCTGGCCACATTGCTTTTCATTCCACATCAAGCCCCGTGGGATGCCCACACTAACCTCTATCTAACCAGGCTTTCTTCCGCAGGCATTTGTATATACTGTTTCCTTTCCATGGAACACCCTCTAGCCCGATATCCACGTGCCACTCACACCCTGTCCTTTGCCAACTCCTACGCATGTTTAAGGCCCCAGTATGGGCATCTCTTCCTCTGGGAAGCTTTCCCAGAACTCTCTAGACTGCTTTAGATGCCTGTATTGGTTTCTTAAGGTTGTAACGAAGTACAACAACTGAGTATCTTAAAACAACAGAAATTTGTCATCTGATAGTTATGGAAGCTAAAAGTCCTAAATCAAGGTATTAGCAGGGCTATGATGCCTCTGAAACCTATAGGGAGAATATTTTCTTGCCTCTTCCTAGCTCCTGGTGATTTATGGGCACTCTCTGGCATGCCTTAACTTAAAGCTTCTTAAGCCCATCTGTCTTCATATTTACATGGGGTTGTCCCTGGTGCCTCTGTTTCCCCATGTCTGTTTTATAAGGACACCAGCCACATTGGATTAAGAACCCACCCTACTCCAGTATGACCCCATCCTAATTACATCTGCAAAGATCCTATTTCCAAATAAGGTTACATTTTGAGGTACTGAGGGTTAAGATTTCAACGTACATTTTTTGGAAGACAAATTCAACCTATAACAGTGCTCTTCAACTTGTCTCTCATGGGATCCGAAAGTACTATTGGCTTACCTTTCTAAAGGATCAATTGACCTAAATTGACCTGGTTGATCATAAACTCTGTGTATACAAAGACATCATCTGCCAAATTCACCACTATTGTGTGTGTGCATATATATGTTGGGTAAATATTAGGTATTACTATTACACATTTCTCTATATACCTACACAGTATAATATATATCTAGTACCTGATACAGTCTTTGGATAATAAATAAAAGACTCCCAGAAAACAGTTTCTTACCCAAAATGTAGCCTCCTAGTTGTTCCTAATGCTGTGAATCAGCCCTCTTGCTCTGGGCATCCCAATTTGTTGGAGGTGCAGGAGGTGATGTTTGCTCACAGGACTATTGCCTGCAGGTGACCTGGTCCCTCCTTCTTTTTCTGGCCACATTGCTTTTCATTCCACATCAAGCCCCGTGGGACACCCACACTAACCTCTACCTAACCAGGCTTTCTTCCCCAGGCATTTGTATATACTGTTTCCTTTCCATGGAACACCCTGTAGCCCGATATCCACGTGCCACTCACACCCTGTCCTTTGCCAACTCCTCTTTGCAGAGAAGAGGTGACAGGGAGGAAACCAGCAGAGGATTAGAGTGAGCTAATTTACCCACATGTATGATGATAAAATGCTAGGGGAAGAATTGACATAGGAGTCTTCTGGTCCTATCCCCCCATACTACAGAGGAGCCTGAGGCCACTGAAGTGCTCCGGGGCCCACACTGGTTACAGGTGAAGCCAAGGCTTGGGCCCAGGTCTCCTGACACAAGTCAAGGGGCTGTTTCCTCTATGCTACCCTGGTTTTCTGACTCTTATTTTTTCTAAGAATGCCCTGATGTTTTATTTCCATCTATATAAAAATGCTAGCATGATGATGAGAGCCACTCAACAAGATTAGGAAGAGTGGGCACACACCCACCTGGATTAATCTGGTCCTCAGGCCTTCCCAGTGTATAGAATTCCACCTTCAGAGATTCATTCATAGAAAATCTTCCCTCTCCACCAATTGCTTCTCCTCTCCTAGCTTACATGGTGGTACCTCTTAATGTATCTTTTGGTACACCCAGGCTCATCTGTCATCCTCACTATATTGAGAATAAGATTATACAATTCTTTCCTGGAAATAGATGATAGAGAGTGTGTGCTGGGTTGATCATGTCCCTTCCCTCCATCCCCCAATTCATGTTATTCCTGGAGCTTCAGAATGTGACCTTATTTGGAAAAAGGATCTTTGCAGATATATTAGCTAGTTAGGTCACACTGAAGTACAGTGGGCCCATAATTCATTATGACTGGTATCTTTATAAAAAAAGGAGATGAGACAGATACAGAGACATACATGGAGAAGAACTCCATGTAACAACAGAGACAGAGATTGAGGGAAGCAGAGGTTTCAAAAGCAAGCCAAGAAATGCTAAGGAGTGTCTGCAAACCACCAGAAGCTGGGACGAGGTGAAGAGGTAGTCCCACTACAGGTTTCAAAGAAATCTTGGCCCTGCTGATGCCTTGATTTTGCGCTTCTAGCCTCCAGAACTGTCAGACAATATAATTTCTGTCGTTTTAAGCTGCTCAGTTTATGGCACTTCATTACTGTAGCCCTGGGAAACTCATACAGACAGCCTAAGGGAATGGTGGGCTCCTGGGGTAGGGAATGGACAGCCACCAAGAGGCAGATGGAGCAACGTGCAGAGAAGATAGAGTTCCAAAGACAATCGTATTCTATTTCACCATGGGGTCACTAGAGGATGGGGCCCCCTTCTTCAGTACTAAGGGAAGACCAGCCTTCAGCTGAGCACCTCCTGCTTCAGATTTCCCACTTGCCCGGTTTTCTGGGGAGCTGCTAGATGAGGAAGCTCAATTGCACCTCTAGGGCCTCATCCTAAGCTTGGCCAGAAGTACTGGTGCTCCAGCACCAAGGAGCTAGCATCCATTGCAGCTTAAGAACTCTAGGGAAGAAGGGACCTCTACTTACCTGAAAAAGCTCCCAAGAGCCTTGAATAGCCACAAATTTGGCTTCTACGATTCCCAAGTCAGCTGTGATAGTCCTTTCTGATGTTTTTTTCCTTTCTTTTCAAATAACCCTCAACTGTGAAAAACAACAGTGTGATTTTTCTGCCCATTCTTTCTGTAAAATATCCCTTCCTAAGTGCCAGAGAAACAGAATATCATGAACGCAAAGACTGTAGCAGAACTAGATGTTGGGCCCTGTCAAAGCGAATATGTAATGGCTGGTAAAGGGGGACACAGGAGTGGTGTTGGCTCGCTGGCACTAGCTTGCACTGGGTCTGTTAGCAGCATCTGGGGAAATGTGCTTTTTTGGCCTGTAGGCTGCCACTGCTCCTTGCAAAAGCCCTAGTGTAGCGGAATTCCCAGAGGCCTGAGCTCCAGACTGGCTCAGCCAGGCCTGTGTGCTCCACAGTTGCTGTAGGAAGTAAGAGTGACTCTGAGCAGAGCCTTCCCATGGGATTCACCACCCTGTTCTCAATAGAGAATGTTTCTGCTGCTGTTAAAGGGCTCCCCACTACTTCCAGCCTTCGCCTGTGAGAGCAGGCACTGCAGAAGTTGATTGCAACAGCAGCATCAGAGCAGACGGGACTGAGACTGGTCCACTTTCTGCAGAGGGCCTGATTTCATGGTCAGCAAGGGTCTCTGAGCCTTCTAGCCCATCCCCTCCTACCCCCAGCCATCTGCACATCTCCCCACAGGCTGAAATGATATCAAACCAAACAAGGACAAGATGCTCCTGGATATGGCTTGGCTCTGACCCCACCCAAATCTCAACTTGAATTGTATCTCCCAGAATTCCCAAGTGTTGTGGGAGGGACCCGGGGGGGAGGTAATTGAATCATGGGGGCCTGTCTTTCCTGTGCTATTCTCATGATAGTGAATAAGTTTCACGAGGTCTGATGGGCTTATCAGGGGTTTCCACTTTTGCTTCTTCCTCATTCTCTCTTGCCACTGCCATGTAAGAAGTGCCTTTCACCCTTCACCATGATTCTGAGACATTCTCCAGCCATGTGGAACTGTAAGTCCAATTAAACCTCTTCCTTTTGTAAATTGCCCGGTCTCGGGTATGTCTTTATCAGCAGTGTGAAAATGCACTAATACATTCCTGTTCGTCTTCCCTCTCTTCTACCATTCCCCAATCCAGAAGTAGGTTTTGATAACTATGATCGTGCAAAGGTCATTAAAATCTCACCCAAGCAGGTCATGACTGTGAAGTAGCTGCTTCCAGAACCATATCACCCACCTCCAGCTCTCTTTCTGCTGCTCCCTCAGTGCTGAGCTGCTATCCTCTCTCTTCTGCCTTCTGGGTGGGCTCTTGCATTTCATAGCTACCTTCTTGGGTTGCCCTAACCTCAATACCCTTTTGCTCTAAAACAATCCCTCCCTGTCCCTAATTCTCAACAAAAACCATTCTTCATGGCAGCCTTCAGTTAGTAATTGAGAAGAAAGCAACTGAGAGAGAAATTGAAATAAACCGTATATGTTTTCTAATGAGCTTTGTGTATTTATACATATGTCTTATTTATATTTGTGTCTTAAAATACTAGTTACCTATTGTGGTAGATTCAATGCTGGGCCCCAGAAGATATGTCTATGTTTTAACCCTCAGAACTTGTGAATGTGACCTTGTTTAGAAAAGGGTCTTTGCAGATGTAATTAAGTTAAGGATCTTGAGATGAAATCATGCAGGATTATCCAGGTGAAGCCTCAATCTAATGACAAGTGATAAAAGGCAGAAGAGAAGAAAAACACAGAGGTGAAGGCCATGACAGAAGTTAAGATTGCAGTGATGTCACCACAAGCCAAGGAATGCCTGGAGCCCCCAGAAGCTGGAAGAGCAAGAAAAGATTTTTCCCCTAGATCCTTCAGAGGAACCTAGATCCTGTTATCACCTTGATTTTGGACTTCTGGCCTCCAGAACTCTGAGAACATAAAATTGTCTTGTTTTAAGCCACAAAGTAATTTGCTGTGCCAACCCCACCAAACTCATACACTTGTTAATCTAAACTAACAGTATTGCTGCCTCTTGGGCATATAACTTGTGATTGACATGGCAAGAGGACAAAGCAGAATCTCATGGAATAAAAAGCCCTGGATTGAGAGTAAATGCCCTGTGTTGTTCAAACTTTGACTGTTTCTTACCAGTGCACAAGCTGGGATGAAAAACTCTGATCCTTAGATCAGAGTTTATAAAACTTGTTCTCATTTATAAAACTTGTTCTGTCTGCCTCACAGCATTGGTGTAAACATCAAAACAGAACAGTGGATGGGGATGGGCTTTAGCTTTATAAATTTCCATATACTTGAAAAGGAGTTACTAGCTTCAGAAAGACGGAGTTCAAATTCTATTATTATATCAGTTACTAGTTATGTGATTTTGAACCACAAATTTCTCATCTGGTAAAAATGGCATAATGATACTCATCATATCGGAACATTGTAAAGATTAAATGAAATTACGAGTAGTTTGCACCAGGCTTAGAACTTGATAGGCCATCAATAAATTATAGCTCTAATTGTAATGATCATCATAATTGCCATCCCCCATCCTTACCCACCCCACCCCCAAAATGACTAAGATCAGTTCTACTTTCAAGTTAATCTGAGGCTCTCCTAACGTTTTTACACAATCAGATGTGTTCTTTGGAAACACAACTTTTCCTATTGGAGAGAGCTCAAGAGAGCTGTCTTGGAGGAAGCTGCAAATTTCTAAGAAGACTTTGGCCTTTACCATAATAGCCACTGAGAGTAATGAGAGGTCTGTAAAAGCCGAAGAAGCCAGCAGTCTCAGCTGCCCCAATCCACGATAGTCAGAATGAGCCAGGACCACTGGGAGAAACACCTCCAAATTATAGCCAGTGGCTCTCAAACTGTGCCTTAGAATCTCACAGAAGGCAGGTGAAAAAGCTTATTTCCTTGGAAGCCATGGCAGAGATTCTGATTTAGTAATTCTGGGCAGGGAACTAAAAATATGCTCTTTACCAGCATTCCAGGTGATTCTGATGCCATTGTCTGCAGACCACACTCTGAGAAATGTTGCCATAAGGCAGCAAGGAAAATGTGTTTTCAGGGTTTATCTTTCTCCCCAGGGTATCAAGTCCCAGAGCTGTGATTTGGTGTGGAGGGAACCTCTCCTACAGGTTCCTAGAGCCTTTTTAGGATCTCTGAAATCTGTGGCTTAGATAGTACTTTGCTTGAAGGCCACTTAAAGGGACCTATGGGGAAGGGGTAAAGAGTGGCACCTTTTAGGAGATATACCTAATGCTAAATGACGAGTTAATGGGTGCAGCACACCAGCATGGCACATGTATACATATGTAACAAACCTGCACATTGTGCACGTGTACCCTAAAACGTAAAGTATAATAATAATAAAATTAAAAAAAAAAAGAATGGCACCTTTTTTTGCGCCATTGTTAATATTTTAGCTCATATGAGCTCATTGGGTGGTTTCCAGCTGAGAGCTGGAGAAACCCAGTGTCACTGGGTTTGAAGCTTGTGCCAACACTGGGCAGCTGAGGAGCAGGGACAGACAAAGGGAAGAGGAGCAGCAGAGAAAGAATGAAGAAGTGCTGGGGACAAACTTCCTCTACAGCACTTTGCAAGTTGGCCCAGTGCCAGCCTGGAGGGAGATGGAAAGAGAAGCCCATCCATCGTCTTCAATGGTGGTGCCAATTCATTCCACTTGTCTATCAGATCCCTCTGGGCCTGCAGTGGGGCTTCTTGTGGCCATCGAGGTTAAGTCATGAAGGACACTTATCTCTGGGACTCTGTAGAAAACAAAAGAAATCTCATTTTCTCTCAAATTTAATTTTACCTTGTGCTCTGAGAGTGTGATCCTATCAGGGCTGGAGTGTAATAGCCCCATTGGAGTGGATCAGATTGGATTTTCTATAGCACCTGAGAGCTCCCATGTGGCAGGCACATCCTGCCTCAGCTGTCTGCGGTGCACTGGGCTTCTGAGAGCGTAGGAGATGATTCGCCTCCTCTCCATCTCCAGCAACTGATCTTGTCTCTCTGCTTTAACATATGGCCAGAGGTACTGAGGCACTGAAAATGTCCTACAGATCCAGGCTAAGATGTTTCTATCATAGGACCCCAGGCTACGATGTTTCTATCACAGGATCTCAGGGGAAACCAGATTGTTTTAAACTTTTCTAGCCACTGGGAGAAAATGATGCCAGGATCATAGCCTCATACTAGGCTTCCAAGAGTAGGCAGGAATGTCAGGCCAAGACAAGCAGCTCATGAACATTAAAAATGCAGAAATGTGGAGGGCAGGCCTGCAGAGACTGGAATGCAATTAAACAGCCAGTGCGTGGCATTGCTGAGAACAATTTTTTTTTCTGTATAGAGATGTGGGGGAGGGGTGAGAAGAGGGGACAGGTGGGACTGGCCTCACTAAGCATCTGCAGTCACCAGGCTGGCGTCAAACCCTGAGCATCAGAGGGGTGGAGCTAGGAGCTAGAAGGCTGCAAGGGGTTGCAGGAACCTGAGGGCCTGGTGCGGCCTCAGAGTCAGTACTGAGAGATCAAAGCCAACACCATGGTCAAAGTGGAGATTTGGAAGCCAAGAATTTTACCAGTGGAAATAGGGTTAGAGGCAATTGCCAGATAATTGCTACAAAATAGCCTTGAGGGGTCTGAAGCTCACTTTTATCCTTGGATTGTTCTTAAAGAGCTAGAATGGGACAGACACAATCATTAGTAGGTAAATGAATGGAGATATGGACATAATACCTATAGAAAATAAAAGCGGTGATAGTTGAGGCACGGCTCTTCATTGTACAAATAAGTTATTATCAGCTCTTTAGGCTGAACCTCAGACCCATACTGAGTCCTGGGGAGGGACTTTCTGGTGTGTCCTCTGCCCAGGGTCATTTCCCAGGACACTCCCTAAAGCACACAGAGCTCTCTGGGGTCTGGAGACCTGCCTGCCACGGCTGCTGAAGTGCAGGCCCAAGTCTAGGAACAAGGGCTTTGCAGGTGGAAGACTCCAGGGGCTCCATGCTGAAAAAATATCAAGAGCGATAGGTTACTTTTATGCTCTGGACTCCAAGAAGAGATCTGAAGAGTAGCAAGGTCCCATTCTGCTTTAGAGAGAAGAGCCTTTACTTCAGGCCTGCAGAAAAGAGGAACTCTTGTCTTATCCCTAGAAGCTACAGATAAGTAAAGTCTTTTAATAGAAACTTTCCTGAAATCATGGTTCATTGAGTGTGTGTCTATCAGTAGCAAATCACAAGTTGAAAACAATTATGTTGTTCAGTTATTTGATAATGATAACAGCAATCACAATTGATTAAGCAGCCGCCATGTAGCAGGCATGGGGTTAGGCGCTGTACATACTTCACTACTGGTCTACAGCAATCTGCAAGGGTTCAGGATGTGACTCCACTCGTTCTCTCTCTCTTTTCCTCCCTTCCTCCCTTTCTTTCTCTTTTATCTTTAGCAAATAGAAGAGTTTGGCAGATAGGAGGGTTTTGGCCTCTGTTTCAAATATACTTCTTCAGGTGTTTAGGAGAATCCCTTTCCTACCACAGTATTTAGCTTCACTGTTAGGCATCCTTTTAATGAATAAAACACAACCTTTTATAACTGTCAGGGCTATTTCACACTAAATTTACTTGTGCTCCTAAAACTACCTGAGAATCCAGCTGAGCTCTGCTTGCAAAAAAAAAGGAAGCCGGACAGCTTATGAATAACAGGCTGAATTCGCACCAAACAAGGGGAGCAGGGCAGGGCCCAGGCCTCTGCATGGTCTATCCAGACTGGTCATCCAGCTGCTCTGGAGAGAAAAGCAGGGGCAAGGAGATTCATTTAATTAATTTCGGCTTTATCTGATTCACAAAAAATAAAAAGACTGGTACTACCCAGGACTGGGAAGGATGTGGGTCAGCGGGTGTTCTCAAATTTCAACGGCGCAATCTTTGTGAAATAGGACCTGGAATGTCCTATGAAAATAAAAAATGCCCAAGTCCAATCAGTCATCCCTCATTGTGAGACTTTAATACAGAAATATATATGTGTGCATGCAGATCTATAAACACATATGCACCTACATACATGAAATGCATATATAGGAATATTTCTTCTGGCCTTATTTGTTAAGATAAAAGAAAACTAGAAACAATTGAATTCAGATTATGCAGAGAATTGTCAAATACATTTTGATACATCCTTACAATGGAATGTTATATAGCTATTTAAAAATAAATTACATCTACAGGTCTATAGCAAGCTTGTTCAATCCTTGGCCCACATGGCCCAGGACAGTTTTGAATGCAGTCCAACCCAAATTTGTAAACTTTCTTGAAACATTATGAGATTTTTTTCTTTGGTGATTTTTTTTTAGCTCACCAGCTGTTATTAGTGTTAGTGTATTTTATGTGTGGCCCAAGACAATTCTTCTTCTTCCAATGTGGCCTAAGGAAGCTAAAAGATTGAACACCTGTGGCCTATATATTGGGGGTCAGTTTGCAGGGTAATGTGTAGTGAATGATTCCATTTGCCAAATCAGACAGAAAAATATATGCATGTGTATGAGTGTGTGTGAGTGTGAGGGTGTGTGTGTTTGTGTGTGTGATGTGTGTGTTGTGTATGTGTAAACATAGAGAAAACCATGGAAAGGACACACACCAAACTCTAAACATTGGTTTTCTCAGTCAAGAGGAATTGGGGGAGCAGAAAGATATTAGCTCTTTCTTTATGCTTCTCTACACTGCTTTATATGTCATAAACAGCATGTAATGCTTTTTGACTAAAAATGGAATTTTAAAATCATGTTTAAGTATGTTTAGAAAAACCAGGAGGCATCTATCATTGCTAACAATAGCAATGTTTGACTAACTAGTACAATTTTTGCATTAGAGGAGATGGGTAGGAGGAAGTAAATACCATCAAAGTGCCCCAAGGGGCACTGGGAGAAGGAACCTTAGCTCTGTGGAAGATCTCAGCCTGGGCCTTCAGGGCCCATGTCACCCAAGCCCTTGCAGAGGGGCCATTTAATGAGGATACTCATGCAGTTTCATTATCCACAGGGTTGCTGCACCTGGTAGAAATTTTGCAAACAAAAGAAAAGCAGCTTTGGCAAAAGTACTTGGCAAATGTGATTCTTAGAGATGGTGTGAAGAGAACCAGTTTCTCTCTGTTCCCAAGGCTCCCCCGTGCACTGTTGTCAACAACGGAGGACTCTGTAGGGCATCAGTGTGGGATGAAAAAGTGGAACACCCAGGCTCTCATCTCACCACATGATCATTGAGGTCACCCTTGCTCCAACAGAAACTATTATTTCAACATCAGATTATTTTATTTCACTTAGAAAATAGAGTCTATATGGGTAGACAAGGCTAAACAACAAAACTATCTGAGATTTGAAAATGCTGGTAACCATGAATTAAGGATTGACTTTTGGTTAGATCCTGCAGAGACCAAGTACTTCTGTATATTTGTAAAGTATCTAATAATTTACAATAAGTTTTGGTGTTAAAAACAAAATAACATTAATATCAACCTTTATTAAATACCTATTTAGCACTGTGTACCTTATCTCTTTCAATCCTGAGAATGGCCCTGCAAGGTCTTATTGTGCCTATTTTCCAGATGAAAAAAACGAGATGGGAAGTTGGCGACCTGCCTAGGACCATACCGATGGTACATGGGAAAGCTAGAACTGAAACCCAGAGCATCTGGTATCCATGACTCAAATCCAGAACCTCAACATTAAACTGAGACTCTCTCACTGTACCACACTGCCTCCCTATACAAGGTTATGATGTCTCTTCCCCTAAAGGAACAAATAGTCTTTGGTGGAGTTCTTGGCCATATACAGCTCACTGTAGGGAAGAAACTTCCACCATTCCCCAAGCTCCTGTCTCCATACCTTGTATACACTGTCCCCTCTATCTGGAATACCCACCCCCTCTTCCCTGCTTTACAACTATTTACTACTCATCTCAAGACCTGGCTCAACTCCCCAAACTGAGTTAGTGCTACACATACATCCAGGCCTGGTTCAAACCTACATCCATCCTCTTCAATCCACTGCATATGCAATTATCATCTGTGGGGTCTTTCTATTATTCATACTTTAGTGTCTTTATGGATTTTCTCCTTAATTAGACTGTATGCATCTTGTAGGCCAAGACTTGGTCTTATGTTCTTTTTTTGTTTCCACTGCCCTTAGCACGCAGAACTGAGGTATGGCTGGCCCCCTTTGAGAGCCTATGTGTCAAATTACAAGGAAAGAAAAAAAAATAAAGATCAGAGGATTAGAGGAATGGTGGGGAAGAAGGAAAGAAATTATAGCTATGGGACAAGAGGTTTTGGTGACAAAGAAAACACATTTTGGACAATCCAGTTTGTGCTAAAATTAAAATAGAAATGGCTTTCAAGGTGGCATATGTAATTACAATTAATTAAATATTCTGCTACCTAAATTATTTAATTACCAAATCTCACAGCCTGAGTTGATTTAATCGCAAATGCCATAAAAATTAGGGAAGTGGTGAATGGATGGCCTCTTAGTACATTCCATATTATAAATAGAACTTTCGGCCAGGAAAGGGAGGAGGAAAGCAGAGAGAAGAAGAGAAAGAGTGAGATAATGCTTGCTTATGCTCCAATCCGCTGACATTTTTGTCTCAGAATGGGAGAGGTGGAGGGAGGAAAGGAAGAATATTAGGGAATTGTGTTCACATCTTCCATAGACCAGATATGGTTCTGGCAACAGCAGGGGACAGCAAAAAGGCTGTGGGCTCAAGAGTCAGACAAACCCAAGTTCAGCCCAGCACTGGCAGTTACTAGATGAGTAGACTTCCCTGACTTTGCTTTTTTCTTTCGTAGGACTGGGATGATGATGATGATGATGACGATGATGATGATGATAAGGCCAACCCCATGAAGTCACTGTCAGATGAAATAAGCTAATCTATGTAACCACTTGACACAATGAATGGCCCCTGGGACACTCAGTGATTGTCAATTTCTTGCTCTGATTTTGAAAAACGTTTGCTGTTTATATCAGTGGCAGGGAGGAAGATGGGGAGGAGGGCAGAGCTGTGTGCCCCCATGTTTCAGTTCCCCTGAATGATTGTCTTTCTGTGTAAGACAATGCAGATGCTGATGAAATGCTCACTTCTCTTGTCACCAGCTCTGCCGCCTTCCCTCCATTTCATCCAGCCAGCTGCCAACATCTCTTATCCCACATCCCCATCAGCCTTGCCCTCTGTCTCACCTGTGGATAACTCTGCCTTGTGTGTGGAGCCATCTATTCTGCTGATGGGCCTTTATCATCTTTCACATTTTGTTTTCTTGGCTAAATGATTGTCTGACTATCTCAGATGAGTGGCTTATCTCAATAACCCAAGTGCGTGTGAAGAATGGAATATATCAGAGAGGAAATGTAAGTCAGTAGAGTGAAAATGTGGGCGTTGTTTGGGACTTAGTATGTGGGAGCACAAGACAGGACTCATGGGCTTGAAATATTAGAGTTGGAAGGGCCCTTAACACATCCCCCAATATTCCCTGTCTCCACCATCCTAAGTTCCAAGTATGGACACCGAGGCATGGAAATGGAAAATGACTTGCTTGTTGTGCTCACAGAACTCCTGTAGCACCAGAAGTCAGTCCCAAGTTGCCACTCCTAATCGATATGCTTTTTTGATAAACCACACTGTCTTTTCATAGCACATTATAATTTATACAGTGCTACTTATTACCAACCGCCCCCTCAAAACAAACAAAAAACTAAAAGAGGTTGTCATGGCTATTCAAAGTTGCCCCAGCCCTCCTCATTCTCTTAATGGCAAAGGTTCCCAAACCAATATCCTAAAGCCACGGGTCCCTACCTAGCCCCTCCTCTGCTCCTTTGTGGGGTGCTACAGAGGCTGGCCAGGGGCACAGGGACAGGATCTCTAGTTTGTTAGACAGTTAATAAGGTATATCCCAGAAAACAAGAGGGCTGCTCCATCCTCACATACACCCAGAAGCTAAAGCCATGTGTGAGGGTCACCCTGCAAGGAGCTGGCCCAACAGGTCTGACTTAGAGGCCAGCTCTGACTTAGAAGCTTTCATTGCACCTGGGCATATCTGGAAGGTTTTCGACTTTGAGCAGCTGGAGCAGCTCCATCTCGAGTGTGTTCACCAACATGTGTGCAAACAAAAGGTCTCTAATTTTTCTCTTTAAACTTTGCCCCAGGGCAGTGAATGACCTCTAGTAGTTTGGAAATTCTCCAGTTGGGATTTGTCCTGGTTTTAACATTTGCCTGCAACATCAGCCAGATAATTCCAATATTCGGCAAGAGTGAGTTTTCTTATCATGACTCCATATCTACATTTGTAGAACACATTTTATCAAGTGCTTGGCAGGAGATACGAAGTAGCAAGGAGGTAATTATCTTGTATTGCACTGATTTGAGAATTTTTAATAAAAACTCCCCCAAATCCAGTTGCACCAAGACAGATGGAATTGGTAGTGTGTGCTTCAGATGGAATTGACTCTATAGAGACTGAATTCATTGCAGGAGTCCTCAGCAATCATCCCATTATCTACACTCCTGTGTGATGCTATGTTCTACCCCTGCCACAGAAGACCCTCAATTAAACAATAGCACACATTCATCTTGGACTATTACAGTCCATCGAGCCCCACAGATTACAGAGAAGAGAGTTAGCATTACCTACATTTGGATTCCTGAGTGTTTTAGAAATATGAAAAATCCATACTTTAGAAATATGAAAATCCATTTCAATTCAAGAGGATTTATGTTTCCCTACACAGATATCATACATACTCAGTTTTGGAGAGCTATTTATTACATGTAACTGCTCCAGAGTCAAATAATTAGGCTAGTCTCAGGCCATACCATGGGTGCCAGCTCCACCCCTAATTTTCTCTGTATCCAGGTCCCCAAACTGGACCTACTATTCCCTCTACCTGATGGATCATCCTTATGTTATTTCCCAGATGTGACTATCCAGAGATGTCTAAGGCAGTATCTAAATAGCCTCGCCCCCAGCAGTTGAGATTAGCATTGGTCACCTTACTGAACTGACATCCAGCTGTCCAATATTAACTACTACCTCCTCTGTCCTCAGAATCAGGATGATAGTGGTGATAATAAAAATAGCTAACACCTACAGATGGTTTACTTTGTTCTAAGTCCTTTACACATATAAGCACATTTAAGTTTCCCACAGACTTAATAGTTAAGTCTCAGTCATAGTTTCTCCCTGAGAGCCCCCTGCCCTCTTCTCCATGCCCCTGACTCATAGTCTTTCCTTGAGAGCCTCTGAGTCATAGTTTCTCCCTGAGAAGCCCCTGACATCCATGCCCCAGGTCCCAGGCTCCTTTGATTCTTTACCAATTGCCAATTCTCTTGCTTTTCCTAGATTCTCTTGTAGACTAAAGATCTTCCCCAAATCCCAATTTAAGGGCTATGACCAGTCACCCATGGACAGAACTCCCAGAGAATGACCAACTGTCCCCTCAAATCTGCCTGATTTCTATAATTCCTCTGTGCAGTCTTTGCTGGAGCCCAGTTCCCTGTCCTTAGAATTCCAGTGCTCTCTGCTATGTGAGTCTTGACAGAGGTGGTCTCTCTGTTTGGACACCAAGACTCACAAACCTCAACAAACTCATGTTTGGTGGTTGTAGGTCCATGCTAGGTCTTTACCTGATGCCTCAGGCAAGAGTCTTGAAAAAAGAATGACAATATGTCAACAACACTATTCAATAATGAGTTCCCTTTGCGACCTCCATAACTAACATGCATTAGATATGACTAAGCCAACTCAATTTATACCAATAATGAAGAAAGTGATAGTGCAGTTCCAGCATGGATCTTACAGATTTGATTTTGAAATTTTATGGCAGTTTGGAAATTCTCTAGTTGGGATTTGTCCTGGTTTTAACATTTGCTTGCAATATCAGCCAGTTAGTCCCTATAGACTTAGTCCTTATGAATCTGATGTTTAAGAAATTAAGAGAAAAAGAAAGATGGCTGAGAATTCAAGACAGCTCTCTGGGCTTGCCTTTTGTTTATTTTTGTTGCTCTCCAGTATCCTGAGTTCTAATGATCCCTGATAAATAGCATGCTAGAATATGATAACAGAGCAGACTTTGTTATTACATGGTGCAGTTGTCAGCTGTACAGCCATTACTACTGATGTTCAGGGATCCATAATAATGAAAGTAGAGATAACATGGATAATTAAAACTTAAAGAGAATTCAATATCATTTTTAAGCCATTTAGTTTCTCCAACACCAAATCTTATCTCCTAACTCACAAATGCACAGACTACATTGAGCTGCCCCTCTTCTTTGGACTCATACCCACCCTATGGTTGAGGGGAGATAGGACTGATTTATAAAATCATCAAAATACAGAAAGTAGCAAAAGAAAAAAAATAGAGAATCCCTGAGTAATCCACAGCCTGATTAATCATGCCTGGGTGACAATGCATGAGAGGTAATACATCTACATTTTCATGATAGGTTCATCTTAAGGGGCCAAAATAATCCAGGTATCAGCTAATCAATGGCTGGATAATTAAGTGTTGGATGAACTTCAGTGCGGCTCCAAGAAGAAATCTACCACTAGGGGGGAAATGTCAAATCTAATGTCCTCTAGGCTCCTTTTCATTGTCTAAAGCTTGTCTCAGCTGTGAGTTTGGATTAGATCTCTTTGCTCAGACTTCTTATCTGTACATGTGGCCTCATGATCACCATCAGTCACTGCTCCACAGTGAGGGAGATGCTGAATATAATGAGGGGGAAATGAGCATCAATCCCTGGAGAAGACAAACTCCTTCTCCCCACCCCCATCTCCAGTGAATTTTAGAAAAGACTCATGGATTTCCCAGGTTCCTCCATTACTTGACAAGCTGCATAGAAGCATCTAGTTGCTCCTCTCTGCAGAAGCATACCTCATACAGCTGGGTTCCTGTGAGTCAGGCTCTTGTGGAGCAGGAAGTGCAGAACTTCTAGGAATGTCCCTAATACCTGATGCTGATATGGTCTCCAGAAGGAGTAGAGATAGCAAGAACAAGCTTCTTTTTATACAGAATCCTGCTGGAAGAGATGCCTTACAACTCTGCTCTTGTTCAACTGGTCAAGAGAACAAATTACAAAAAGTTTCTTAGTCACTGACAATAACCAACTGTGGCACTCTTGGGCAGGGTACAAGGTCCTCCTCCTCAGTGGCTTCTAGAGGATGTTCAACCTCCCTCCTGGGGGAAATGTCAGGCTCTCTCTCATTCATGGATTAGGGCCCCAAAACCCATTTGGACTGACTTTCCTTCGGATGGCTTCGCGGTAAGTGGGCACTCGTGCATATGGCTTCAGGCCGGGTCTCAGCACAAATGACCATCCAGCAAAATACTGCTCTGGACCTCTGCACCAGGGCAAGGGAAAGAGGTGAAACTAGTACTGAAGCTAGTTGGTTGCAGATAACAAGGGCCTGCACACCAGAATCCTGGGGGAATGGAAAGTTAGGGTACCAAACTCCTCCAGCTGAGATTAGAATGTTACCAAATCATCTTCCACAGGATCCCTCCCATGATGATTGGATGACTCTAAAAAAACACCAAGTCCAAATTCCAACAAATCATCCACCCATAGGGCTAAATTATGCCCTGTGGCATAATTTAACTAAACAATCCGTCCTTGTTGGCATCTAGAATTTTTTTTCAAACAGAAGTATCAATTTTTCTTATTTTATTTTGTAACTCTTATTCTTTCTTATGAAAATACAGAACTTTATTAAATGAAATATTTTCTTTGGGTTGCCCAAACCAAAATCTTAGAATCTTTCTTGACTTCTCTCTTTCTGTCAACATCCACATCCAATCTATGGGCAAAGTCTACCAACTTCATCTTCAGAATATATTCAAGATTTGATCACTCCTCCACTTCTATGGCACGCACCCTGCTCCAAGTAACCAGCATCTCTCATGGAAGCTGGTGTCCCTGTTTCACTGCCTCATTATAGTCTATATTCTACATAGTGGCCCAAATGATTAGTTTAAATCTCAAGTCAGATGACACCACTGAGGAGAGCAAAGATTACCTGGTGACCATCAAACAGATCATCTGGAGGCAAAACTTCTTGTCTGAGCAATGTAGAAGGGAACAAAAGACCACCTGGTAGCATGTAGTTCCAGGACTCTTTCTACTTTTATAAGTAAAATTTCTATACATCTCTGGAATGCCATGCTGAAACTCATTTTAGAATCCTAAGTTCCCACCTTAAGGTCCATAAATACCCCTAAGGAAAATCCACCACGGCGTGCTGAGTGCTCTCACTGAGGTGCCCTTCTATGCCCTCTTGCAGTGTTCTTCCTTTCTAATAAACTTTCCTTTTTCAAACCTACACTGTTGTCAGTAAATTCTTTTTACCAACCCATGAATCAACCACTTCTGAGTGTTGGGGCTCTGACACCTTGCCCGGCAGCCACTCCTCTGCTCAAAAACCTTTAGTGTCTTTCTAGCTCATGTGAGGTAAAAGACAAGGACCTCATCATAATCTACAAGACCTTTCATGACCTCATCCTGGCTAACTTTCCAGCCTCACCAAGGACTTCTAGCTTAGTCCTCACCAGCCACCTGATTTCCAGCTTCATTCCAGCCTGAGAATTTTGAATTTCCTCTTCCTTCAGCGTGGAATGCTCTTCTCCTAGATATTCATATAGTTCTCTTTTTTCACTTCATTTTGGTCTCTGTTCAAATGTCCTCTGTCAGAACCTTCCGTAACCATTGAACTCCATGTCCTCCTTGTCTTGCTTATTTTTCTCTGCAGAACCTGACAATCTCCATGAGAATGTAAACTCAGGAAGTGCAAGGACTTCTTCTGTTTACTGCTGTAACCCCACTGGCTAGAACAGTGCCCAACAGGTAGCATTACCCCAAGAAATATTTGTTGCCTGAATGAATAAAATCAGTTACATAAAGCTTCTTGCATATTTGGAAGGTGACATGAGTAAATAGGTAATTCCAGAGATAGATCTTTTTTAAGGGAGAGCCTGAAGATTTTATCCCTGTATGCCTTCTACACAGCTTAAATTCAGATAAAGTTCTGGGACCACAGAATAAGAGTATCCAAGTCTTCAAATTTCCTTCTTCTCTTTCCTCTATATGGCCTGTGTGCCAGGCAAACATTGAGCACATCCTTTCAGAATATTTACCATGAACTGTAAGGGCAATGAGCTCCTCAAGTATTTGGACGTCTGTCTGGGAGGGAGAATTTAAAGGTGTCTTGGTTGTTAAGCCATGTACTGGCACCATTATCTCTAGCACCAATGCCAGCCAGAAATTTTTGGCAGACATTTGATTTAAAGCTTGCCTGTCCAATTAGTTCAGAATCTTTATTCTAAAAGCTTACTTTGCCCTACCTACTTCAAAAGATTTTGTGAAGAGCCCATATTTAGTGGTTCTTTACTATGTGGAAGGACCCAGGGTAAGGTTTCTGCCATTCCCTTATATCTCCTTGGGCTCACGACAGTTCTCAAATCATGTGCATATTCTCTCCTATGCAAGACAATGCCCTCAGCTACCCTTTAAAGTACCTGGGCTAAGTATTAGTTGTTCACCCATTTCATCTGATCAATAACCTGTTACAACTAAATATATATATGTGTGTGTGTGTGGGTATATATATATATATATATGATAATAAGCCTTAAAATAACTATAAATTACCAGAAACAAAAGCAAATTTTCCTTCTAAGAATTAAATGTGTAACCCCTGTCCTACCAAATAGAAGTGCCTTGTATGAGATTATGTAACTGCCTATGTGCTGCTGGAAAAAGGTAACAACCTAGATTGTTGATGTAGAAATTACTCATCAAGCTGTCTTCTACATTATACATACTCTCACTTTAGTCATTGTGACACATATTTATGTGTTGATATTGTACCTCGATAATAAAAGAACTCAAAGTGCTGATAAAAAGATAAACTATAGAGCAAAATAAAATACATGAAATTTGGAGAAATTGGTTAAATAAAAATAAAGTAGGAAAACAACGCATCTTAAAATGAGGTTAATACATAAAATTTATACCCTGGGGTCATACATACTAGCAAGTGGCCAAACAAACATTTAATTTCAAGCTTTTTACCAGCCAATGGTGGGACGGAGGGCAGGGTTGGAGAGAAGGAGGGGAAAAAGAAAAAAGAGAGAGAGAAAGAAAGTGAGGGAGAGAGAAAGAACATCAATTTTGTGGTTTGCATTGTTCATAAGATAAAAATAAATGAGTTGTCTAGAAGTATCTAAGTGAGAATACCAAATAATTATCCTAAGTGTCCTTATAGGGAGGACATAGTAATGTAAAGATTAATATACTCAATGGCATCTTCTATTACTGTGGAGAAGGTACAATGGGATGGAATGGCTCATGGGGCAAAGAGTTTTTACCCTATCTGTAGGAGAAGGAGGCTGCTCCACAGTGCAGTGACCCTCCTTACATATTTTTGTCTTTAGCTAGGATAAAACAAAAGAAAATAAACTTCCCAAGTCTGACACTGGAATAAAAAAGTACTTTTCACTAATATGGCCCTTTGTTCATAAAGTCAAGTTACAAATGGGCTTGGTGTAGGATCTAGGATCGTGCTGAGGATCCTTTGTATTAAACCAAAGCGGGAGATGTGTTAGTCAATTATTGACTAGGAAAGCCTCATAGCGCAGGTTAAATAAATGAGTTATCCGAGGTGCTGGAGTCTATCAGTACAGGAAGAAAATGTAATTTTCATGCCAATGTACTTCGGTTCAGTTTAAAAGACATTTATTTGGAATCTAATAGGTGTTAGATACTGTTAAGCTAATGCTATGATGATTAATAAAACCCTGTCCCTGCTATCAAGTAGGTCATAATCAGAGGAGACAGAGAGGCAGACCCGGTAATCCTAATCCACAACCATATCATCCTTTAAGGACACTCTGCCAGAAAAGTGAAGGGGCCTGCAACTCAGCCCAAATGGATAAGAAATGACAACCAGAAGGGAAGATTTGTGAACTGAATCTTGAAGAACACTTCCCCCACCACCCGCCCCCAGTCCACAAGGGATAACCAGAGTATGTGAAAAGTGTATAGGCATTGTGTGCACACATACACACACGTGCTATGTGTTTGTGGTGGGGGAGAAAAAGTGTTGCAAACTTAGGAAATAGCATATGCAAAAGCTAGGAAGCATGAAACTGTAGGAAACTTGGCATGTTACTGAAACTTAATGTTAGAGGCAGGGAGTCACAGGAGATTCTTCTGGAGAAGAACCCAGAAGCCAGGTTATGATAGGAACTTGGGCTTTTTGTAAGCAATGAGGAATTACTAAAGTGGTTTAAGTTGAGGAGTGACATGGTCATAGTTACAGTCTATGTCAACCTTGCAGTGCAGTAGAGGAAGGGCTGAGGTTGGCAGCCAGGATGCGGTGCAAGGATTGCGGGGAGAGTGAAGACCTGGAGAACTGGCTAGGCTGTTGTAATGTCTGTCAGAAAGGATGGGGCCTCAGCCTGCTGCGGTGTCTCACACCTGTAATCCCAGCACTTTGGGAGGCCAAGATAGGAGGATCACTTGAGGCCAGGGGTTTGAGACCAGTCTGAGCAACACAGTGAGACCCCATCTTTACAAAAAATAAAAAATTAGCCAGGCGCAGTGGCATGTATCTGTAATTCCAGCTACTCAGGAGGCTGAAGCAGGAGGATCACTTGAGCCCAGGAGTTTGAGGCTGCAGTGAGCTATGATTGCACTATTGCACTCCAGCCTGGGTGACAGAGCAACATCCTATCTCTAAAACCATATATAAGAAATGCACATATATAATATGTAAAAGCAAGTATTGAGCCTAAAATAGGATAATGACAACTGGAAAGAGGGGCAAGTGATAGTTTTGAGAATCACTAGAGAAACGTTAATAGAATTTTATAATCTATTGGGTGAGAGGTGAAGGAAACAATGATGTTTCTCTCATTTCTCATGAGCGATGATGCACTGAGGGAACCCAGAAGGAGAAGCATGTCTATATTCCTGGCCTGCACCTCTTTTCAGATAATGTTGGTCCCTCACACCCAATTCCATAATCACTCCTGATATCCTGGAGTTATGCTCCATGCTCCTCTCAGTTGTAAGAGGACTTATGTGACATCTTATCAGCCTCTGATGAGAAGGCAGTGCTACTGAGTGGGAAGTGTTTGGAAAGGAATCAGGAGTTTTTGGCTTTTAAACCATCACTGGGCCACAGTGGTATTTGTCTCCATGAGTCACCAACGCCCTGTGCCTCAGTTTCTTCATATACACAGTGGAGATTTCCATGGCCTGTTCATCCACCTCATAGTCAATGTGAGAACCAGACACGGTGCTTTGTTGGACAATGCCTTTAAAATATGTATACTATGCAAAGACAAGACGCTGTTATTATTATAGGAAGGGAAAACAAAATAAAGGATGGTTTGTTTGAAGGATCTAGGAAAAAGAAAAATCTAGAAATGCAAGGGTGGTTCTGCAGAGCCTAGAGAACTTTTAATTATTTTCCTTCCTCTTTTCATTTTCTTTTCAGTAGGCAATGAAAATCACATAGAAATATGACCACAGAAATGATGCCAAATTCAATACTCATAATATCTATTCAATATTCAGCAATACACAGGCGATATCACAGATGGTTGTGGGATGTGATGGTCTCTTTCCAATAGTTCCAAAGGGGAAAACAAAATGTTATAAGACAACAACCAGTCATTTGATGCATCCTGATTGTTTAAGTGATATGAAAGTCAGCAATCATGTGCAAATTAAAACATAATTATGCACACAGACCACCCAGGATTAAGTAACATTTCACAGATGCATGGTAAATTACTAAACACCCTCTGAAATAAATTGTGATCATGATTTTCTATTTCCTCAAGAACATTATTACTTTAAAAAGTCAAAGTACAGAAATGTGTATTGCCTAATATGTTAATAGTATGCATGTGATGAGAGATTGTTACTACAAATTAGGGGGTGTGTTAGCTGCTAAGTATTTATGTTACCCCACAGGGTCAGTAAACAATTTATGAAAATGTGCATCAACAGACACATTGTCCAACAGCACGCCATTCCTCCCTTGGCAATGCAGGCTGTTTAGCTCTGAGGTAGCTGGTCTCAGTTTATTGCAGATCTAATCAGTGTCACCTTCTCATAACCCCCAGCTGCAATCAAGAATACGTTTCTCTATCCTTGATGTGAGCTATATTATACCGCAGTCTAACCAGATTATGGCTGTGGGCAGAAAGGCCACAGACGTGGTGGTATTGGAAGTTGGATCCAACAGTTGGAAGATGAAGAAAAACTGAACTGTGTGAGGACATATGTTATAAAGTAGACCAGTGGTTAATTCCTCATTGTCACCATTCCTCAGCAGCCCTCATCCAATTCCACAAAGCTGGACAACTCCAAGGGAAAGGTGACAATGTCCTGGGCCATTTTGTGAATTGTGGCACTGAGGATCTGTGTCTTCTTTTCTATGCAACCAGGCTAGGCAACTCCCCATCAATTCTGTCTTCCTTCTCCTGGCATGGGGCCAGGCACACAGTAAATACTCGATGCATGTTTGCTAAATACAGGAAATCTTAAAACAGGTAGAATCCATTTTCTGGTCTTGAAGTGCTGTGGCATGCTGGGAGTTCCTACTGGAATCCAAGCCTTCATTGAGTAAGTCACACATCTTCTTTCTGTGTCAGATGCCCTGTTTATTTACAGAGGAGGGAAAGAGTGTGTGAAAACTGTTCTTTCTCTCACTTCATCTTTGTGAATAAACTTTAATTTTTTTTACATGATTTAAGCTTTTTCCTTCTTTCAGAGTCTTGGGAATGAGCCATTAGTCAATGATGAAATGAACAAATTAGCAAGTATTTATTGAGTGCTAACTGGGTGTAGAGCTCTGAGTTAAGTATAACTGAATTTTTTATTACAATTTTAGCTGAGAAGATTAAAGAGATACAAATGAAGTAATTTGAAAACAATAATAAAATGACACATTTTTAAATGACCTCAAAATATCTGTATAATTTACATACTGCTTACTTTCAAAACTATTTTAATCAACATACAATAAAACACATATATACATTAAACAATTAAAATAAAAACAACAGGATGAGACCAAGAAAATGAAGCAGAAGGACAGTTATGCTCCAAATTTAGGGATATATAGTTGATGCCACCAGCATGAAGATAGGCTTTAAGATTCCCGGCAGCCATGGTGAAACAGAAAAGGGAGCATTCTGAGGTCTAGGATCTTTGTGATTACTTAAGAGGAAGCATTCTGTTTTGCCAAGAGAAGCAAACATTTTCTTGATATTAAATTCTAAGAGGAATTTATAATGTGGATCTTTGTATCAGGAACATTGAACGACATAATGGACAATATCTTCCACAACAGTTTTTAAAGAAAATGTGAAAATGTTCTTCATGTGGCTGATTCTTAAAATGGCCTTCCATAAAAGTCATGGGCGTGATAACCAACACGACTCAGTGAAGATATTTCTGCAGGGAATGAAGTTAATATGGTCCAGGAATATAGTTTTTTGAAGAGCCAACAAGAGTCAGGGAGAGAATTTAATTAACTTTAAGCAATAAATGATTGTCATATACCTTGATCTAACTTAAAATGTATCCATTATCTCAACTAAGCTTTTGTCTGAAACTAAAAAGCAGTTGCTTTAATACTGAATACTGTCAAATACTAGAATGTTGAGTGAAGACAGAGGCATATGCTTTAGATATAAGCCCTGCATATAAGACAAAGCCGGTATTTTTTACAAAAGTCAGGAAATCTGATAATTTTTCTTGCCTGGACTAAGGGCCACAAGAAAGGATTTAGACAAAGATAATTTTTTCCTAATGCTCAGGTGCCAAGGCAAGGAGGTAAGTTTGGGGTAGTATATTAAAGGGTGAATGTGTTTGGGGCAGGGAGGTAAAATAAAGATATTCTAGTTGCACGCATTTATATCAGAGTGTCTCCCCACACTTTCTTCCTTATCCTTCTACTTAGATCTCTACAAACTTCCCATCCTATGGCCACTAAAAGGGCTCCCATCTGACTCAGGTAGTCACTCTGAAAATGTTACTCAGGATCTAACACCAATTTTGCATCTGTATTTGACTGCATTGACTGGGTCACTTTTTACTGGAAGCTAACCACATAAATAGTGATGGCATTATGTGTGGGCAGAGCACCAAGCTTCCAGGATGACATAGTCTGCCAGTAGAGCAGGAGCAGTGCCAGGTAGAATTCTTGCTGAAAATTACTTTCCCAATGGAAAAGCTTCATAAAGCTTCCAGCTTTACCATTAGAGACTCCCTCTTGTAGGCTTCTTACCCTTAAGACGTTGCTGTTAAAATACTCAGTAGAGAAAGGAGAACTTTAATCCTCTACTGATTAACTTGCAGAACCAGAAGGGCCTTAGACATTATCTGATCCAGAGATCATAGGCTGACCACCTACAGGCCAAATTGGGCCTGCAGCTGTGTTTGCCTGGCTTGAAGAGTCATTTAGAAGTTCTGGCAACACTAGGCTGGTCTACCTTACGGCAGCAATCAGTCAATGGACTAGTCCCTGCTCCTTAGTCATGACAGGCAGGGTTTCTCCATTCTGCCCAAGGTTCCACCACTCCTTACTGTCTTCTGCCAGGTCCACTGGAATTTTACATGACCTGCTTCATTCTGTGGCCATTTGAGTTTTAATTCCTCTTGATCCAATACTCACATTTTGGGATCCAATACGTCCCAAAGAGGGAAAGAGACTTGCTCAAGGTACCACATCTGGTTAGTGGCTGAGCCAGGAGCTGACCCCATCTTTCCAGGCTCCCAGCTGCCCTCGGCAGGCAGGATGGGGCAGGCACCAGCAGAGGCCAGCCCTGAAATAGGACAGAGGAGTTCGGAGAGCACCACAGACAAGCTTCACACCATTCACACAATTTTGCCCCAGGCAGGCTCTGCCTGCAATAATATTTTACAGCATCCTCCAGAAAAATCAATTGTTTAAAACAGCAACTGATTTCGCCCTGGGTGAAAATATTTGGCATATGCAAAAAAAAGGAGCATCGTGTTTTCTTGAAAGCTCTTTCTAACCCATGAACAAGCAGGATTGTTCACCACATGCACAAAAAATGGTTCAAGTGTATTTTCTTGGGGGAGGAACAGATTTAAAATTTAGGAAGGTGGAGTTTTATTTAATTCTTTAAGAGCCTTTCTTTCCTCCACATGCCTTTCTTTGTTATAGTATTTGAAAATACGCTTGTTACTATTCGGTGCAAAAAAAAAAAAAACCTCATTGTCTCAGGTGTCTCAGGCTGCCTTTTAAGAGAAAGAAGCAAAGTAAAGGGAAGAGGGGAAGCTGGAGGAAATGGTTCTGCCTAGATGAAGAAATCACAGGCAGAACATTTCCAAGCTACCAAGCACGGGAAGGAGATAACAAGTAGTGTGTGAAATGCCAATTATGATGGTAACAATAATGAAAATAGTCTTAACAGCAATCCCACTGTGCTTTGGAAAGCCTGGAGTCCTCAGCAGACTTGAGCTTCTTTAGCTCTCAGGCATTCTTGACAGTGGGGCCTTCCTCACCTGGAAGCTGTGTGAATTTAGGGGTGTGGGTCAACAATAAGAAGACCCAAAATAACCCCAAAAGGAAGATGACCCCATCAGTTTCTTCTTTCAATTAATTGGCATGGTTTCTTCTCCAAAGCAGAAGCCCTGTTTTCCCAGCCTTTCCCACTTCAATCCTCACAGACTCCCTTCTCAACTGTGTTCAAGTGCAGGTGGCAGGAGCTTTGGCTCACCTTATTTCCCCATTAGCGTGCCCTTCCCACCTTCAGCTTGAGGCAAAATTCCAGCCCTCTCTAAAGTTCTCTTCTCCTTGAAGCCTTCTCTGATCTCCCACACCCTCCACCCATCAGAATTATATTTTACGTTCTCTTCTCTCTGCTACCTCTGGCTTGGGATCCCCTTCCTAGTCCTGTTTTATTCTGCCTGGATTTACAGCTCTGGTTTAGCTGTCACCGTCCCTAACGAGACTGTGAGTTCTTTGAGACTGAGGACAATGCCGCAGCTATGTTTCTACCCTCAAACCTGCCAAGCTTTTTATCTATAGTAAGCACTTAATACGTGCTCAATGGATATAGGACTCTAATTTTAAAAAACGAGCTGCTTTGCTGGAATGGGAAGGCCCTATGTGATACCAGCTAGGTAGAAAGTAAGTTAATTATGGGAACACAGCCTCAGGCTACCCAGTCAGTTTAAAACATCTTAAAAGGGCAACCAACCAAGGCCCCACACCACCAACAAATGGCAGCAAGTGGCTTGGCATCCCATCTAAGAGACTGAGATGGGCTAATTTTAGTTCTCACCATTTCAGATTGTCTATCTCTGAGAAGGGAGTGCCTCACCCCATACCCACACAATTCACTCCTTCTCAGTTCCTCCCGCCTGTCTTCTCTCACTTGCCTGTTCGGCTTTCCTTCCCTGTCCAGAAGCCCTTTCTCCTTCTGTGGCAGCAAACTCAGTCTTCTCCCATAGTAACAAAATGTCTCCCGCTTCCTTCAAGTCATTGTTCTCCTCTTTACCTCTGACAGCTCTCTGCCTAGCCCTGTCCTCAGTCTGCTCCACCGTTAGTCTTCCCATCTCAGTAAATGCAATGCTGTCTACCCAGATGCTTAGCCTAAAGTCTCAGGAGCCACCCTTGCTATCTCCCGGACGTCCACCACCTTCCTGGTTCATGTTGACTTGGGAATACTGCCTGATCTGCCCATGTCTCTCTCCACACTGTGGCACCCATCATCTCAGGCCTGGACTACCTCAGCAGCATCCAAACTGCATCCTTGCCTCCACACTGACCTCTATGACCTTGATTCCTCCCCATAGCCGGAGGGATTGCAAAGCCAGGAGAGGCCATGCCCCTCCCTGCTTGGAGCTGTCCATGGCTGCCCACAGCATGAGGACCAATTCGGCCATGGTCAGGCCGGCGCTGCCCACTCTTCGCTCACTTCTGTTCAGCGGCTCTGCCTCCTAGCTTTGCCTTCAGCACACCCAGCAAATCTGTCTCAGGGCTATTGATCTGCTGTTCCTTCTGCCTCAGAAACTCTTTCCCAAGCTGTCTTTCTCCACCTTCAGATCGCAGCTTGGTTTTACCTCCTCAGAGCACTTTCCTTCACCCCCTATTTAAAGAACCCCTGCCTGCAGTTACTTTTAATTATGCCACTGTGCTTATTTCCCTCTCAGTACTCAGTTCTGATTTCTGGTTATCAGAACTTATGATATCACTGTGCTGTTTGCTTATGCAGTGTCCAGTCCTCATCAAAATGCCGTCATCTCCTTGGGGGCAGACAGCATCTTCCTTGTTTCTTGATGGAGCACAGTACTCGCACAGAGCCCGGCACAGAGCCCGGCACACAGAATGGGCCCAATACAAGAGTGACCACCAGGAGGTGAGCTTTCCACTGCTACCTTCACCCAGGCATCACTTCTTCACAGCCCGGCCCCCGGTTCCATGGGAGACCACTGCCTTCCTCACACTCCCCTGAAGCTGCTCCTAACTGCCATCCCATGGCCTCCTTGCAGCCCTTATCTTCCTCTGAGTCTCCGTAGCACCTCATTCATTCACAGCTGTTTTTCTACCCTTACTGCCCACTCTTCATGAACATGTGTTCTAGAAACTTCTCTACCTGGGGCTCCTCACATGCACCCTCTGTATTCTCCTGATCCATATCTTTGCAAGTGATGTTTCCTCTGCCTGGAAGATGTTTCCCTCATTTTTTTTTGAACTTGCAAAATATTACAACTTCCCCATGTTAACATGTGTTAAAACGACAAAAGATTAATCTTAAAAATAAATAGAGCAAAGCATGCAGGCAAGAAGAAATCCTTAAAAAACTGTGCTGTTCAAACTGGGATTAGCAGAACTCTAGGGATTTTTCAAAATTTGTGCTCTTCATTTTGATATCAATGTTTATTGGGAGGCTGAGGCAGGTAGATCACTTGAAGTCCTGGGAGGCCAGGAGTTCAAGACCAGCCTGGCCAACATGGTGAAACTCCCATCTCTACTAAAAATACAAAAATTAGCTGAGTGTGGTGGAGCATGCCTGTAATTCCAGCTACTTGGGAGGCTGAGGCACGAGCATCTCTTGAACCCGGGAGGCGGAGGATGAAGTGAGCTAAGATCATGCCACTGCACTTCAGCATGGACGACAGAGCAAGATGGTTTCAAAGCAAACAAAAAAACAAACAAAGAAAAACTAGTTAAGAATAGTTTGGATTATTGAGTTGACCATCTTATAACCAAGCACTCTGATGAGACTTCAATGCCTGTATTTGCATTATAATAACATTAGCAACAACTAGAGAAGTCTAATTGGTACAGGCTAACAAACACTAAATATGGGAACAATATGTCCACTACTCTTGCCCCCACAAGATTACTAAACTTTCCCTACCTCCTTTCTCCTCCTCCCCCACCTCAATATTACCCATCAATACAGCCACTGTATTGAGGCTGCCTCCACCTTATTACTACCTTTCCCTACCCCATTACTACCCCTCCCCCTACCCCTCCCCGCCTCATTACTACCCCTCTCCCACCTGATTACTCCTCCTCCCCGACCTCATTACTCCTCCTCCCCCATCTCATTACTACCTGTCCCCCACCTCCTTACTACCCCTCCCCCACCTCATTACTACCCATCTCCCACCTCATTCCTCCTCCTCCCCACCTCATTACTACCCCTCTCCCACCTCATTACTACCCCTCCCCACCTCATTACTACCCCTCCCCATCTCATTACTCCCCCCCACCTCATTACTACTCCTCCCCATCTCATTACTACCCCTCCCCACCTCATTATTCCACCTTCCCCACCTCATTACTACCCCTCCCCACCTCATTACTACCCCTCCCCATCTCATTACTCCCCCCCACCTCATTACTACCCCTCCCCATCTCATTACTCCTCCTCCCTTACTTCATTACTACCCCTCCCCACCTCATTATTCCACCTTCCCCACCTCATTACTACCCCTCCCCACCTCATTACTCCTCCTCCCCAACCTCATTACTAAGCTTCCAGCATTACACTCACAGAGACAAGGTCTAGGCTTTTGGGATCAAGAGACACAGCTATGGGAAGAGAGCCTGGCCCAGGCAGAGGGTTCAGCATGTTTTCTTTGAGGGGAAAGGTTACCTTGAGGGGAGGGAAGGGATGAGTGGCGGATGGAAAGTGTCAGATCCACAGAGAAGCATAAAGGTTTTTTGCCCTAAGGGGAGAAATTCAAACACAGCAGACATTTTTAAAAAAATAGTATTGAAGAATTGTGAATATGTTTTAATAAACTGGAAAAAAACCCAGATAAAATATATACACTTCAAAAAATATATAAAATATATTATTATTACAGATATTATAATGGTAATTGAAGAACTCCTTCCAGAGAATCCTAGGCCTGGTCATTTATACAGGCACATTCTGGTAGTGTTCAAACAAAATAATCCCTACATCATACAAGTTGTTTCAGAAAACAGAAAAAGAAAGATGCCCAACTCATTTCATGAGGCTAATATTATTGTGAGCCTAAAACTGCGTAAGGACAGTGCAAGAAGAACAAAAATTATAGGTTCATTTCACTTATGCACACAGAAACAAAAATTCTAGACCAAATATTAACTAACTGAATACAACAGTTATGAAATCGTAACCAAATAAGAGTTATTCCAGAAAAGAAAGGATAGTTTAACATCAGAAATCTGTTCAAATTACTATGTTCATGGATGAAATAAGAATAATTATATTATTATTTTAATATATTCAAAAAAGGCATTTGATGGAATATAATTCTCTTTATGATTTTAAAATAACTTTCAGAAAACTAATAGAACTTTTTTAATCTGATAAAAGCTATATACTAAAAATCTGTAGGAAATCTCATACCTTTAAGCTAATAGATTATGTATAATACATTATATTATATATTATACTTTATATAATATATTATGTATATAATAATATATAATGTAATATATTATCATATTATATTATTCTCTCAAATATATACATATATATGAACATATTTGTCACCTCGAGTTGAGAAAACACTTTTGAAGCAAGACTTAAGGGGCACAAATGACAAGGTGAAAACTTAATAGTTTCAACTACATCAGAATTAAAGATTTTGATTCACCAGTGGCCATGGCAGACAAAATTCACAGGTAGGATACAAACTTGGCAAATATTTTTCAATGTATAAAACCAATAAGAAGTTACTATCTGTATTTAAAAAAAAATCCTGAAAATAAACAAAAAAGGGAACTGATAATAGTTTGGATTTATGTCCCTGCCCAAATTTCATGTTAAATTGGCAGAGGGGCCTGGTGGGAGGTGACCAGATCATGAGGGTGGACTTCCCCCTTGCTGTTCTTGTGATAGTGAGTGAATTTTCATGAGATCTGGTGGTTTAAAAGTGTATGGCACTTCCCCGTTAGCTCTCTCCCTCCTGCTCTGCCATGGTAAGACGTGCCTGCTTCCCCTTTGCCTTCCACCATGGTTGTAAGTTTCCTGAGGCCTTCCAGTCGTGCTTCCTGTTCAGCCTGCAGAACTGTGAGTCAACTGAAACTCTTTTCTTCATAAATTACCCAGTCTCAGGTAGTTCTTTATAGCAGTGTGAAAATAAACTAATACAGGAAACCCAATAGAAAAGTGAGAAAAAGCTGTGAGTAGAAAATTCACAGCAAGGGAAAGCAAATTGGCTAACAATAACCATTTGAAGAGACTGTCAATGTCACTATTAATTTGGGAAAAAGTGCCACTTAAAACAATGATACATTACTTTACACCTATAAAGTTGGCAAACATCTTAAAGTCCGACACCATCAGGGAGAGGAAAATAAACCTAATGGACTCCTATGGGAAGCGTAAAGGGCACAGCGACTCTGGAGAACAACTGCATTGAAATGATGTACATGAAGTTTTCTTATAACCACTGGGCCCATTCCTGGAGACATACTCTAGAGAAACTTTTATACAAATCTATGAGGGCATTTGCCATAGCTTTGTTTGTGGCAGCTGGAAGTTGGAGTCAATCTAGGTGTTCTGTCCTAGGAAATGAGATGATTAAAACGTAGCCAACGCATAGCATGACACCGCATGCACAGTGAGAAGCAGTGTTTAGGAGCGACATGGGCAGTTCTTAACAACGTGGCAGTAAATGATGAAAGTGAGAAGCAGAGTGAAGTATATTGCACCATATCAAAGCTCAAAACAACACTATATATGGTATTTTAAAACAAAACAAAAACAAAAACAGCAGGTGTCCAAGGACACACTCAAGTGGGTGTTGATAGGGCTAAGAGGACACTGGGAAGTCAGGGAAAATGAAGGAAAGAAAGAAAGTGGAAGAATACAAGAGAGGGGTCTGGTAGTAACAAATTATGATATTTTGCCATGATTTTAAAGGATGTGATTAATTCAACTTTCTGTATCTTGAGTTTATAGGAAAGAAAAGCCAAGTGTTGGAAACATTGGGTTATTATAGAACACATACAGATATCTCAAAGTCAAAAGAATTGGCACTGTATTGTTCAATACAGTCAGATTTGTTATTCACTTTCTAAGCAGAGATTTATTCTGAGCAAATTAACAGACTATCACATTAAATTGATGCTATTAACTTGAATGTGGGTTTTGTTAGTTTTTATTTAATTTCTAAATTTTCCTTTGTTTTATAATTATATACTATTTCCAAGCACTGGGAATATATACCTCATTTTTGCTTGTGTAAGTACCATTTATAATAAAAGTAATTTAACATTAGGGGGCCTTAAGAATACTTTTTCTACAAGGGATTTTTATTTACTCCAGCATGCAAAATACTGCTTGAGAGGTGTGACTTTTCTCCACCCCAGGAGATTTGATTATTATCTTAAAGCACACTGGTTTGATGCTCCAACATATCCTTTTGTGCCTTCCTCAATGGCTTTAGAGTATTTCTGCAAATATCCTCTCAATCCTTCTTGCTTATTGCCTTTCATGGCCTTGAGACACCCAATTCCCCTTTGGCATATACATGCAAAAGACTGTTTCAATTGGATTCTTCAAGAGCAAGATGCTGGTTATAGCTGCAGAAAATCCTAGGTGTTTGGAAGGCATTTAAAGTAGTACTTGTCATAGATAACATAAAGAATGCATAAATGCAGAAGAAGTTAACCCCCCTTCATCTTGGAAAGAAGGGGATTTTGTGGTCTATATAAACTAGGTCAAGATGTTGCCCTTGGGTCCTGACTTGAGAGGTAACATCGCGCTCTCCCATGGAGTCTCTTGACTTGGTGGGGATCACATTTTTTCCAGCTCACGGCAATGAGTATCATAACACATTACAGGTATCCCAAGACCCAGCAAAGCTGGACTATTTCACTGCTCAAAGTTTGGTGCCTTTGTCTAAGTTCTTCTCGCTTCTTGAAATGCATCCTCCTTCCTCCTACACAGCTGCCATCTGTCAAACTCTCTAAAAATCTATCTCGGTGAATGTCTTCCACTATCTCCAACAAAAGTTCCCTTCTTTTTTTTTTTTTTTTTTTTTTTTGGAGACGGAGTCTCGCTCTGCCGCCCAGGCAGTGGCGCGACCTCAGCTCACTGCAAGCTCCACCTCCTGGGTTCACGCCATTCTCCCGCCTCAGCCTCCCGAGTAGCTGGGACTACAGGCACCCGCCACCACAGCCGGCTAATTTTGTTTTTGTATTTTTAGTAGAGACAGGGTTTCACCGTGTTAGCCAGGATGGTCTCGATCTCCTGACCTCGTGATCCGCCCACCTCAGCCTCCCAAAGTGCTGGGATTACAGGCGTGAGCCACTGCGCCCAGCCCAAAAGGTCCCTTCTATCAAGTGGGTGTGATCTCTTCCTCCTTTGACTCCCATGCTTCTGTTTTGACGCTGAGGACTGATTTAGCTTTATGGTGCACTGGAATTGTGTTGCTACTGAGGCCTTGCAGGGTGGGGATGGTGGCTTGTTCACTGTTACAGCCCATGTATACCTGAAGGGCAACATGTACCCACAAATGTTCCAGGAGGTAAATAAAAAATACAATTCAGCCTCTTCTAAACCATCCTTGTTGATATCTCTGCTACTTCCGAAAGTTAATTCGTTATTTGGACTCCATAATTTTTCCTATTAATTCACCCTATGTCCAACTCCAACAGTGAAAAAAATTTATTTAATCTTTGCAATAAGCCTATAGGCAGGCAGCATTATCCTCAGTCTGCAGATAAGCTAAGGCTCAGAGAGGCTGTATACTGTCACTTAGGTAGTAATTGGCAAGAGCTGGCATTCAGACCCAGATCTGTGGGACTCCTCACTCCATTCTCTTTCCACCACACTAGGCTGCTCCTTAAAATAGAATGATGCTGATGAGTGCTGTGGGAGTCCTGGTGGTCACAGTTCCTCTCGTGCAAAAGCACCTTGAAGACTGTGAAGTATTATCTGTAATCTAACTATTATAATAAGTGTTATTAGTGCAGCTTATCCCACCACCATTAGCAAAGAAACAGCCATGACCTTATATAAGTGGGTTGTTCTGGTCATTTCCAGAGTGGGGACAGCTCAGACATCACACCTCACCAATGTCCTGCCCTGTGAGGGAGAAAGGAACAGGGAAGTCAGAGAGAGGTTTGTCACCCTTTGGTTCTGAGCTGTCACTATAAGGACAATGAGGAGTCTCCTTGGGGATAGATGGGGAGATGGTAGGAGGATGCCTGTTCTAGGTGGCCTTGTAGGGTTAGGGTTACACAAGTTGTGCTGTCCACAGGCTCAAGTGTAGGGATAGGGGGTGCTGGATCCAGCCAGGGCTCTGTTCACCAAGCTATGTGCCCCATGCAGAGGAAGGGGCAGTGGCACACTGAAGCACCAAGCCACAAGGCTATCTCCCCAGACAGGGCACCTTTAAAAAAATCTATCCTTACAGGGGAAGACGGGGAGGAAGGTTGAAGTGTGTGTGTGTGTGTGTGTGTGTGTGTGTGTGTGTGTGTGTGTGTGTGTATGTGGTCTACCTTTTTCTAATTTGCCCCAAGCATCCATCAGTTTGCCAATCTCTATGCCAGCCCTGTGCCAACCCTGAGGTGTTACACAAACCAGCAATGACCTCGGCTACGTGGTGGGTCACGCAGGAGAACCTCTGCCAGCTAATGCAGGGCAGCCATAAGCTGTCAGACGAAAATATTTTTCAGTTCCTACTGACCGGACCTGGGTCTGAACCAGCAACCTCTCAGTAAAAATCTCTCAACTCCATTAATTCAGCCAGCTCAGCCCAGCTCCTGATTATGGTTTAGTCCTGAAATCAGAGCCTTTGGCTGGGGACCCAGTGTTTGCTGAGGTGCCCTGTGCAAGAATATACTGGATGAGCTTGCAGCTGGCTGGCTCTACTGCCTGTGCTCTCTCCTATCCCAATTGGTCCAGGCTGGGGGTGGGAGTGTCACTGGAGGAGATGTGACTGGTGCCTGTAGTATGACAGCTCATCAGAGCAGAGCTGTTGGTCATGTCAGCCCTATGCCAGGAGCTGATGCAGGCAAGGAGATGAGAACTCTGTGGGTGTGGGGGCATTTTCTGAGTGAGGTTGTACGTGGCTGTGTTTGTGTGAGGTTTTGCATTACATGTGGTTGTATGAGCTTGAAGTTTTGTGTGTGTGGTGTGTGCATGTTGTGTGTAAAAGAATGCAAATGTGGTTATGCATTTTTATGATTGGAAGTATATAGGTGTGCAGTTGTGTGTTTATTGTATGTTTGCTAAAGGATGCTATGCACATTGAGTGCAACAGTGAGACAGAAAATTTGAGGAAGAAGGTTAGAAAGAGAAGATATAGGAGGTAAAGTGGTAGATCCAGAAAGGAAGAAGAAAATTTGCTAATGGAAGAGATGCAATGATTAAGAGAAAGGGGAAGAGCCTGTCCTTTAGGGCTGGTGGTTCTCAGAAGCAGAGGACTGGAACATTCTGTACCAGATGGATGTTCTGAGGTCCCCATCAAGATGCCAGGTGACCATCAGAGAAATGCAAATCAAAACCATAATGAGATACCATCTCAAACCAGTTAGAATGGTGATCATTAAAAAGTCAGGGAACAACACGTGCTGGCGAGGATGTGGAGAAATAGGAACACTTTTACACTGTTGGTGGGACAGTAAACTAGTTCAACCATTGTGGAAGTCAGTGTGGCAATTCCTCAGGGATCTAGAACTAGAAATACCATTTGACCCAGCCATCCCATTACTGGGTATATACCCAAAGGATTATAAATCATGCTGCTATCAAGACACATGCACACGTATGTTTATTGTGGCACTATTCACAATAGCAAAGACTTGGAACCAGCCCAAATGTCCAACAATGATAGACCGGATTAAGAAAATGTGGCACATATACACCATGGAATACTATGCAGCCATAGAAAATGATGAGTTCATGTCCTTTGTAGGGACATGGATGAAGCTGGAAACCATCATTCTCAGCAAACTATCACAAGGACAAAAAACCAAACACCGCATGTTCTCACTCATAGGTGGGAACTGAACAATGAGAACACATGGACACAGGAAGGGGAACATCACACACTGGGGCCTGTTGTGGGGTGGGGGGAGGGATAGCATTAGGAGATATACCTAATGTAAATGACGAGTTAATGGGTGCAGCACACCAACATGGAACATGTATATATATATATATATATATATATATATATGTAACAAACCTGCACGTTGTGCACATGTACCCTAAAACTTAAAGTATAATAAAAAAAAAAAGGATGCCAGGTGAAAGGGGGAATGGAGAGAGGACAAGCAAGAGCAACCCCCCTACCTCCACTTGGGTTCCCAGCAGTGCTGCAGACTTCCACTCAGGCAGCACATCACTGTGTCAAGTGACAAGCCCCAGGGGCCCTCAGCTCCAGGACTCTTACTCTTAGCTTGGTGAAGTGAGACCCCTGAACCTCAAGATGTGGAGTCAAGGCTGCTGTACTCTCACCCCCAGACCCTCAGGTCAGCAGCCCTCAGGTGTGTGGAACCCAGGCTCTCAGTTGTCCTTGGGTCAGGACAAGGACTGTGCAGGAATGAGGTGCTACTTTCCTTTGACTTTATGGGGAGAAGAAATGAGGCATGGGGCAGTTAAGCAGGTTTGCCAAAGTCCATTTACTCTACACATCACCCTGCTGCATGAAAGGTGGGAGGTTAGGAGCTCACACTCTCAGGAGGCAGGCCAACCCTGTGGGTGAGGAAGTTGTTCCTATGTGTTCCAAGTGGTATGCTGCTAAGGCCAAGAATGACCTGTGCTGAGGGCAAAGTAAAACCTCACCTTCGGCACAGCTGCTAAATCATGGGCTGCAAAGGCCTGGCCAGGAACACACAGGGAGGTGCTAAGTAGCTTGCAGAAACCTTCTATTCTCAAGTGGTCCCAATGGCTAGAACATTTTCAGAGCTAATGCTCATGATCTGGCAATATATCTTCCCTTCTCTCTTCTTCCAGTCATTTATACCACTCAAACCTTTGGTGGGGTCAGACAGACTTTATAATAAACACATGTCCATTGGTTCATTGAAAAGAGGCTCACAAATAGGGATTCTCTCCAAAATTCATACCAGAAGACAGAATTTCTCCTTTCCTCTTTTGCCAATCCCTGGATCCCATTTTCTGGAAACTGAACCAAATTAGAGGAAGAGAGGGAAGAAAACCAAGTCTAAAGCACTGACTATGCACAAGCTGCTGTGCTTTCACATCGATGTTTTAGGCACTCCTGAGTTGAGCTAGACCAGAGGAAGTTGGCAAATATTCAGTGAGGGATTCTCAAACTAAGCACTTTCCAGGGTGGGAGAAGGGGAGAAAAGAGAATGGGGGTGGAAGCCACCTCTGCCACTACTCGCCCCTGACTCTACTTCCAAAGATGCCAAGCATTGCCCCAGCAGTCTCAGCTCATCAGAAGCCCCAGCTAGCAGCTCAGGCCTCCACTGGCAGAGCTAGTTAGAATCTCATGTCAAAATCCTTATCAGGTAAGTGAGGCTAAAAGAATCATGGCCTCCCCAAGAAGGCTGGAGCCGCAGCACACCTAGATTATTGGAAGCAGCTGAGGACAGGGGAAGACTAGTGGATCAGAACCCAACTGAAATAGATTCTCTTCAACCCATTATGTATAAAAGCAAAGAGGAAGGTCTCTGCCAAGGATGAACATATCCCTGGAGCAAGCTGCTTTTAAAGACTGTGTGTGCCAGCCAGGATGGGGAGAACTGGGAGGAGATCCTCTCCCAGATGAAGCAGCCCAGGTGACCAGGCATGTTGACCTATGGGCTCCACTTCATTCTTGCTTGTGTGTGTTGGTGCACCAAACACCTCCCTTCTTCACCTTCAGAATGATCCCTTTGTAAGAAACCAGGAAGGCCAGTTGAAGATCTTGGCAGCAAGACCCCAGGAGCCCAGGACTTTATCAAAAGGCTCAGAGCCTCATCAAGCACTGCTTCTTCAGTCTCCCCAGCCATCAAATGGGAAGAATGGTCCCTGTCCTGCCTTTCTCACAGCGTCATTCTGTGGGCCAAAGGAGCTGACGTCTATACACTCTAGAGGACTGCTCACAGAGACCACAGCTGCAAAGCCTCACTGCTGCAGGATCAGGCCACTGGGATAACTCCAGGAGGTGGCAGGTGTGGTGGGGAGGAGGGCCTGTTAGAAAAAATAACCTGGACTTTTACATGAAGTCCTTTGGGTGTCATTTTTTTTTTTTTTTTTTTGCCTTCATCGCTGCTCTTAATTTTTCTTTCGCCAGTTTTTTTCTGGATATAAATTTTGGAGGTGGATCTGGGTGGAATGCTAGAAAATTGACCCCTGACTTAGATGCATAGATGCATAGTGTGTGCAGAAGAAATAGTGTGGGTGAATTCAAGACCCTCTATGGGAGAATACAGTGACTTCAAAGCAGTGTCATCCCCTCTCTGGACTCAGTTTCCACAAATTTAAAATGAAAGCATTGAACTAGCAAGAGGCTCTGATGAAAGGCTGCATGTGACATGAATCAGGCATTCTGACCAACTAGGGTGGTAAGTCAGGGTTGGGAGACAGGCACAGAGCAGAAACAAATCAATGACTCTACCATTTTGTCTTGAGCTACTTAGCTCATTCAGTTCCTACAATGCCCCAGCCCGCACATGGGCTGGGAATAGCTCCAGAGGCAGGCCCTGGGGACCTCAGTCGCCCTGGGCCCTGCGAGAAGGTCACTGATCCAACCAGCAGAAAGAATTTTCCTAGGGATTATAGATCACTTTATTGACTGGTCATATGACCCTGGGCAAATCCTCTCATCTTTCTGTGTGCCTCAGTCTCTCTCAGTAAAATGCCCTGTATAGCTCTCAGGCTTTCCATGAGGATCAAGTAAAAAGATAGTTATACAAACCCTATAGAGGCATAGACTGTCCACAAATAAGTTTCCGTCATTCAATATTTATGGGACTCACAAAAAATACCCAGAATTATCACAGACATTGGAGAGGGAGTGAGAAGTTGGTGAGAAGGGACCCAGAGACCACAGCTCCTTGGATGCATAGAGCTACTGTTGGATTATAGGAGAGAGGAACAGCTCAAGAAAGTAGCTGGACAAACCATGGAGCACTGAGTCTACAAGTCCCAGAAGTGGAGGGAAGTTCATTCATCTCTACTGACTCAGCAGAGGTTCCAGGAGAAACAGAACAAGAGTTGGGGCCTTAGAGATAGGAGAGGAGGCTCCAGCTGTACAGGGCCCTGGGAGTGAGGGTCATGCCCCCAGGAATGGCATTAATGTCTGGCACCCACTGCCGCCTGAAACAATTGTGCCCAGCCAGAATCAGGATGTGTGTCGACATTATCATGATGCTCAGAGTTCTTGGGTTTGGGCGGTGCCCCCAAGTAATGTTCCATTCCACTCTTCAGTTACATGTGCATCCCACTCACACTTATTTCCTGAGCTCCTGCCCTCCACCAGACATCTGGTAGAAGAACCAGGCAGCCCAGTCAACAGTGAGAATGGAGATCACAGACCCATGACCAAGTGGAGCCACCCTCGCTGAGGCACCAGACACACAAATGGAGAAGCATCTCAGGCATTCCAACCCCAGCTGACTTCACAAGGAGCAGGAATGAGCCATCCCCACTGTACCTGTCTGAATTCTTAACCCCAGAGCTTATGATAAATGATAAAGATAGTCACTGTTTTAAGCCCCCCTAAATGTTGATGTAATTGAGAATGAAATAGGAACTCAGAGCTGGGGTGAGGCCGTGGAGGAGCACTTCTGGCAGGAACATCAAGGAAGACTTGGCCGGGGCAATGGGTTTGGGTTGGGCCTTGAGAGAAAAGGGTTTCTAGACCTCTTCATCCTGCCTCACGTTGTACTGCTCCACCCAAGAAGAGGCCTCCCGCTGCTTGACAGCAGGGTGGGAGTAAAGCAAATGTCTTCCCATAGACAAGGATTGTTCTGCAAATCCCTAATCAATGAAGAAAAACTCAAAGAGATTAAGGTAGCTGCCACACTGCACATGCCTCCTCTCCCTGCTCCCTGCTGGACATTTCTCTCCCTGACTTTATTTTCTCCCTCTTTATTTCCTCCCCCTCTACATCTGCTCATCCTCTTTCCCTCCCCCCTCCCCCCACCCTTTTCTCTTCTTCCCTCCAAGAACTTCTTCCCAAACTGTGTCTCTTTGCCGCACCCCTCTTTCTCCTGCCTCCACAGCAGCTCTCCGGCCTTGAGAGGCTGCATTCACTGCTCATAAACTTAAGACCAGACAAAGCTACTCTTTTGATGGACCTAGAAGGTGGCATTCCCGCTTTCATCCCCAGCCCCTGACACTATCCAACCTCAAAGGCAAAGAGCTTGGCCTCCTGACACTTGCCTGTCTTCATGTTTTAGGAAGAAGAGAGCAGGATTGGAGCATGGGGATTAGGACCAGAAACCACAGGTGAGCAAGGAGGTGGGGTGGATTCAGGCTTGCGAATAGTAGTTGTCAGAAATCCAGATGTGGGCAAGAATAACCATGATGATATGACATGGTGGTTCATAAAAGCTGGTGTTTTCTACATCACCCTATCAGCGTCTCAAGGCACTCTTCTATATGTCTTGTTTCCTTCCTCCTGTAGGGTCTCCCCTAGTTACTCCAGTTGTCATGTCTGATCCCACCGTGAGTCCTGCCTCTTCCACAAAGCCCGGTGGACTCATTCCTGTATCCCTGAGCAGCCCCTTCTCACAATTTGACTCCTGATCATTCCCTGGCCTGTCTCCTCTTGGTGTTGCCTGTGTGTAAGTCTTATCTCCCTACTGGGCCTCCCCTAGGGCCCCAGCCAGGCCTAATGCTTCCTCTGTAACAGGGCAGAGCCTGGCTGGGTGCTAGGCATCAGGTAGGCAGTTGATAATGTATGATTGATGAATTGATAACTAGTCTTATCCAAACCTGTGAGGCAGGCAGGGATGAGCATCTTCTTTCTATCACTGTGATGCAAACAGAATGGAGCTGGAGGGCGTCTGTAACCTGTCCTCAGGACCCAAAGAACGTAGTTATTTCATTAACTCTGCAAGACATTCCACAGTCTGGGTGTGGGGGGCAGCGTAGGAAGAAGAGGCCGAGAAGGCCTATTACTGGTTTCCCTCAGGTTGGGGGTACCCTCAGGGTCTCACCTGCTCAGCTGTTTGGGGTGGAGGTCATGTCTACAGAGTGAACACTTATAGTGCCTCAAGTATAATGATGAAGATTTCAGATTTGGTTTCAGATAGAATTGTATTCAAATCCCATTTGGGCTAGAAATATCTCTAAATATTTTTCTGTGAAATGGGTTTAATGTCTACCTCACTGATTTGTTGAAAGGATTACACGAGATAATTCATGTAACATCCTCAGCATAGCCCTTGGTAAGTGCACAAAAAATTACAGATACTGTTATCTTTTGAGGTCACAGGCTCCCGGTTGCCTGGGCCTTACTGTCAAGGAACCATTAGAATCCAGGAGCCACAGAGACCTCCTTCAGCTCCCCAAGCCGCCACGCTGGCGGGGGATCCACCCACCCTGAGCTCTGGCCCCTCACTCAGGGACACTGCCCTCTCTTTTTCCCCTCAGAATCTCAAGTGAGACGCTGGTGCCAGTCAGGCCGGGTCACTGCAAGGGTTCATTCCCAGGAGGAGTATGAGGGAGAAGAGAACTGCACTTTAGGAGCAGGGGGAAAACAGCCCCCTAATGAAGAATTTGTAGTGCACAGGCAGGCAGAGGACTGCCCTGGATGGCTAATTTGCCAGCAAGACGAGAAAGATGAAGCAAGCTTGCAAGTAGAGGATGGGGATAAATGGCTTGTTAGCAGCACGCACAGAAAACACACAAGGATTTTTGTTGACTCTAAGTTCACCATGAACCAAGGATGTGATAGGATGAGAAAAAAAGCCAACTCTAACCTACAGACAGGGAAAAGCCTAAATGGATGATTATGATATAGTGACTAAAAGGAGGGAGGGGGAAGTCCTACACTAACTACTCTGTTAGATTATGGATCTCAAGCCTGGCTCTCACCCTTTAAATGCCAGAGGAGACAGTGTGTTTAGAAGAGAACAGCCAGGACGGCTGAGGATGGAGAACTGTGACTTACAGGGAGCAGATGAAAGACCAAAATACTTTTAGTCTGGGGAACTGGAGAGTCCAAGGGCATCATATCACCCAATTGACAGGAAGCCTGAAAGAGGGATTTCACTCTTCCATGTGAACTCAGAGGAGATATTGACTGGGGAGAGGGGTAACTTGGAGATGGCCTGTCCAGAATAAAGAGCTCACCAGCATTTAGAACTGTCCAAGTGTGGGTCCCAGGGGAAGGCAGTGGGCTTATGTGGGTGGCATGTGAACAGAGTCTGGACCTCACTGCAGGGAGGCCAGAGACCTGGTCACTTCTGTGTTAGGAGGGAGGCTAGGCTGCATGGCCAAAGGGGCCCGTCTAACCCTCAGTAGCTATTTGATGAATAGCTAATTCTTTAAATTGTTTTTCTCCTTGACCAGCTACAGCCAGCTGGCCTCTGGGCAAAAACCTGGACCTAGGCTTCCTCCCTGTGGGGTTGGCCATGCGGGACCTGGGAGAATAGGATGACCTGGTTATCTTCCCCAGCTGGGATAAATTCCTATCAGAAGGGGCAGAGTGGTAGAGGTATGGTGTCCAGGAGCAGAGTAGAGGGGCCTCTTGCCAAACACCCACTGCATCAGGTGCGATACATGTGTGAATGTCTGTAGGTAAGTAAAGGAAGGAGTGAGGTATAAAAGTGGACTGCTCTGATAGCTGGTTGAAACCTTTCTGAGGCAGGGAAATGGGGAGAGGGAAAGGTGAGGTGGTCAGGGCAGAACTCTAACATGTGGTAGGCTACTCTGAAAAAATCAGGGATTTCAGAATTTCCTAGATCATCTAGCACCTGTGTGAGTCTTCTATTTTCTATAATTGCAAAGCTTCCCTAGAACTGTGTGAACTTTTCCCAAACATACTGTCCGTTCCAATGACCACAGGAGAGGTAAAAGATGTCAACATTTACATAAACAACCAATGAAAGATTCAGGTTAGAATAAGCCTACTTTTCTGTTTATTGTACTCAAAATCCAACTTGGTAAATGTGATCAGCACAGACTGACAAAAATCAAAGGCAGAAGAGGCTGGAATGTGGGGCTGTTAGGAAACATGCTCTAAAATGACAAAGACAAGGAAATATAACAGAAGGCAAAACTTCCAGGGATGGCCCAAAGACAGCATACCTGAGTGAGTTTGCTTAGTGAAGGTAGAAGAAATTCTCAGGCAGAAACAAAAACCAGTCAAAAGGATGACAGAATCTGAAGAGGGTGAATCTAACTTCCTACCCACCTGAAAGAGTGAATGATACAGCCAACGTTCACATGAGCAGTAATGCTGACAGCTTGGTCTCAACGTTAGCCAGTTGGTCTTCTAAATGCTGGACATTGATTTGAAATGAAGAAATAACTATAGCACAGTTTTGTTTCATTTTTTCTCTGCCACAATCCTGGGAAAGTTGAGCTAGCACTTTGGGGATTTTATTTAAAATCAGGGTGTTGGATGAGGTGACTTGATTTCTAAAGTGTCTTTGAGTCCTGGTATACTAATTCTGTGGCCCAAACCCATGCTCTCTGTGAGCTGGTTTTCCTCCATGTGTAAGAGATACTGCCAGGCACAGCTCCCCGACTGGCTTCCAGGTGGTGACCTCAGGACTGCTGTGGTGCTCCCTGGGGCCCAGAAGGCAGGTGGGTGTGTGAAGAGGAGGAGGAAGCTGGCACTTTTCTCATATTGTCCACTCATATCCTGGAGGGTCCATCAGAGGACAGCCGAGGGACAGCAAGGGACCCAGAGAATGTTCCTTTTTATCAGGGTGGTTCATAAGAGCAGCCACACAGAGCTGTGGTGTCACCTCATAGCACATTTGTTCTGGGGAGCAATAAAAATGATTCTACTGATGAAAAGGAAATGAATAGTTGTCACTTAGTCTTTTACTTGCTTATCTATTTCTTTATCCAACATTTGTGTGTTTCACCTGTACCAGGCACTGTTAGATACTGGAGATAAAAGGGTAGAGAATTCCCTTCACCTTTTCCAGTCCTAAGTGTTTTATAGTTCAGCGAGGAAGTCAGGAGGCAGTTAGGTCATAAACAGGAAATGCCCTGTGATTATTACGTTCATGGTACAATGGAACAAGGGACAGGTATGTCTGAGTCTGCTTAAAAGAGTCCAGGACAGCTGACCCTACAAGCTCCTGCTTACTGAATACCTACTATGTGCCAAAACTTGAGTAATGACAAAGATCATTCCATCCTCTTGGAAGGGAACAGTTTCTTGAGAAACCTCCCTAATTTACCATAAGGGAAAGAAAAACTTAGTCATATATTAAATTTCTACTGAGTACCTGTCCTCTCAGGGGTGTTAGATACATGACTAAACTCAAACGTCATATAACCCTGAAAGGTAAGTATTATTTATTGTACCCATTATACAGATGAGAACATTGAGACTCAGAGAGGTTGTACGACTTGCCCAAAATGAACTAGGGCAATTCTTGTCTGCAGTGTCCTTTAAGATGGGACATTGCCTGGCTTTATCTCTCTGGCCAATAGTCCAAGGGTGTTGGTGCTTTCCCTTCCTGCTTCTTGTATCCTAAGGAGCAGCTTTCTAAACATGCTGTCATGGAACCAGGGCTCCCTGCATTCCCTTGACCACTCTTAGAACCCCAGTCTCCAAACCACCAGAGCTCCAGGCCAGCCTCAGGCCCTGAGGGAGGCTGTCAGCCACATGGAGTGAGGCCAGTCATCTCCTCTCTTCTCTCCAATGTTTCTGTTCTTATCTCAGGTGCTGAAGCCTCTAGAGAGCTGCCCGGTGCTCCCAGTATAATGCTGCAAGCTCCGTGCTGCCAAGCCCGTCATCAGTGAAGCCAGCTTACTCCCACTGGCAGGACGAACGTCGGACTGGCTGGACCCGGGGTTGCCCCAATAGAATATTCAGTTCCCACATCTCTGAAAACCTATTCTGGATGCTTCAGGGCCTTGCTTTCGAATCAAAACTTTCTCTGCTCCCTAGATTCGTTGTTGTTATTGTTTATAGAGACAGGTTCTCTTTCTGTCACCAGGCTGGAGTCTAGTGGCATGATCAGAGCTCACTATAGCCTCAAACTCCAGGTTCAAGCAATCCTCCCACCTCAGCCTCTCCAGTAGCTAGGACTACAGGCACACACCACCATGTATGGATAATTTTGTAAAACATTTTTTTTATAGAGACAGGGTCTTACTATATTAACCTGGGTGGTCTTGAACTCCTGGCCTCAAGCGATCTTCCTGCCTCAGACTCCCAAAGTGCTGGGATTATAGGAATGAGCCACCATACCCAGCCACTCCCCTCTTTTAATCATACTGTTCCTTCTTCCTGAATGACCTTCCTCATCCTTCTTCACCACTTGAAAACCTGCTCTTCCTTCAAGTCCCAGATCATACACAACCACCTCCATGACATCTTCCTTCACTCCCTAAGCCAGGCCTTGTCTCTCCATCCTCTGTGCTCTCCCCACAAAATGACACTTTGCACACGTGGTCTGCTCTGTGTGGCAGTTCATTGTGGATAGCAAGTCTCCCTCAAGAGCCTGGAAGCTGTGATAGTGAGGACCATGCTTTAGCTTTCCATTTAAACCCCAGCCCACACCTAATGCTTTATAAACATTCATATAATATAAGAAAATAAAGAGGCAGGAAGTGGAACCCATCCAGCTTGTATGTGAATAAATCATCCCTTATTCATTCTTAAACATTTCTTAAGCACCTGCTATGTGCTGGGAATTATGCCATATGCTGGGGACACAAGGGTGAATAAGGCCCTTCTTTGAGGAATTTCCAGTCTGATTGGGGAGGCATACAAGTAAACAGGGAATTTCACATCAGAAGTACCAAGAAGGCACACCTAACACAAACTGGGAGATACAGCAGCGAGAGAGGATGGGCATTGTCGGGAGCAGCTGATGTGTGGGATGAAACAGCACAGGGAGCTGCAGATCCTGCTTCTTGGCATCCTCTCTTCCCTGATTCCCTTACCTGATTGTTCATGCACCCACTTCCTTCTCTCCTCCTGCCTGTACCCTCTTGGTCAGATACACTTTTCTTGTATGTTGCAAAAGGATCTGCTTGCCCCAGCTGGTGGGAATGGAAAGACAAGTTGGAGGAACTCAGGCAGAAAGCACTAGTCAGCAGGTCAGCCAAAGAGACACAATCTACTCATGCCTTGCTACTCAAAGTGTAGCCATGGGTTAGCACTGTTAGCATCACCCTGGAGCATGTTAGAAATGCAGAATCTCAGGCCTCTCCCCAGATCTACTGAATCAGAGGCCACATTTTTAACAAGGTCCCCAGGTGGTTCATATGCTTATTATTCACACTGTAAAAGCCCTGGTCTAATACATACCTTTTGATGAGCTTTAGTGGGAGCAGACTCAGAATCCTGCCTTGTAGAAATGGGACCTGGGGGCATCTCTTGTGTACCATCTACCCAAGAAATTTGCTTGAGGGAAATTAACAGATAAAGTATCTTACCAGAGAAAAGAAGTCAGTGTGAGAGACACAGGGGGAGGAAGGATAGCCCCACACGTTTTGGTAGACCTCAGTTTGAGTGGTCAGGTGGCTTTCAGGGCAGTTGTTTGAAGAGAGGTGTCTAAGTGTCATCGTCAGCCCCAGGCTCTGTTTCCTGCCAACTGCTGTGTCCCTGCACCGCAACCCATGCCTGCAATCTGGCATCCCCACAGTAGGGAGGGGGCTCTTCCTAAGCATGGCTGTTCTGAGACTCACCCACTGGGTACTGAGAAGCAATCCACCCTTTGCGGGAGGTAGAACGATGCAAGTGCCCTGAGACTGGGCAAAAGGGAGAAGCAGAACTTGCTGGCTGTCACGAATACTGACACCTGGCATCTCAAAAAGAGTCAGGGACTTACACCGGACACAGCTGTAATGAGCATAAGAATTGCCATTTATTGAACACCTACCGTGACCGGCACCATGCTAATATTACACATATTCTCTCTAATGATCTCAAGAGCTCTACAAAGAAAGCAGCCTTACCTTCCTCTTAAAATTGAACAACTGAGGCTAAAAGAAGCCAGGGACTTACATGAGTTCACACAGACGGCAAGAGATAGGGTTGTGATATGTACTCAGATCTGTTTACACCAAAGCCTGCAGGTTCCCACAGCCTCTTACCTCCTTGGCCTGGTGTGCATAGCCCCCTGGGGTGTGGCAGCCCCACTTGCTCAGTTCCAGTGTGTTGGGCCTCTACAAGGAGGATGATTTCCAAGGCTGAGTGAGAGCTGCACTGGGAGGCAGCTTCCCCTAGGAGCTTGCCCAGCTGCTTCCCCAGAGGCCCTCCTCCTTTGTCAGAATCCAATCACATCAGCTCCTGCCTCAGTTTCCCCATATTCTCCCAGTAGGCAGCAGTGAGAGATAATTCATTATCTCATGCAGGGCTCTGAGTGTTGAAGAGGTAATGATGGTAAAGCATGTGAAAGATTAAATGCGGTAACCATTATCATCACAGTCCTGCTCCAGCTGGAACTCCCTTCTTCTCTGCAATCTAGAGTAGAAAACATTCCCTGGGAAGGCCGTTGCCAGGCACAGGGCCAGGCGCTCAACATGGTTGATGAATGAACAACTGAATGAAAACCTCCAAGTTTGTCTAATTCCACTCCTGGTTATCCTTTGCATACATACTCCATTACCCACATCAAATAGGGCACCCATGCAGTGGTCAACACTGTAGAGTGACTTTGCCCTCCACAGAGCGCCATTGCACCAAGGTTCAGTGATAAAACAGTTAATCATATTTTAGTAAATCTTCAGGTGTTCCTCTCACAGGGCATGCAATTACCCAGATGGATCATTTCCTAGTAGAAGTCCAAGTTAAGGTTTTGCAAAAAGGCCCTACAAGAGTGTTAATGTCAACCATCACCAGCCGAGCCAGGGTTTCCAGAGGGTGCAGTCTGTGTGGGCAGAGAGGAAACCTCTAAGATCTTTCATGCAGAATCAGAGCTGGCTGCAGGGAGAGGGCTTTTCTGGGAGTAGGCAAGAACAGAGGAGGAATGGGTGGTTCCCTTCCAAATACCAATCTGAGTCATTGGTTTAATGATGTCAGGAAAAAATGACCTTTGCTGCCACCTTTACTGCTTCTGAGCATCTCCAGTGCAGGAACAGGGACTCTCTCTGCACCTTGCTTCCAGCACGTGGCACAGGAAGAACCTCAGGGTCAGGCTTGGGCCCTTGGTCCTCCCCAGGGAACTCTACACTCTGTTTCACTGTGTGGTTCACACCATGCCAGGCCTCCATGTATAGCCAGCCCAACCCACAGCATGGCCTCTCCCTTTATCCTCTCACCTCTCCTGCAGTAGTCAGCCAGCAGGAACAGGCCACTTTGAGTTTCCGGAGTATTGGAAAATGCCTGCATAGGCTCCAGATTGAGGTCATGAAATTCATTTCTCTTATACTGAGACCTCAGCCACAGCAATATTTCCTATGTCCAGGGGCACGAGGCTGGTTACTTCATTAACCCCTGAGAGCTGTCAAAGCCCATTTGGGGATTTCAATCACATCAGGATCTGGTCATCCAGGGTGTGAGAGCCTCAAACCTAGGGCAGGAAGTCTGGTGGGAAGAACCTGTTGAGTTCCTGGGACCACAGCATCCCTCAGAAGAGGGTAAAAAAGGCAGAGGTGGGTAGCATCTGAACAACAAGGAAAAAAAGCATTTTAATCCCATGTTGGCAATTTGTGAGCTCAGAGAGTTTGGTAAGTAAGTTTTCAATCTGGTAATTGCTTGTACATTTACTTATTCAGCTATCATTTAGTGAGCACTTACCAGGTGGTAGATGCAGCTCCACACGGGAACACAAAGTGCCACAAGTGATTGAGATGAGCAGGCCCAGGTCGCTGGGGACAAGAGGAGCAGCTGCATAACCTCAGAGGGGAGGGGTTCTCATAAGGGATGACAATTGGGATGAATTTTTGATGACAAATAAAGTTAGGAAAGAGCATGACATTTTCAGGAAAGCGTGAATGGTTTTAGAGAGAGGGGGATGTGGATACGGGAGGGTCGGATGGACCTAAAAATGTGGAAGAGGTCAAATTATCAAACGCTTATACCCTGGACTAAAGATATTAATGTTGTTCTGAAATCCATGGGGAGCCAGTGACAGTCTGAATATGGGCAAGTACAAAATCAGGCTTAAATCTGGGAAAGATCACTCTGAGAGTGCTCTGTGGGGGGTAGGTTGGAGGAAGAATGAGTTACAAGCTATTAAAATAATTCAGGTGAAGGATGATGATGGCTGGAACTCAGGCCATGACATGGAGATGGAGAGAGGAGGACAGGATGGAGAGAGAGTTTTGAGGGAGGAAGAACATCGTGAGTGGGTACTGAACACCCGTAGGGGTATCTAAGTCTAGGAAGAGAGACTGGCCAAAGTTGAGCCCACTGAGGGTGAGAGGTGCAGGCTTGGGGGAAAGACGATGGGCCAGCTTTGGACATGTTGGGTTTAAGTTTTGAGGAGCCTGTGACCACCCAGGTCATGGTGCCTACTGAACTCCTCCTTTATGCTCAGTTCTCAGGAGCCAGGAGATGCAGAGACATAGCCTCACCCAGCAGCTGACACTGTGCAGCCAGGCAGACTTGCTGCCTTTTGGGCAAGCTGGCCATGCTGAGGAGCACTGATCATCCAAGAGTGAGGGAGTGGGGACTGCCCTGACCCTTTCTGGGTTGGCAGAAGCCATTTAGTACCCCTGGCACTTCTACCACCTTGCCAGGGCCCCTGAATGGGTATGGTGATGCCAGTCTTCACTCAGCATCGTGGCAGTGACAGGTGGCAAGGGCATAAGTTTGCTGGATATCATAGTACAGCAAGTGAAATTTGAATCTCAGATAAACAATAAACAAATAAATGTTCAGTATAAGTATGTTTCCAAAATTGTGTGGGATACACTTATACTTAAAAAGTATTCATTGTTTACTAAATTCAAATTAACTGGGTTTGTCATATTTTTATTTGCTAAATCTAATGACTCTACAAGGGAGTGAAGCAAGGCTTACCTCCAGGAACTGATCCTACTAGGCACATAAAATTGCACTTGTGATAGTAGTAGCAACATAATTACTCGGGCAGCCCAAGCTGGCACCTGTAGGCCCTGCCACATGCTCTCCTTATCCAAGGGAGTCTTATGAGCTGTACCTGTGTGTGTGTGTGTGTGTGTGTGTGTGTGTGTGTGTGTTGGAGAGGGGGAAAGGAATACCAATCTTTAACTGAAGGGCACAGGCTTTGGCATCAACACACTAGTTGGCTCATAGCAGAACCCCAATAAATATTTGAATAAAGAGATGGATGGATAGATTCAAATTGCTGCTCCACAAGCAGAATGACTTTGAACAAGTTACTTATCTCTCCGTCTCAATTTCCTCATTAGTAAAATGGGGACATTAAAACCTTCTTGCAGAAGTATTATGAAGACCAAATTTAAAATCTTGTGTGAAGTGTCAAGCACAGGCACTCAACAAATGTCCCATCCCTGCCCTGCCTCCCCTGGTCAGCCAGCTTGCATTCCCCCACCCTATCTACCTGTGGCCAACATGAACCAGGAGATTCTCATGGATATAGCATCCTTCTGTAGTTGCCACCCTGACTTTGGCCCATGAGCTGGGACAACTCAGGGACTGGGCCTGAAGTAGGAATAGAGATGTGCTGACTTCCACCATTTGATTTTATTTTTTTAATGTAGTGAGTAGAAGGTGGGGCAATCACAAGTGTTGTTCTCCCTAAGTGAGGATAAACTGTCTTTGTAAATTAATATCCATTGACTGACAAGCCTTCACTCTCCATCCAAAGGCAGTTTCTGCAGGCCTTCTCAGTGAAGACAGCCACATACAGGCCACAACCTGTGCATTCACAGAGGTGAATTCTAACCAGACAAGAGGATATCCCACAGCTCTTTTTGCTGACAGCACTTGAGAAACTTCCAAACCACTCCCCAAGCCAAATGAGACCTGGGGTCCCACTGTTTCAGGTGTGCTGAGGAGGAGGAAGCAGGTGCATCCTTCAGGGCTTGGGTGTGATTTATCATTGTCATCAGCTTGCATTCATATTCCCTTTTCAATTCTACAGTACCTTCTGCAATGCTGCTTCCTGCTAGGTTCGTCACTACTCTTTTCCCCCAATCAACAGACTCACTTCTTATTCCAAGTCTGCATGTCTCTGCTCATTCCTCTGCTTGGAAATGCCCTGCCACAGCGCTGCTCCAAGGCCTCTTCTGAGTTCCAGCTAAGGCTGAGCAGCATCCTCTGACCTCTGAAGCCACACAGGGCCCTTACCAGTCTCAGAGTTCCCAAAGCAGGTGCATCTGCATCCTTCACCTGGGTCCCTTACTAAAATCTGGTTTGAGCTTACTAAGAAACTAGTTCCTCTGAATGCCTTGTCCCCTCAACCTGAATGGCAAGCTCTTGGAGGGAAAGGCAGAATGGGACGTTTCTTTCCTGTCCTTCTCAAGCCCGAGCCTGCACTGACCCAGGAGGAAGCACTCAATGGATGATTAGAGAATGGATGAAACAATGGAGAGCCAGCACCAAGCATGTTCATTTGTCCCGAGAATTAGCATGGCTGCAAGCCTTATGGGGAGGCAATTAAACAGACAGGGATCCTGCCCTTCAGGGGTTTATAAACTAAGACAGACAAGATGACTCTGATAGAGAATGTAGAAGCATTCAGAGGAATGAGCAGGTGCTGGATAAACAGTTAAGTGTTTGCTTTATGTGGAAGTAAAGGGGCAAGCATATGTAGGGTGCTGGAAGAATAAAAAGGGAGTCTCAAATGTGAGCTCATTCATTTAGTCTTTCAACAAAGGCTTCTAAGTGCCTCCTCTGAACTCAGCTCCATGCTGCTAGCTGAGGATGTGCGGATGAATGAGTCTTGCTTCCTGCCCCTCAGGGCCTCACAATCGAAGTGAGTAAACACTTCCCCTCATCCAGACAGAACAAGACAGCCTTCTTTGCAAGGTCAGATTTTAAGATCTGCTGGTACGGGAGGGTAGAATTAGAAAGAACTGAGAGTGCAGGGCATTTTGGCATGCCAATCATAATAAAAAGCAATCAGTGTATAGTTATTACCGGTCGACAGAGCCACAAAAGATGCACCCAAAGAACAAGAAACTCAAAACAACAAAAAACCACATCGGAAGACTTGAAGTGGCTAAGTACATAGTGCCATCCACCTAGGAGGTGCTGGAGGCACTGATGCCTAAACTTCCCCTTCACCCTCTCACTGCAGGGCCCAGCACTGTGGAATAATAGTGCTGTGTGCCTCAACTCTTCCCCATCCTGGTGGCAAAGAGGAAACAAGGGAGAAGGATATGGTGGTGCAGGGAACTGGGGGAGTGAGGGTCTAAAACCAGGTGCCCATTAAACAGGGCCTGTGTGTGCCCAGCTTGACCAGGGAGGAGATGCAAAGGGAGGAGTCCTACCTGGGGAAAAGTTAAAGGAAAAGGGAAAAGGGCCAAGGAAGTGTAGAAAGAAAGGCTGGGGATGCAGGGATGAATGCTCATTTTCTTTTCTTTTTACCATGAGATAGCTCCCCTCCTGAGCAATTCTGTTTAAAATGGAACAGAAAGACATAGCTCTGAATGGCAGCTCTGGCGTGGAGCTGGACCCCTGGAAACCACAACCCAACTCCATCAAAGTCCATTCTTTATATTTGAGCTGAAAAGCCTCCCACCAGGCTTAAGCTGTCAATCTTGCCCTTCTCTACCCTGCAGCCCATCTCACTTCACTACATGCACATGTGCACATGAATGTGCACACACAGCACACATGCCCCATACTGGCCTTACTACATCACTCTGTGGGGTTAGGGGGAGCAGTATGTTGGAGACCAGGGTGGCCAACCAACCCCTTTGCTAAACTGAGACAGTCCTGGGCCATCTAGACGCTTGTTCACCCTACAGTAGCCTGACTCCTCCAGGCTCAAACAGCAATGTCCTAGCGCCAGGCCAGGTGGCCTCCCTGGGTAGTTCCTCCCCAGGTTCCCTCTGCCTTCTCAGTCCTGCTCCTCTTATGCATCCCTTGACAGAGAGGAGAGGACCAGGCCCCCCAGCATCAATCTGCTGGACTTCAGAAAACCTGTCCTGCTGTGATGGATTTTTTAATTGGATTGTGACAAACATTTAATACCTAATAGAGCTCTTACCCGCACAGCTAATTAAGAATGTGACTAATCTAATTTAGTGGGAGTGCAGAAAAAAAGAAGGAAAAGCCAGGAGAAGGGGGAGCAGGATTTGGGGAGATGGGGGTGGCTGGAGTTGCAAAATGACTATTGAGCTTATTTTTTGTTCAGGGTGAGGTGGGGACTCTGACATATAATGTAGAAAGATTGCATTAAGTTTGCAAGACAGGAGCAAAATGTTGGCAAGTTGCAGAGCAGCCAGGCAGACAAGGACCTCTCTTAGCTTCTCACTCTGTCCCATTGTGCATATCGGCTTGTCGCCGCTGGCTTGTTAGCAATGCCTGAATGAACGGGCTTTGTGGATCCTCTAAAGCTCTATGGATAACGGCTGAGTATTACAAGCCTCGTTACTGAACCTGCCTCACAGAGGGTAGCACGGCTTGGCACTGCCAACCCAGAGCCAGTGGGCCCCGTAACCCTTTGTGGAACCCCACTGTCATGGCAGACAGCAGTGTGAACACAAATATTGCATTCATGACTCCCCTTAACCACACAGGTGCATGCACACACAATCGCATTGTGTGAGTGTGCAGTGTATACATGCTCCATAAGTGTATGCTGTACACTTCAAGCATGCAGGTATCATGGTGGTTCCACACAGCAGAAATGCATGCAGAAGCATGTAAGGTGTACACACAGATGGAGTTACCAGCAGAGTAATGCACATGGGGCATATCTGCACATCCTTCATAGGTACATGACCTGAACATAGGACCCCTTCTGTCTACGAGAAAAGTTTATCTCTTCCTTAGCCTTGCTGCTACCTAAGCAGGAACCTCCCACTCTCCCCCTGAGGTCTAAGTGTCTGCTTTCTGGGTGGGATGGGGCATAGCTATTAGACAGCTGTCACTTTCATTCTGGCAGGTAGCTCCATGTACAGGGGTGGGGAGGGGGCTTCTGGGAGGACGCTGGGCTGGTGTTCTGTGACTCTAGGCAATGAAAGATGCCCTGGAAACACTGGATTCTGTCAACATCACACCTGATTGTGGGGAGGATGTGAAAGGGAGGGCTCAGTGTCAGGGTTACCTTTCAAAGGGAGTGGTGGGGGGAAATATTAATCCATAATATGCATGGTGCCATAGTAACTGCTGGGGAAGAAGAACTATTTTGAGTTTCTCTGTGTTGCAGCACAGTGCAGGCACTGCACTGAGCTTTACAAATGTACAGCTTTCATATTCTGATCTTTAATGGCAGGTGATAAGATTAGGGCAAGAAAGCTGCGATTTAACAGTTTCCAGGCACTTGATATCTCACCAGAGCTCAGCTACCAGTTGTCTGCATTAATCCCCAAGGCAAACCTGAGAGGCAGGTGGGTGGAATTGAGCTACCTTTTATCTCAGAAAAGGGAAAAGCCAAACCCCTTGAACATCAGTTTCTGGAGGGCAAGAGGGCTCTTTCCCCAGCGTGCACCTCACCACCTCCATACTCAGCTCCGAGCCAACTGAAGCCCTCACTTTAACTGTCCCTCCAGAGAAAGGCCAGGGCACCTCCCAGCTAACCTGGTGAGTGTTGAGACCAGCAAGCGGAGCAGGCCATGCAGACCTGGCTGTGTGTGCAGAGTTGGGACAGCTGGCAGAACTCTCATTGGAACTGAAACAAAGGACAAGTCTCCCAATAGGACTGAAAAGAGATTGGGGATGAGGATCACAGCTGGAAAGGCCAGAAGACTCACCAGCAACAACCAAAAATGCTAGAAAAGAGGAAAAGCAGCCAGAAAGGGAAAAAATCCTATTTCTCCCTTCCTTCTACACTTGTCTACTCCTAGTCGATAATTATTCCTTACGTTGGTATGGGCATTTACTATTCTCAGAAGCTTTCACATATATGGAACTCTTGAATACAAATGCCACAAAGAACCACGGGACTCTCCTGCACACAGAGCTAGTTAGAAGTGGAGCTACAAGAAGAACCCAGGACTCCTCGATCTCAAACAAGAGCTAGCTCCTCTACACAGGACCTCACTTAACCCTCCTGCGACACTGGGAGGAGGCAAGCATTGTTCCCATTTTCCAGGTGAGAGGACTGGGGCTCAGAGGGTAAGTGACCAGTCACACCTGAGCCCACTCAGAAAAGAAGTAGCCGAGATAGGATTTGGGGTTAAGTGTATGCAATCCCAGGGGAATGCTTTTTCTACTTCTCCCTTGCTGGGCTACTGTTCATTGGCAAGAAGTATTAAGAGAGGCTGAAGAAAGAAGGGCTGGCATATAACTGGAACATAACTGCACTGCTGTTCCTTAACTGCCAGATGGCATGCTGTGCTGGCATGCAAAACTGAGGGGAGTATGTCAATAGTTGTAACCAGAGTGCATTCAGTGAGGATTTCCTGGGTGTCTTCTTCTACCTCTACCTCCCCTTTGGCCTCTAAGCAACTTTCTTAGATTTCCCTCCATTGCCTCCTAGTGTTTCTGCTCCTGGGCACTGCTGTCTCTCTTTGGTTGGTGGAGGCAAAGTGATCCTCTGTTATTTTGTGACTTTGCTTTCTGGAAGTAGCCACAGGAGGGAGAAGTCATCCTCACGAGGGACTCTCCCATCAGAGCACATCACTCCCTCCCAGGGCTGGGCACCAAAGCAGAGACCCTTTCACAACAACATCGACAACATTGCAGGCCTTTCTCTGCATTAGAAAACCTCTTAGCAATTGCTTCCGTAACAACTCTTTCCCAGGAGGAAAAGCCAAGACAGGCAGGGAGGAGAAGAAGATGGAGAGAAGGTACAAGGAGAGGCAGAGTTGTGGCAATGGCAGGCTCAGGCTAGAACAAAGCCGTGTTTACCACTTCCTGGTGCAGTGACCTTAGCCAAGGCAGTACACATTTTGAACTTCATCTATTAACTGGGAATTAAAAATCTCTGCACACCTCGCTGGATTCTAAATAATAGACAGGAAAGAGGTTTGAAAACGGCAAAGGGCTACCGAAATGAAAGGTGTTTTTATTAAGTAGAGAAGAAGGAAGATCAAGAATGACAGAGAGAGGAAAGAGAAGCCAGGGGGCTAGGAGTAAGTGCCAGCAGGAATGAGTGCTTTCCCACCGAGAAGTGCATTAGGCACTGTCAAATGTTCATTCTGTTCTAGACAATCATAAAGAAAAAGCTGTTCCTAATGGGCATCAATTATAAGACTTAAGAGTTTGTGGCACCTGTGATTGGGTTATATCATAGCAATTCTTTTCATTATTTCCCCAGCCCCAGCCTGGTACACAAAATTTCCCATTTCTTACCCTCAGCCATCCTAGAAACAGCATCCCTTCCTAAGGATGAGGGAGGTGGCGTTGAGTACCCCATGGAAGGTGGGCTGGGGTGGAATGATGGAATTTTGTGCTCCCCAGACATAGGTCTGCCTAGTGGGTGGGTAGAGGGGGCACGTGTTAAACACGCAGGTTCCCTTGCCCTACCCTGTACCCACTGAATTCACATCTCCAGAGGACGGCCCTGGCATCTGTATTTTTTTAAAATACACAGCCACTTTTGAAAACCACCACTTTATCTCATGCCCTCCCAGTCACATGGGCCAGTCTGCAGGCTTAGCTGCCTTCTCGTCACCCCTCATTTCACAGAAAGGGGTCTCCTCTGGAAGACACAGTGCTGAGATAATCCTGACTCCCTGCCCTGCCCACCTCCCCTGTCTGCTTCCTCTGGCCAGATATCCTTCCTCTGACTCAGAGTCCAGGGAGCTGTATCTGGGAGTAGGCTAGCTTGCAGCTTCAGGGCATTGACCAAAGAGAGATCTCAAAGACAAAGTCCAGAGGCAGAGGTGACATTGACAGCTAAATAAGCAAAACAAAGAGCCTAAAACCAAAGGGCTTGGCAGAGACAGGAAGACCAAGTGGGAAGGCATAGTGGTCAGGGAGGAGAGATAGAGAATCCCTGGGGCCTGTGGCCCTGCCCTTCTGGGAAGGCAGAGAGACTAGGAGATATCCTTCAGGCAAGATCATCTGCATCATCAGAGTACAAGTGGAAAGCTGTGGTCAGTTGGGGTGACTGGCTATGCTCCCTGCCATTTCTAGAGAGCAATTGGGTTCTGCCCTGCTTCCAAACCTATGTCTGTCCACACTGCCGGGGAATCTCTGAGTCAGGTGGGCACAGTTCTGCCAGAAGTGGGACAAACAGTTCACATAAAGCAGCTTCTGACTTGCGGGAGGGCTTAAGAAAAGATGTTCCAGTGAATTCTCTATATTTTACTATTGATAAAGTTTACCCTTAGGGGTCAGGGTAAAGTACAGGAGGGCTTTTTGCAATCTTGCTTGGATGGCCCTAGCGGGTGCTTCGGAGCAAAGCTGCAACATCACTCAGGCTCTGCTTTCCCTCTCTGAAGCTTGCTAGACTTTATACATCCTCCTTGTGCCACGGGGCAGGCTCCTGGGCCAGACAGCTGGGGCACCAGTGAGAGATGTCCAAATTTCCAGCCAGATGCAAGCCCTCTGGGCCATAGACCATATTTACTGAACACCTACTGAGTGCTTGATGCTAAAGTAGCAGCTAGAGGAGGGAGAGAGACAACATTAATAGAAGACATGATCCCTGTGTTCAAAATACCTACAGTTCAATTGGATACGCAAAATGTCTAGTATGTGTCCACTCTATTATGAGATGCTATCTGCCTAGCCACAAAGATTATATCACAGACCATTACCAGCAAGCTACAAAAGACAAGCTACTGAGGAAAGGAGGGATTGGAGGGAGGCTGGAATAATCAAAGATTTCTTGGAAGAGGCCAGGCTTGAGCAGGTGTGAGGGATGGGCCACTCAAGACTGTCCATGAGAAGGCCACAGGGGAGACCAAGAGCCTGCGTGGCTCCCTGCTATTAAAGCAACGTTCCAGAAGGCAGCGTGGAAGAGGAGAGAAGCCTGCAGAGAGGGAAAGGAAGGCCTAGATTCTGTTTGGCTCAAGTCATTCCATTGCTCTGACTTCTGTTTCATCTGCCTGAATGATAGCAGTGCCAGTGAGATAATTCATGGTCACTGCCAGCCTATCAAGTCCAGAGGTCCTCCGAGTACTGTGCTTCTGTCTGCTGAGGGCCTCGAGGGAAGACAGAGCTTCCCCATGATCATGTAGCCTCCACCTAACTACAGCCTGGCCTTGGCTTTGAGAGGAGGCACTAGCTGAGAACCATGTACACCCCCAGCTGAAGCCAACAACCACCCAGCTGCTCCATCTGTATGCAGGGCACTCCCCAGCCCCAGAGTTTATAAATAAAGCAAAGAAGTCATTTTGTCCCAAGAGATCGCGATGTCTCTTGAAATACAGAGCTGTTCTTTCTTGTGCCTCTGTGGTTCCTGAGTTCATTGTTATTCTTTGGCAAGGAACAGGGCTTGGATTGAACATGGTTCCCATCTGCAGCTGAGAGTCTCAGAAAAGGGAGAGGGGGCAGGGTGGGCAGGCAGAGACAGACAGAGATGCTCTTGGTTGAGCCCTAAAGTAATAAATGGGGCCACTAAAGGAACAAGAGAGGGAGACAAAAGAGAAGCATGGCAGAGAGGGAGTGAGAAAGGCGGGAGTGTGTTAAGATGGGAAAGGGGAAGTGAGAGAAAGAGATATTGACAGAGACATAGAGAAGAGATGCTGGCAGGATGACAGCTGAACCCTGTGTGCCATCGGAGTAGAGAGATGAGAGAAATCAGAAGGAGAAAAATACAGAGGCAGACAGCTTGAAGTGAAGCACGAAGGCTGGGGAAATGCAAGAGAGACAGAGACAGAGCCTCAAGGGGTCAGAAAGCATGCTAAGGTACAAAAGAGGTGCAATAAGGGGTGGGGACAGGGCATGGGGGACTAACACAGAGATGACAGTGAGTTATAAAGGGGTGCTATGAGCACGTGGGGTCTGAGTGTAAGGACTGAGTACCAGTGTGTCTACAAACAGGGCAGCATTGCCTGCCTTGCATTTGCCATGGTATAAAGAAGTCACTTTATGTGGTATTCAGAGTATTAACTCTGGACCAAGACTGTCTGGGTAGGAATCTTGGTGCTACCAGTTTCTAGTGGTGTGACATTGGGGAAGTTGGAACCACTCTGAACCTCAGTTGTTTCCCCCTGTGCAAATGGGGATGATATTAGTGCTGCCTCTAGGATTGTATGAAAGCACCTAGAGCAGTGCCTGGCACATAGGAAGACCCTTTGAGGGCTCCAGGTGCAGACAGGTTGGTGAGTACAAACAAATAAAAAGGGACAGGAAGAAGGGGGGCAGGGAGAAGCAAAGGCCAAGGGTGAGCCACCTTTTATTTACAAGTCTATTAATTTTAGTAGGCATGCTTTTCATTGTGAGTGATGGAGCTGAGGAGGAAAGAACAGCTCCCAACAACGCATCAGTGCAGGAGGCCACGTGAGGAAGCCCGAGCCCAGAAAGAGAAGGAGAAAGGAGACACAGGTCAAAGTCAAATAGACTCTAAAGCAGCGATGTGGAAGGCAAGACTGGCTTGCTGGGGATGCCAGTGGGACCCAGAGGTGCAGGAAGTCAAAGAGAACCAAGGGAAGAGCTGGCTTTCATGGCAAACTATGCTTGCAGCAAAGAGAGCAGGAGCGAGGAGTGTGGAGGAAGGCTCCATCTATAGGGAGGTGCTGCGACTTGCCCCATTGATCCTTCCATAAAGCCCAGGAAGAGAAAGTTAGATTAAATCCGCCATCTCTCACTCAGCATGCTCCTTCCTGTCTCCTGCCCTCCAGGGATGGCTTGTGTTTTATTCTTCCTAAACTGATATGAGACTCTAGGAAATGATTTCCTCTGTAACCACGTCTCCACCTGTACAACAGTGGGAGCAGTGACACACTCCATAAGCAAGGTGCAGAGATGTCAGTGAGCAGAATCACAGATTGAGCAACTGCAGAGGGAAGGGCTGGGAGCAGGAGTGGGGAGTGGGGTAGGGTAGAAGGAGAAAGGTGGGAATGGGCCAGAAGCTAGTTCTGTTGGCGTCTCCACCTGCCACCTGAAGCTGGCTTCATGCTCTCAGGGTGAAATGGGGGTCTGAAGGGAGGAAGGATAACTTCTCCTTCTGCCCCCCGACCCCCAAGAAAGGAGCTGCGACTCATGCAGGAGACACAGCCAGCTTGAGAGCAGTGCCTTGCAGAGTAGGTGATTCTCAGTAAATGGCACTTTGTCATCAGAGATGGTTCCTGAATCAGTTAAGAGCTCAACAGCATAAGGATGGTTTTAATCCTGAGAAAAATGCAGGCATCCAGTATCTTCAATCCCACATTTACTAAACCAGGCTCATGGTGTTGGAATTGAGCCTGAAGTAACAAACATAAGGACCCTCTGAAAAAGTTACAATGTATTAATTACTAACTGACTATGCTCACTTGTGGTCATGGATATTATAATCATAGCTATCACTTACTGTGAGCTTCCCCGGGCCCAGGTGCTTACATGCATAAGCTCCTAAATCCTCACAATGACTCTATGGAGTGGGGGTGACGATTCTTGTGTTCTAGGCAGAGACGCCGCTCAGAGAGGCGAGTACCTTTTACAGTCAGACAGTCAGGGTGCAGCCTCCAGAGCCTCCACTCTTTCCATATCTAAATCTACCACAGGTTCTCTTAAGGAGTGTGGATTTTTTTTCATTTCACATTCTACTTTATATTCAGTCCACTGGAAGTCCTGACTCCCACCATCTTCTGCCCTTGTGGGATGGAATGCTGGGCTCAGCTGAGACCATCCTTATGATCACGCCTTATGATTATGGCATAATCCCAAGACTCTGATGGAGAGGACTAGCCTTCTGAAAGGTGCCTGCCCTGAGACGGATGTCAGTTCTGCTCCCTTCCTGCCTCGGTCATGGACTGCTTGGACTTCAGGTGGAAGCAGAACTGGGTTGTACCAAAGAACCTCCTCACAAATTCTTATGGTAATAAGAGGGGTGCAAGAGCATGGCACCCTTCACCCCTGGGACCCCACACGCACTCTACATGGGTGCTGGAATGGTGTGATTTCCCTTTTCAAACATCCAAAGCCTAAGATCTTACTCCTGCAGAAAGGAAGTATTCTATGTGTAGCTAGAGCCAGGAAAGTCCACAAAATAGTGGGGCCGCCATTTCTTTTTGCAACAGGACTCAAACTACCCCTGGCCAGATATTCCCAGAAACAATGGGCGAGCTTGGGGGCAAGGATTGGCACCAACTTGACTGTAGTCTGTGGGCCTGTGACAGTTCTTCCTGCTTCCCCTTTTCTCTCCCTGTCCACTTGAATGACTTTGTGCACTGGTCAAAAGATCCCAAGGAGGATCTGCTTAGAGCCAGCTTCCATGCCCTTCTCTCCTTACTAACTGTGCATGCACACACACACAACACACACACAGCTTATTTCCTTATGAGATTAAAGACCTCACGGAGATCTAATCAAGAAAGATAACAAAGGCTTGTCCTAGAAAAATCATATTTTTCTTTCTTTCTGTCTTTACAGGCAGCAGGTGGTAACATGTTACCAGTACTGATCAAATTTAGTCTGGATGTGACCAACCCTACAATCTCCAAGTCAGAGCTGCTTTTACTGGAACAATTTTTCTCAAGGAGTGATTCCACCACCATCCTTCTCCAAAAAAGGCTCTGAAAACGTCTAAACTGACCAAGGGTGAGTCTGGCAGGTGGAGCCTCTAAGCTGCTTCATCTGCCCATGCCCCTTCAGCACAAGGCAGGCAGATGTGCCCTATCTTCTTTCCCCAGCCCAGGCTGGACATCCACAGGGACCTGTGTGGTTTGCATACCAGTACCTGTCAGGCTGTCTCCCACCTCAGCTCAAACACCTGCAGTGGGAGGGGGAGGGGAGGGCAGGGAAAGGACAGATGAGGAAAGAGGGAAGAGCTGTGAGAGTATGTGAGGGTGTGTTTGAGGAAACCCCAGGAGATCAGCTTCCAACAGTGATTAATTTAGTGAGAGAAAATAGATTCTCACTGCCAGCCACCAAGTCTGCAATAGCTGACAATGAAGCAGTCAGTTCTGCTTTCAGGCAGCTCTGGTCCTGTGAGAAGGCAATTTGTGAGCTTTCGTGCCCATACACCAACAGGAGAGTGACTGTGGGAGCCAGTCCCAAGGTGGGAAGGGAGCCAGCCTGCTCCGGGAGCTGGGAGACTCCAGCCAAAGTGGGATTCAGGAACCCAGAGGTGCAGACTTCCTATGGACTCTGATGCCTGGCTGCACTATTAGGGAGAATGTCCTTGTGGAACCTCTGTGCTGGGTGTGTGCATCAGACTGACTCAGTCACTGGAGGAAGGCTGAGGTCTGGGATGTCAGCATTCCATCTTCTTTTCTGACAGGCATTACATGATGGCTCATCAAATATGAAGCCACTCATCTGTTCGTTCAACAAAATATATTGAGCTTCGACTGTCTCAGGCCCTGTGTTAGGTGCTACAGTCAAGAGGGTGCACAAAATAGATGCAGAGCCTACCCTCCTACCCTCCCAGAACTTACAGTTTAGAGAGGAGGACAGAAAATTGAGTGAGGAATGGGTTTCATCCATCTATCCTATAATTTTCACATGATTTCAATATTCAAAGGGCATCAATTAGGACTATAAAACCTAAAATCAAGTAGACATCAACATCCTCTAGCTCGCTGTAATTGACATGTGAGCAAACTAAAGCCCAGAGAAGTGGTATAACTGAACAACGTTACACAGGTGGTGGGTGACAAAGGCTAGGACTGTAAAATTTCCATTCCTTCTTAAAATAATTTTCCTGCCACACCACCCTGCCACAATCCAAAGAGACCCAGTATGAATGATGCATATTGAACATTTCTGAAGTATGTTCTTTGAATACCTTCTCTGTCAAATGCTCCATGAAAAAGAGTGCTCTATAGTTAGCTAGGTTCAGAAAATGCCAGTAATGCATTTTCCTTATGGAGGTTGACAGTATACATGATCATATTAAAGGCTCCGAAGTCTATGGGAAAGAACTCTGTTTATCATGGTTTAACCTAGAATTTCCCAAAGTGTTTTCATCATTGAAGCCCCTTTATTGATGTAACTCAACCCCACACACTCCTCTTCCTCAGAACTTTGGGAAACCCCAAATCAGTTAAGGTTCTGTTTATTTTAGACATCCAACCCTTCCTTTCTGGCTTTTCCTATTTCCTTTTTTTCATCAAGGGGGCTTGGTTCTTCCCCTCTAAGTTATATTAGATCTGACTCTTCATTCTCCTCCACTCTTCAATACTTTCCACATTCTGGATAGCCCTTCTCCCTGGAATTCTGGGACCCCTTATTCTCTGGATTTTCCTCACTTTGTTCTCTCTGAGTTGCTTCTGAGATCTTTTCACCTTTTTGTCCCTCAGTAATTGATCTTCAATTTATTTCAGGCTTGCTTTTTCCTAAGTACTCAAGGAAAAGACTTGAAACTTCACCAATCATCTCCTTATGAATAAATCACAAATCCAATAACTGACCTGTGACCTTTCTCCACCATGATTTGCTTCTCCAGCTAACAGTTCATTCACATATTCAAACAATACTCATTGCACACTGCTGTCAGGCCACATTAAAGGCCACTCTCCCAGCAATCTCTGGCTAGTCAATTCCACCAGTTAGAGAACTGTGGGGATAAGGTTAAGTTCATGGATTTGACCCCTGTTGGGCCCATGAGTTTCATTCTGCCCATGACCATGAATCCTGGCCAATATTCTCTCAAATGGGTGTCCATGGCATGAAGGAGCAGGATAAGAAGGTGTGTCTTGGCTTGGTTCAATTTGTCGCCTTTAAAGGAAAAAAATAGTCAAAGTCTATACCCTGGGATTAGAGGCGTCATCATATTAAGTATGTCAAAGTGACCATCAGCTCTTCCCTACATCAGCCTTCTACCTAGTTTTCTCAGGTCCCAAATCATCCCCCCAAACATCTCCCTCTGCAAAATCCCATAATTATTTCATTGGGAAATAGCTAACATTTGCCTTTTGTTCCTTTTTTACTCAAACAAACCATTAGCTGTTTTTTTTTTTTAAGTCCCCTGACACTGTGGTTCTCATGTGTTGCTCAGAGATTTCATCTGGACCTGAAGAAATGAGAGAAGTGGCCTTAAACAAATGTTACTATTCAACAGTAGAATTATAAGCATTATGGCTCCTTTTGCAAGAAGCTTTCTACCACCAGGCTTGAGACTGGATCTCAATTTTGATTGCACGCACACACGCACACACACACACACAGAGTGTTTTTCAATAAGAAGGAAAAAAATCATAAGTTTTTTATTTGCCATGATTTGCTTCTCCAGCTAACAGTTATTCATGTATTCAAACAACACTTACTGAACACTCATTTATAGGCCACACTAAAGGCCAGTTTCTTGTAATCCCTGGCTAGTTAATTCCCCCAAGTTCATTTCCTGATAAAACTGAGAACTATTTTCATGGTGTACCACCTATCACTCCTGCTTCTTCAATCATCTTGGAAAATCTAAAATAGAAGACAAACCACATTCAACAGAGTCATTAGATGTGTCATAGAGAGCACTAGTAATGCTCACACCAAACATTAATTTGAAGACTGCGTATAGATGAAGAGAGTTCCTGGCCAGTCTTAGTTTGCAAAACTCATTCCCTTTTGCCTACCATTAGGGATTCTTATTTTATTTTATTATAGATTCTGGGGTATGTGTGCAGATTTGTTACAAGAGTATATTTTGTAATGCTTGGTACATTTCATAATGCTTCGATTGAGCCCATCACCCAAATAGTAAATATAGTACCCAATAGGTAGTTTTTTAACCCTTGTCCCCTCCATCCCCCTCTTTTGGAGTCCCCAGTGTTTACTGTTTCCATCTTTATGTCCATTTGTACCCATTGTTTAGTTCCCGCTTATAAGTGAGAACATGTGGTATTTGATTTTCTGTTTCTGCATTATTTCACTTAGGATAATGACCTCCAGCTGCATCCATGTTGCTGTAAAGAACATGACTTCATTCTTTTTATGGCTGCGTAGTATTCCATGGTGTACATGTCCTAAATTTTCCTTATCTAGCTCACCATTGATGGACACTTAAGTTGATTCCATGACTTTGCTACTGTGGATAGTGCTGTGATAAATATGTGAGTGCAGGTGTATTTTTGATAAAATGATTTCTTTTCCTCTGGGTAGATACCCAGTAGTGGGATTGCTAGGGATTCTAGATTATTTTCCCTGAGAGGGCAGGAAAGACTTGGGAGCACAGTTGCATCTATGCTCAGCCCCAGACATTCCCAAGGCACCATGGCATGAGCTAAAGCTTAGTCAGAGTCCTCCTGGGCTCAGCTCTGCCTGCTCTGGTGCCTCCCTCTCCTCTCCACTGGTGCCTGTCCTGCCTCCCTCCACTAAGCTCTGGCCAGAGGAGAAAAGAGAACATCATCATTTCCACTGACAAGCACCATCTCACTTCTCTTCTTACTCACTTTTCTTATCTCTTAGAGCCCCCTTCGTGCCCTTAAGTTTCTCTAAGACACCTCTGCTTACTCTGTCTCCAGCCCCTGCCTTTACCCCTGCATTACGGTCTTCTTACAAAGGCTTATTTTTCCAAATGTTCAGTCTGCATTAGTCCCATCAATTCTTTACACCCACTGAAAGGAAGCATGCTATAATAGGAAGAACATAGCATTCAAAACAAAGCAACATGTTCTGTCCCTTCCTTTCCTTTTCTTTCTCCCAGAAACTTCCAGCTTACTTCTTCCCCATTTCTAAACCTTTCTAGACATAGTTAACCCCGAAATGAAGAAGAGAGGTGGTATGCTGAGCTAGCTCATGCCCAGCCTCATCTCCCATGTGCCTTCTTTTCTTTTCGAAAGACAATAATGGGGACTGAATTCATGATGAAGTCCCCTGCTCCCCACACCGAGAAAACATGAGCCACAATGTGAGGCAGATGCCCTGTCAGGATCACATGCTTCAAGCAAGATGCATCCCATATGGCTCAGGCTGAAGACTGCCCAGCCCTCCCTATCTTCTGCTGTTAGCGCCCCCCACCACACCCTCCCCTCCCCCAGAATACGCTCCAATCTTCCAGCAAGCTGGGCGTGAATACACCAGCCATCTCAAACACCCAGGGATTTGGGGAAAGTGTTAAGAAGGAATGTAAACAATACATACTAATTGCTGCTGTGACATAAGTTATAAATTAAATTAGATGGGTCAGAGCGCTGTACTCCCCTTCTCCCCAGCCTCCTTGGGAACACGATGGGAGAACAAGCGTCTCACATAGAGGAAACTGACTTCTAATGAGCACTTCTGACATTTCAATAACTAGGGCCCTGGATGCCTTGTGTCAAATGAGCCCTCAGCTCTGCTGAGTGCCAAGGTTCCAGAGCATTCTAGGCTGGGTACAGGGAGGAGCCCCAGTCCCACGGGGGTTGTGGCAGACAAGCCTATCTACAGCTCCTGTGCTTCTCATTAGGGTTGCAGACTTGAGAATGAGCACTTCAGAATCAGCCCTGACTTAAGAAGAGGCCGGGAAGAAAGGAGGCAGTGAGCTTTCTAAATAACTGTGATGAGGCTTGCTATTCCGTTTTGTTGTGACTGCCCAGGAAATCTCTCTGCCTGGAGCAAAGCAGATGCTAAATGAACATTAGTTGAGCAAATGAATGAATGAACAAATGAGGAAGAGAATGACTGAGTCTGTTGCAGACCCCAAATGCCACAGACCCCAGTTTTGTTCTGTTTTGTCCACTGAGTAACCCAGGAAGCAGAGGGCAGTGGGACCAGTTAGAAAGGAAGGAAATGAGGATGCAATTTGCATGGTGTGGGTACCTGAGAGGCCTTGCCTTTGCCACTAGCAATCCCTAAAGCTGGCTGGATTTAACAGAATTCAGAAGCAACATGTGACTTTGTTTGGTAAAGTCAGAGTGCAGTGAGGACTAGGCCCTAAGTTTCTGTTTGTTTTTTCCCAAAACTCCCTACCCATGAGCCAGTTCTCTGTAAGTCACTTCCATTCTCATCTTTCTGCCCTCTCAGAGAGTTTCTTCCATGCTGCAAGGCCAAGGCCATGTCTTTTATGACAGAAGCCAGAGATGGTGTTGTCAAAGTCATTCACTCAGCAAACATTATACAGTGACCTCTGCATGCTTGGCACTATGTTGTGCTCTGGGAATCCATAAATGAATAAAACACGGCCACTAACCTCAGGGGGCTCCCAGTCTAGTGAGGAGATGGCAAGCACACAGGTAACTAGAGTTCTTGGCATCCTGCAGGCCTCAATGCCCTGGCTGTCTCTGTAGGACCACGTCGGAAACCCTCCCACTGATGGCTCATGTGAAGCCCAGAGAGGACCAGAGGCCTGAGCCTGGAATCTTCTCCTGGCTTCTGCCTAGGGCTCTTTGTCCTTCACCAGGCCACTATGCAACATCTTGGCCACCCAGAGGGACTCCAGACAGTGGCACACTGCCTCTTCATCACCTCCCTGCTTGCTAAAACATGTCACAAAGAGCCCGTCTTTCCACAGGGATACCAGGTAGCATGACCGAATACCTTAATCTACCCCAGGTTTTTTTCCCCATTGTTTTCATCTGTACAAATCCAAGGTGCCAAATACCTCTTAGATTGGAGGCCTGCAAGCTTCCAGGGAGGGAAATGATGCTGGGAGCAGGGCTATTTGCATGTTTTCATTAACGCAGGCTATGGCTGGCCAGGCTGCCAGCTCCCTTGAATGCGTGTCTTCCTGGGGTGATAGAGAATCAATTGGCTTGATGCAACTTCTGGATCCTTGTTACAGCCCTGGCTTGGGTCCCGTGGAGGCCCTCAGACAGACATCAATAACCTTGCCTCTCATTGCCTTTATTGGCCTCGATGCCATCCCATTAGAATGCACCAATATTTATGCACATTTTAATGGCACTGCCAACAGCAGCATTATAACAGGGTGGCCAGACAGGGAGGGGTGAGGGAAGACTGCAGGCTGCGTTTTCTCTCTCTCACTGTGCTTATTCAATCTACAGGCAGAGGGTTTCTTTCTCACTAAGTCCTTTTCTCCAATACCTGAGGCCTCGGTTTCCGTTACTACCCAGAGGCTCAATACTAATAGGTAGAATTTGTTGTGAATCAATAATAGGCAACACACACTATTTTCCATGATTCATTGTTTCATGTAATTGTCACAACATTAAGTAGGATAATGGTACTGCTATTTAACAAATGGATAAGTCAAGGCTCAGAGTTGGTAAGCAAGTTCAAGGTCATACAGCTGTAAGCAGGTTTACAGGCAAAATTACAAGTTCATATAGGAAGAACCAGGCTTTTGGCTTAGATCCGGGCCAAAGCTATGTCTTTTTATTCTATTACATTGCCGTGGATCTTTATAACTCAATAAACATAATAAATTTTGATTTGAGTACCTACTACGTGTGGGGTACTGTTATAGGCTCTGAAGTACTGAAGTGACAAAGACAGATGAGGTCTCTGCTTCAGTGTCTGGACATCATAAGAGAATCAACAAATGTTTACACAAGAACATATGATCTGGTGACAAGTGTGCAAAGCATTAAAATAGACTGATGTGAGAGTGAGTGATGGGGTTGCTACTTCTAGATGGGGTGACCAGGAAAGTCCTCTTGAGAAGGTGACAGTCACACTGAGTCATAAAGAGCAAGAAGGGGCATTCCACATGACTCTCAGAAGACACAGCTCAGTCCCCAGGTGGGAATAAGCTGGGTGGGTTTGAGGACAGGAGGGAAGACCCGTGTGGCTGTAGCAGAGCAGTTGGGAGGATGAGAGGTGGTGAGGCAGGTGCAGAGCTAGGCAGGACTGGATCCTCTTGGCTTAAGTGCCAGGGGGAGCCATTTGGGTTTAAGTTTGATTGTGATAACAAGTCACTGGACTTGATCTGAAGTAATTATTTAATGTTCCCTCTGGCTTTGCGCAGAGAAGTATTGGAGTAGAACAAAAGAGAAACAGGTGGAGTGAGTTAGGAGACTATTGTGATGGCAGCTGAGGGAAGGGTGGGAGTCATTGAAGGAGGAGAGAAGATTGAACATATTCTAGATAGATTTAGGAAGTAAGATACATGAGACTGGCTGATGGATTGGATATGAGGTGTGAAGCAGAATGACAAATCAAGGAAACCTTCTAGGTTTGGGAACTAATCAACTTGGTGAGTCATGATAGCATTTGTTAAAATGGACTGTTGGATGAAGAATTTGTTGGGGTGTTTGGCACAGGAAGTCAAGAGTTCTTTGGGGCCATTTTAAACTTGAGATGTTAATTAAACATCTCTATAGTAAGTAGTTGGATAGCACCATGGACAGCATGCAGCTGAGAAGGGTGTCCAGTCCTATCCACACCTTAACACCCAGCAGCAGAGCAGAACAAGGTGGCTCTGCAGAGCAGGATGGGAAACGCAGGCCACAGGTAGGAAGAAAACCTAGAGAAAGTGATGTCAAGGAAGTTGAGAGATCAACGGTTTCAAAATAGTAATATTAATGATGATGATAATTATAAGAGGAGGAGGAAGAGGAAGGTAGTAGTAGTAACAACAAAGAACTTATTATGTGACAGGCACAGTTGTAAGAGTTTCCTGTGTTTTAACTAACTTTAATTCCCACAACAAGCCTAAAAAGGAGATACTGTTATTCTCTCCAAATTCTAGATGAGACAACTGAGGCACAGAGAGGCTACTCAAAAGTGAAATCTCTGGTCTCTCTACCCACTGTGTTCCTTAACAAGCCAGACCCAGCCCCTTCTTTCCAGGCCCTAAAAATCAGCTTCAGAGCCTTAAACAGGTACTGACTGAGTTCTCGGTAGGTCCTGTCCTTTTTCAGCCCCAAACTTGGTTTATTAATCTCTTTGTCGGTTTCAATGCTCAGATCAGGGGAAACCTGTTAGCTTAGGTGACAGACAGGCAGCCTGCAGCTGTGGGGAGTAATCAGATTTCTTATTTTTGCTCTATTCTCCAACACAAACCTTTTCTTCAGGCTCATTCTCTCCCTAGCTGCCAAAACCATCGTGTGATATTCCCACATGCATTCCGTTTCAGGAGGGCTATCCCATGCCATCCTGAAATGGCTCCAATTCCTGTCTCAAGACTCATCCAAGCCTCACCTCCTCTGAGGGGCTTCCTTGAGAAGAATACCCACATTCATCTCTACAACCTCTCAGAAATTATTTCATATATAATTAATTTTCATTCTTAATTAAGTTCAATTTTGCACTTTGCATCGGCAAAGTAGTTCGGTTCCCATGACATACTTCACAGTCAAAATGCTATTACCAGAGGTGGAAGTAACAATGAATGGAGCAAAATGTATCCGTGGGTGTCAGGAAAGGGAATAAGAGGGATAAAATGAAATTAGATGCCAATTAACCTTGGGGCAGACACATGCAAGAAGAGGGGCCATTGAAGAGAGCCAGGGAAAACATGGTCTGGGTCGGGACACTCCAGGACTGGGAAAAGACCTGGCTCTGCCCCTGGCAATGCTTGGGACATGGTCTTGTGCAGCTAGACATGGCCCTGGCTGGACCTCCAGAGAGGAGGCACAGGGGCCATCTGGGAATTTACTGGTTCTTGTCACATCCTTCCAAGATGGACCAAATATATGTGTGCGTGGCATCTGCCCTAGCGATGGTTAATATAAGTGGAGAGTGCCTCAAGTTCCCTTCATCCATCTTTCCATCTGCCTTGGGTCTGAAATTTGCACACTTGAAGAATAAAGTCTTTAATTTGCAGCTATAAACAAGTAAGCTCATTTTCCCACGTACAGTTGAGAGAACACCATGGGCAAAGATCAGTCTCACTGAGGGCTAAGCAGGAGTAAGCAGTGGAGAGGTGGCCAGAGGAGTTACTGCCCTGAATGGGTCCACTAACAGGGGAGAGGAGAGGAAGGTCTCATGAAAAGGGCAGTGGGAGACTTGGGAAGAAGAGTCATGAACTTCACAGGCCCTAGTATAGGCCCTACCTTCCTTCAAGGTGTGCAGACAAACAGAGACAAATAGGGTAAAGAGGGATTATTTGTTACACATTGTTATGTGAACTGGTGAGGACGTATGCAGGGAGACAACATCACATGTAGGGAGAACCATATCAGTCCTGCTTCACAGAATTGGGAAGAATGTTCACCCATTCATTCATCCAACAAATATTCATTGAACATCTACTCTGTGCAGGCACTGTTCCAGGTGCTTGCAATATGCCATTGAGGAAAACAGACACAGACCTCTGCACTTGTAAAGTTATTCAAGTGACAGGACACAGACAATAAACTACAAACATGACAAACAGTTGTAAACTACATAGAATGTTAGAGGTAATGAGGTCACAGTCTTTGGAAAAAAGAGACTTATTTCCCAAAAAGTACTGCATCATCACACACAATCCCAGCTTGCTCTCTGTTACCTCTCCAGGAGTCTCTGAGGCTGGAGTGGCCACACTGCTCACTTCTCTTTTATTTCTCAAACACCCTCCACCATCCACCTGTCTCCCTTGTAACCTGTACTACACATGTGTGGGACACAGAGAAGGTGCTCAATCATGTGTGGCATCAAATTAACCATCCTAGTTTAGGAACACAAACTGTCTCCCGACAGAAATCCTCCTCTAAGATGATCTGTTTACCTGTTTGCCAGGGCCCTAGAGCCCCGTCTCCATTGATCATCCCCTGTGTCACATGTGGGAAATGTGGTTATCCAAGGAGACTTTGATGATTAATTTCCCTCCCTCCTCTTAGGTTTCCCAGGAGCCCATCTGTACGCTGTCATTCACAATGCCTCCTCTCCTGGCCATTCCTGACTCACAAGAGGGATGGGGATGAGGCAAACACTGTGTTCTACAGGTGACTGTTCTAAAATTTGCCACATAGGACTGAGAATGCTTTGATTGAATCTCACGTCTACAGCCCCAACACCCTGAATGCGCCCAATCTCATCTGATTTGATCTCATTTCCAGCAATGTGTATACATGCATGAAATGGAGAAGCCAGCCTCCTTGCATGTGTCCAGCACGAGGGATGATGAGCAATAACTTTCTGTACAATAAAATCATGGACCATGCTGAAGTACATTTCAACTGCTCTCTTGTCCTTAACTTATTCATGTATATAAAACATCAAATTCTATAAAGACTTAGCTGAGGAATGCCTTTAAATTCAGTATATGTAAAAAGTAGAAGAATAAGCCTTCAAAATCCACTGTTTGTATATGCCAGAGTTCTTTGAGGCTCAATCCCAGGATCCTTTCTCTTCTTACTCATGTTGTATTTATGTCTAGTTTTACCCATGTCCTCTCTTCAGACACCACCTCTCTGCCAATGGCTCAGAATCCAATATTTACAGTCTAGACTTTTCCTCTCAGTCTTATAACAAAGTACCATACAGTATCCCAAGGGATATCCCTACTTGGTTGACCTCCAGGCTCTTCAACACTCCACAATCAGAACAAATTCATGGTCTTCCTGCCATCACTTCTGAATCTGGACCTGTTCCATCATTCTTTATCTCACTAGAGATAAAACGTCACAACCATTCAGTGTCTCTAGCCAGAAATCCAAGCATCATCACGGACCTGACCTCCCTTGTTCTTGCCCTTCATATTCAATCTATCCAAAGTCCTATCAGTTTTGCATTCAAATAAATAAATTTTTGAATTTCACTGTTCACTGTCCAATCAGATCCCACATTGCAACCAGAGGAAATTCTAAATGCAAATAGTGCCACCCCTATGCTTAAATTACTCTAGTACTTTTCTATTGCTGTAACAATAAATACCAAAATCCTTATGGGCTCAATTATGTTCTCAAAATCATATGTTAAAATCCTACCCCGCCCAGTACTTGGAATGTGATCTTATTTGGAGATAGGGACTTTAATGAGACAATTAAGTTAAAGTGAGAACATTAGAATGGGCCCTAATCCCCTATGGCTGGTGTTTTTATAAGAAGATATTAGGGCACCATCAGGCAGAGAAGGCCATGTGTAGACACAGTGAGAAGAAGACATCTACAATCAAAGGAGAGGGAACTTAAAGAAACCAACCCTGCTGACACCTTGATCTCAGACTTCTAGCCTCCAGTACCATGAGAAAGTCAATATCTATGGTTTAAGCCACTCAGTCTGTAGAACTTTATTATGGCAGCCTTAGCAAACAAACACATCTCAACAAAGCTATAACGTCCTCTTGGCTTTTGTGGTGGTTTTAAAATATGTCCATGAATTTTTTGACACTCCCCCTTCAAAAGGTGGAGCTGATTCTTCTCCCCTTGGGTGTGGGCTACACTTACTGGCTCCCCTCTAAGAAGTAGAACATGGTAGAAGGGATAAGGTGTAACTTCCAGATTAGGACATAAAAGGAATTAGGGCTTCCTGTTGCTCTCCTTTTTGGATCCCTTGCTCTTGGGGAAGCCAGCTGCCACATCATGAGGACTCTCAAGGGGCCCAGTGGAGAGTCCACATGGTGAGGACTGAAGCCTCCTGCCCACAGCCGTGTAAGTGAGAGATCCTGTACACAGATTCTGTGGTCCCAAACAAGCCTGCGGATTATGGCAGCTCTTGCCAGTGTCTTTACTGTAACTTCAGAGAGACCCTGAATCAGAACTGCACAGCTAAGCTGCTCCACAATCCCTGACCCACAGAAACTATGAGACAATAAATGTTTGTTGTTTTAAGGTGCTAAATTCTAGGGCAACTTGTTAGGCAGAAATAGATAATTAGTACGGTTTGAGTCTATTCTTCTAGGCTAATCATTCACCACTCTTGTCTTGCTCTCTGAGCTCCAGCCTCATTTCCTCTCTTGCTCAAATTCCCTATGCTCCTTAAACCCCTCTTTCTAGAATGTACCCCTACATTCTTCCTTATTTGAGTCCTACTCATTGTCTTGATCTCTTTGAAGCATTAATTTTTCAGAGAAATCTTTTTTGACCCCATTCCAGTAATATGTTTTATTAAACCATGTTCCTTTCCTTCAGAACACTTTCCTAAGTTCATTATTATTTGTTCATTAGGGTGATTATTGGATTGATATCTATCTTCCTCACTAGACTTCAAGCTCCTCAAGGCCAGACATGGTGCTGTTTTTACTTATCTCTGTGTTCCCAGTGCCTATACAATATAGTCATTGAATACATAATTGTTGGATGGATGGAAGGATGGATGCATGGATGCATGGACAGATGGATATATGGATGGATGGATGGATGGATGGATGGACAGATAGATTAATATTAGCCAATATGTGCATAGGAGCAAGTCTTGCATTTCAGGATTGTGCTTCTATTTAGTCTCCTGGCTGCAGGATCCTCTGTGAATTTACAAATACTGTTAACCAATCTGTAGCTAAACATGAATGAACTAGGCTCAGAAATCTGTACATGATTTGCTCATTTTATGCCATTAAATGAGCCTTCCTGTAGTTTTTTTTTTTTTTTTTTTTTTTTTTTCCAAAATTTAAGGGACCAATCTAGAACAGATAAAAGGGTAAAGCCCCCACAGGTAAATGGGCGGGCCAGCTGGGAGTGCCATTCCTCCTTTTTACAGCTGTAGGATACAATTAGAGAGGTTTAACACGTGGAGAGCAGGGTGGGCAGAGAGAAAATGGGCAAGGCCAGTCCTCTGGACTGAAGACATAAAGGTTGTTCAGATGGTACACTGCAAATAGTTTTGCCTTAATTGACAAGCCTTGAGAAAAAAAGCCAAATAAAAACATTGGTTATGAATTGGATAATCCTGCCAAGTACAGACAATAATACATATAGCTCAGTACCCATCTGAGAGAGCAACCCTAGAGGAGAAGGCCCCAACCGATTTTAAAAAATAAATATCATTAGAACTTTGGGAGGCCAAGGCAGGCAGATCACCTGTGGTCGGGAGTTTGAGACCAGCCTGACCAACATGGAGAAAACCCATGTCTACTAAAAATACAAAATTAGCCGGGTATGGTGGCACATGCCTGTAATCCCAGCTACTCAGGAGGCTGAGGGAGGAAAATTGTTTGAACCCAGGAGGTGGAGGTTACAGTGGGCCGAGATCGTGCCATTGCACTTCAGCCTGGGCAACAAGAGCGAAACTCCATCTCAAAAAAAAAAAAAAAAAAGAATATCATAATTTTAAATGAAAGTAAATGCTTTTATATCCAAGAGCTTTATTAAGTCAAACTATTTAGCTGCACTTGGGCTGGTTTGCCCTAGTTTACATTTGTGTTATTTGTGAGTGTAGTTTGTGAATAACATTTCTTTAAAAGAAAAAAAAAAACCAGAAACCTGTTTATCCCAAGCCTCTTTATCTCAGGCAGTTTGCGTGTATATGTATGTACATATATCTGTAATTTCTCCCTAGGACCAGCAAAGTCAGGCTTGAGAAGAGCTTTTATTCATTATTTAATCAAGGAAAGAGCTTTAACTCAAACAAGAGCAAGGTGGGGAGGGGGTGGGGTCAGAGCATCCAGGCTGCAGTGAAAGAGGCTGGCCAAGAGAGAACATTTTTATAAACAGACTCTTGAGACAAAAACCTGAACAAAGAGCAACAAACAGCTCCTTTCTACGTCTTTTTTTTTTTTCTTTCTTTCTTGAAGCTCCTGACAGACTCAATTCTCTTCCTGCATAATCTCCTCTCATTTTTTTCTGGAGCAATGTCACTGTTCTGAATACAGAAATACATCATCACTTGTTTTCCCTTAAGGTTGCTCCTTCCTGTGGCTACAGGCAGAGGCTGGGAAGTCCCCGCCCAGCCCCCCACAGGTTGACTATGCCTTCCACTTCACTCCCAGCCCCATCCTTTCCTTCTTTACTGCACTTTGATTTCAAGTCCTGCAACTGTCTACCCCTGTGGACCTTTCCCCTCACCTGAGATGGGTTTCCATGATCTAATTAGTTCTGCAAGGAGCAAATGGTGGCTGATATTCAGCCTCAGTTCCACTTGGGAGGGCACAGGGGGACTTGGCCCTGCCATGGGCCCGATTCAAGCCCAGCCAACCCTCCTGAGTCCCCCCACATGTCAGGCCTCATGCAAGCACCATTCCATGTGAGCCTCACAATAACCAGGGGAAGCAGGCCACTCCCATCCTCATTTTGCAGATATAAGGTGACTAAGGCTCAGAATGGGAGCTTCATGTTCATGGAAGGAGTCCTGACTTCAGAGTCAGCCCTGCCTTTCCATCATGAGAACCTCTCCGACTCTCCCCGTGTGTTTCTTGCCTTCTCCACTAAAATATTTCCCCTGAGAACATCCTTTTGCGGTCTGAACCTACCCTCTGTGTTTCTCTCATTAGCTGGACCCTATTCCCTCTTTTAACTTCCATTCATTCCGTAATCCAATTACTATATATTGTGCACCAGTGTGTGGGCAGGGACACTACCCTGGTGGCACTTACAATCTAGGTTAGGAAGACAGACAACGAACAGTCAAACATACCACATGTCGGGTGGCACTCTGTGCCAAGTAAGGAGAATGCACTGAGCAGGTTACAGAGGATAGAGTGCTGGGGTGGGGAAAGTCTTTGCCGTTCCATATGGTGAGACCAGGGAGGCCAAATCGAAAGGTGACACCGAAGAGCAGACGTGAAGGAACCGAGGAATTCAGCAGTGGGGAAAGAGGGCTCTATATAGAGGGGACAGTGAGTGCAAAGGTGCTGACATCCTTGACGTGTCCAAGAGATGGTGAGGAGACCAGCGGGCAGGGGCAGGGTGGTCAAGGAGGATTGATGGGTGAGGCTAGAGTGGAAAGAGCAAAGCCAGTGGGAAATAAGAGGTGGTGTCGGCCGGGTGCAGTGGCTCATGCCTGTAATCTCAGCACTTTGGGAGGCAAGAGGCGGGTGGATGGCCTGAGGTCAGGAGTTTGAGACCAGCCTGGCCAACATGATGAAACCCCTTCTCTACTAAAAGTACAAAAATTAGCCGGGCATGGTGGCAGGCACCAGTAATCCCTCAGGAGGCTGAGGCAGGGGAATCGCTTGGACCTGGGAGTTGGAGGTTGCAGTGATCTGAGATCACGCCTGGGCAATAAAAGTAAGACTCTGTCTCAAAAAAAAAAAGGTGGTGCTGGCAGTGACGGGAGGCAGAGCCTGTGGGCCTTCTATCATAACAACTTTGGTTTTTGCTCTAAGTGAGCTAGAAAGTTATGGGAAGGTTGTCAGCAGAAAAACAATATGATCTAATTTGATCACTCTGGCTGCTGTGTTAACAATAGACTGGGAGTGGGCAGGCAAGATCAGAAGGAAGCAGGAATACCAATTAGGAGGTGCCACAGCAGCCCAGGCACAAGGTGATGGAGACAGGGGAAGTGATAAGAAGTGGTTTGATTTTGGAGCTGCTTAGAAGGTGGAGCCAGCAGGGTTTGCTAATGGCTTGGATGCAGGATGTGAGAAAAAGGGAAGAATCCAGGCTGACTTCAAGGTTTTGGCCTGAGTAACTAGAATAATGGAGTCACCATTATGGAGAAGAAAAAAAATGGTGAAAGGGAGAGGAGTTGTTTGAGGAAAGAGAAAGTGAGAAATCGTATGTAGGAGAGTGAATGGACAGGAAAGATAGTGTGGCATTGCCCACCAGAGCTGAGGGCTCATTTGAGGTTTGTGACCATAAGTTTAAAGTAACATCATGGATTTTTTTGTTCCTCTAGCCATTTTCAGTTGCATTCGTGTCAGTATGGAGTAGGTGCAGAGTTGGCTTTAACTGAGGTTGGAGATTTGCCAGCCAGTGCAATGGGAGAGTGAATGCACTGATACACAGGGGAGATGATAATAATCAGTGAGGGCTAAGCAGGCTAAGGAGGGCAAGGGAAGATGGGGAGAGGGACAGTTAAAGTTGGCAGGCAGGATCCATGGGCTGTCTATTTTGGTAGGTGGGAGAGTTGTTGGAGTGGGGATACAGAGGAGTAAGCTGGGTAGACGGAAGGTGGTGGTGGCCAGCGACTGACAGGCTTACAACAGAGATTGTGGAAGGGGCATAGAAACTTTAGCAAAAGGTTCAAGGGTATGAGTATGGGAATAAGTAATGCCCAGGATCATCTTCCCTGATATCTCCATACCTTGGCCTCAGCTCCTTCACTTCAGCTTGTGTGCATTTCCAAGAATCCTCTCCCTTCCTGGTATTTGTATCACTAGCTGATACAAACTTGGCTCCTATTCTCCTCCTCAGTGGCCTCCACTTGTGTTAGTCTGGGTCCTACAAGAAGCAGAAGGATTAAATACACAAGACTTTCATTAAAGGTAGTATCTATGTGAGAGGGAATGGGGAGGGAGTGGGTAAGGCTGGGACAGCTGCCGGACCACCATGACCCCAAGCGAAGGAGAAAGAGGGAGCACGTTGGATGGAAGCATCCTAGATTGCCGTGCAGTCCAAGGAAGGCTAGAAGGTTTGGCAAGGCTGTCAGTGAGTCCTCTAGCTTAAGATAACTGTCAGAGGAGTCCCTGTCCCAGGAACAGCCCTCTCTTGGCCTCCCTGACACATCCAGTCATGGCTGAGCTAACACAGCAATGGGTTTCACAGTCCAGAAGCTTGGCCCCATGGTCAATTATGCTGCCCATAATTAGAGTGATATGAAGCACCTTCTGACGCATGCCACACTATTGTAGCTACGGGACCAAGCTCAGAAGTGATGTCACTGCTCTTAAATTCACTATCCTGAGCTTTTTAGCCCTTTGCTAAGATCTGGGTGCTGAGATCGTCTTGAGAGAAGCAGATAGGCAACATGCAGCTTCCTTGGTTTCCTTCACACATAGCAGCACTCTCCACACTGACTTAACTTCTGAGAAGTCTCTGTGCCTTTGGAGACGGTGCACCGTGTATGCCCACTGCCAAGCTCATGTCCAGCCTCCACTGTTAAAACAGGCATGAGAATGAGCACTGGGTCTGCAGGAGCTGAGCTTGGAGAGGATGAGGGCACAGTGTTCCATACATCAGGTGACCACGGAGGTAGAATCAGGGGCCCTCTTGGGTCCCATTTGTCACTCCTCTGCTGACACTAGCAGACTCTAGGTCTCCACTGAAAGGCTATTTTCTTCCATCCATTTGGCATTCTTCACGTCCCACCAGATTCTCTGTCCTGCATTTTCTACTCATTGACACCTGAAAATTCAGCCTTCACAAAACCTTACCTCACTCAAAGCCTTCGTCCGCCTCCCCGAGCCTGATTTCTCAGGCCTGCCATCCAAATAAATACCCATCTTCAGCCCCTGCCAGTTTGTACTTTCACCACAAACTGCACCCTTGACTTCCCTTTGCCTCTGCAATTCCTTTCACTCCACGCCCCTCCACAAGGCTTAGCATATCATTTTTGTGCTACCTCTCAAATTCTCTGTCTTTTTATGCCTGCTGCCAAAACACTGGTTCATGCTCCAGTTATTCCCCTCCTCAACACAATCTATTGCTTTTTGCCTTTGCAGTTTCTTTTTTCATTTTTGTTTTGTTTCCTTCCCTAGACGTACTCCCTCTTGCTGTGCTCCTGCCTCTCATGATTCCTGTTCCTGCTCTCCTCTCTTCACCATCGAAATGGATCTCACAGATCCACTTGCCCCACCCACCACTTCTTCTCATGGTGGCCTTGAATAAGTCACCAATGCATTACTCTCAAAATAGTCTTCTCCTAAAAACAAACAAACAAACAAACAAACAAAAAACACCTTCCAAAGGCAGGGCCATTGACAGGAAAGTCTTAGTCCAACAAGTCCTTGGCTCCTCAACCCCAGCTGACTGGCGTGGTCCACACTGGATGCACCCCTACAACAAGAGGGGCTTTTGGAGACTAGGGATGAGGTTAGAGTTGAGAAAATAATAAAGTGGAATGTGGCTTCTACAGGGGAGGGAGAGTGTCTCAAATTTACCCACTAATGAGTGGCTGAGCCAGAACTCACATATAGTGACACTCAATTCACCATTCTTTCAATTGTATTAACAATGCTGTTGATTAAGAAGAAATTCCAGCATTGGGTGAGAGCAGGGTTTTCAGCCACTCCAGAGAGTTGGAGGAGGAGCAGCACCAGGGAGCTGGTTAGAAATGCAGCCTCTGGGCCCCAGCCAGACCTACTGAGTCACAATGTGCATTTGAACAGGATCCCCAGGTAATTTGCATGCACATTAAAATATAAGAAGAACCAATTAGAGAACTTAAGCCGCATCTCCTTTCTCCAGGTTAGAGGCTCCAGAACACAGATATTTGGCAGTCGATTTATAGTGGAGTGCAAGGAGCTCTCTGTAACACAATAGATGCTGAATCAATTTTATTTACTGACAGATTGATTAAACAGTCTTGCCCCTTAATTATTTTTGTCTTCTATAAAGGGCAAGTCAAATTACTTATTTTCCAGGGTTTTTTTCCGAAGTAAGATACTCTAAGGGTGACTCTGAGACACATTCTGTGGTTATTGTATCTTCCATGTGTGCTAAATGACCACACACTGGGACCCCGCTCTGCAATTTAGGAGCCTGCACTTGGTGAGGAGCAGCAAGCAAATGTGAGTAAATCACAGAGGCAGCTTCTCAGCTCTGCCCCACCCACTGAGACGCCTGCTCAGTGCCCCAAGCTATTCTTAGACTGACATGCCACCTCTGGGTTGTCACCCAGCCAGGATTCTTTGTGCTCCAAAGAAAGAGAGTCCCAGAAACATTGATTTTTGGATCCATGAGCACCTTCCAGCTTCCAGACCCACAGACAGGAAGAAAGGCATCCTTGGCAGGTGCCAGGTACCCTGGACCCAGCCTCTTGCTGGATGAGGGGCAGGAAAACGAATATGAGGGGTTGGCAATGTCTGGTTATCCCATGCTGAAATGGGGTAAAGGGTCAGAACACACTGGAAATAGTTCTACCTCTAGGCACAGCAGGTGTGTGTGTGTATACAGAGCAGTTACCAAAAAGAGCTTCAAGGAAGAAAACATTTCCATCCGAATGGCAGTGTCTGCACTACAGTGACACGAGATTTGGGGTTAGATGTGGGTGCACCTGCCCAATACACATAGAAAAACATCTGGAGCCATTAAATGTTCCACATTTGGGGAATGTTCTGGATCAATACCAAATGAGGATGTAGATATCTTTCTGCTCAGGGTAAAAATGTGCTTGAAACACGTAAAATCCTTTGGATCTGCCTCCATTTAAAAAGCACAGTTATTCCTAAAGTTTTCAGTTTGCTACCACAGACAGTTTCCTGCTCAAATATAGTAATCCAAAATATCCATCTATAATTCTTAGCATCTGCTCTATACAGAACACCATATTTCGACATTCCATGAAAATTTTTTAAATAAAAGAAGGAAGGAAAGAAGTAAAAAAAAAAAATGGAAGGGAGGGAAGACAAAAATAAGTATTCTCTGAGAGTAGTTTTTTCTCTGATAGGCTAATAATATATAAATGTTAAAAATATTTACATTGGCAGATTCTTATGCTGGTTAATTGATAGTCTACATATTTTCAGTAGAAGGCTGTTGGCAAAAGCAGGTGAAAACAATTAGTAATGCAATCATTATAGATCAATTTACTGTAAAGGTTAATAGCTCTTTGTTTCTAATAAGATCTCTACTAACCCTTCTGTGAACTGTGATGTTCCTTTGCACTCTTTGCAAACTTTAATAGTTTTTCCTATACCTAGCACAGTTCTTGGTTCAGAGGCATCATTCAATTAAAAGAAGTATTCAATGAATGAGCAAATCAATGTTTATGTTTCTATGAAAACTGCCTAAATATATACCAGAATATTTGAATTTTATATATCCTGCATTTTACAGCTAGGGTAGGGCCTAGACTCAGTTAACACTTGGCTGTACTGATGACTTTAATTAAGATGTAAGTAATGATCATTTACCAAAGAAATCAGAACAGAAGCATTTCTTAAACTACTAATCAATAAACCACCCAATAGACAAATGAGCAAAAGATATGAAAAGGTAAATCACAAAAAAAGAAAGTATAGATGACCAATAAACATATGAAAAGATGTTCCCCAAACAAGCAATCACAAAGTGCAAATTAAAACACCCAGAAGACACACCATGTTTAAACCATCAGATGGGCAGCAGTCAGATAAAATGGCACAGCGTATAGGGGTATGGGCTCTGAAGTCAGGCGGAGTCTAAATCCTGGCTACCACTTGCCAATGTAGGCCCCAAGACAAGATTTTTAACTTCACTAAGCCTGCAGAGGGTTAATAATATTAATTGGTATTGTATTGTGTATGGTAGTCAAAGAGGACTTTATTTCTTTGTGTTATCTTATTTTTTACAATGCATTCCTCTATTGTTTATATAATTAAAATGTAGTGAAGGGGAATAGAGAGTTAATGTTTAATGGATACAGCATTTCAGTTTGGGATGATGGAAAAGTTCTGGAAATGGATAGTGGTGATAGTTGCTGCACAACCATGTAGATGTCCTAATAAGTACACTAAACTGTACGCTTAAAAATGATTAAAATGTTAAATTTTATGTTACGTGGATTTTACCATAATAAACGAGTTGTGACTTAATAGAAAATCCTTTGTACCATAACATGTGACAAGAGGAAGACTTTAGTCAAAGGTTTAGTCTGTGCCACAGAGTACAAAACTTGACGAGATTTAAGTTGAGTCTTTAAAGACATGCAGAATTTGGATCTGGAAAGCTTGGTGGACAGAGCTTGGAGAAAGAGGCATTGGGGAATGGGGCATCTGCCTAGAGAAGGATAGTCTGGAAAAAAGAAGGGAAACAAAATTAGGTAGATATTCTGTGTGAAGTCAAGCAGTACCCCATTGCTGGAAGTCGGCCCTGATCTGCCAGGAGAGAAGGTAATTCCCCCACCTCCTCCTTCCCCCTTTCTCCAGTCAACAGCCCTCCAGAGATGCTTTCCCCAATGGGGAGGAGCAGGGGAGGTGATGCAGAAGGAGAAGAAAGGGTCATAAAAAGTAGAATCTCCTAATGGCTTGTATTTTTGCTGCAGCAGCTCCTCCTTCAAAGAGCTGCCATGCACCTGGAGGGAGCTTGATTTCCTTCTGAGAATATGCCTTTCAAGTAGATTAAAAACTATTTTCATGAGTTGCGGCTGTTTACATGCAAACCTGTCATTCAGATGATGTGTGCCTTCACAGACGCCCACAGAGGCTTATCAACGGCTCCCTTCTTTTTCGGGATAATTTCCTTTAAGTTCCTATGCAGTGTGTCTGGGCAGGGGAGGGAAGTGAGGGGACGGGGGATGTTTTGTTTCCTCAGCAAGGTGAAAACAGAGATGCAAAGAAGATAATGGAGGTGGGGCCAGAGCAAGAGTCCAGAGTCTCCTTCAGCTGGGCTAAGGGCAGGAAGGTCTCAAACGTGAGCGCCTGGTGTGAGCTCTCCTTGACACAGGCAAGTCTCACCCTTGCCTGCAGATATGACAACTTCCCATAGCACCTGGTTCCTGCCTCCCATTCTTCAGTATTGAGGCCATGGTCTCAGAGATAGAAAGACTTTTTCTAGAAAAGAGCAGGCTGACTTCAGGAAATTGAAGGAGGTATAATAAAGCCTTGAACTCAGCCACTGTAAACCCCAAATTCTAGAATAAATTTTAAAATGTATGCTGAATTGAATTTTAGTTTTTTTCTTTTGTCAAAAATTAAAAAGGAAGAAAGACATTAAAAAGCCACTGTGATCTAGAAGCCACATTGTTTTCTAAGGCTTATGAAATTAAATGTAAGTGTTCTCTACATTGAAGATTGATCTAAATTCTAGAAAGATAAAGATATGGTTTATGAGCCTTTGGAAAGAAAAAGTTGGTGCATTCAAAGCAGCATAAGACAAAAATAGATGCCAAACCAATGGTGTGTATGTGTGATGTGTGTACCTATGTATGTGTGTATGTGTGTGTGTGCGTGCGTGTGTGTGTATTTGGCTGAAGTAGTTATACTGGTCTTAGGTAAATGCCATATTATAAAATGTCCATACCAGATGCCATGGATCCCATGTGTCTTGATTTCAGCAAGACTTTTAAAATAATGTCTCCTGAACAAAATGGAAAAGCATGGTCAGGATATTAACAAATATAAGCCGACAACAACATTGCCCCAAGATTATAACTTTTATAAATCTAGGTTTCTTCATGTATATAACAAAAAAGTTGAATTAGATATCCACTAAGTTCTTTTCCACTTCTTCAGCCTGTGATTGTATTACTTCAAGGAAGTTCTCAAAAGATATTTCCCAAGATTTTTCAAGGCCCAGTCCTGACTTGTGTAAAAATGTAGGAGATGTGCTTACACAGCCAGAGAAGACAACAAGGGGAAGTCCACTTATGGCCTAGGGGATAGAGTCAGCATTCAAAGTTACCCACTCTACCCCCGCCAACCCCCCACCAAAATCAATAACACCATAGTTTGACATCAATGAGATAAAATGTAACAGAATAAAGTTTTGATTTAAAAAACTCATTCCATAAAGTCCACGTATCAGAGATCTATCTTGATAGTGGTTCGGATAAAGAAGTCACAGGGATTTAATTAACTTTAAATTAAGCACCAAATATCAGAATGCTATGTGTCAAGCCTGGGTGCAAAGGAGGACTTGGTACAGGCTAGGCTGTATTAATAAAACTTAGGGTCCAAATCAAACAGCATCATTACCCCCACTCCATATTCTACCCTGAATTTGGAGTATTGGGCACCACCCATTGAGAAGGACATTAACAAGCCAGAAAGTATCCAGAGAAGAGGAAAAGATGACAGGAAGGCATCTTAAAGGTGTGTGGTAAGGACCAAGGTCTCATCTGGCCACGTCCACCCACTGGTCTCCTTGCTGTCACCCTTTCCACCCAGCTGAGCTCTTTCCCAGCATCTGTTCAGCATGGATGCCAGTTCTTGCTTGAAAAAACAGGATAGAAACATACCATCTCCCGAGGGAACCACCTTCTGATGGGCCTATTGCAGATTTCTTCCTTACCCTGAATGGAAATCTCATTCCCTATGACCCTTCCATTCACTGGCCCAGATTCTAACACTCTGGGCCCGTGCAGGTAAAATCTAATTCCCCTTCTACATAAACAGCCCTTCAAATAAGCCAAGAGGAGAGATAGTCACCACCTCCTTACCCCCAAAAAAACCCTTCCAAGTAAAACTGGTCTGTTTTGAAAGGTGAATCCGCAAGAAGTTGTAGCTTTCTGTCCTCCATGTGTCCTGGAGGTCCTGGAGATAAGGCCTGACTGGGATTCTTACCCCCTTGCACAGGTCAGAAGCAACCATGAGTGGTGAGAAGCTTACGGTGATATGACCTCATTGGTATTGCATCTGGCCTGTCATCCAGGGCCTACAGTCTTAGAAATTGGAGTGATGACTCCTAAATGTGACTTTTCTGATACATTAGGGTATTTCTAGTTTACACAAAATTCTCAAAACACTATTTTATCTCACATTAATTTCAAAAATAGACATATGCCCTAGAGCACTTTAAAAGCACTATCAAAATTCCAGGTCTCAATTCCAAACAAGCAGAAATCATTGGCTCATTTTGCCATTTTTCTAGTCTAAAATACCTTAATAATCTTACATTTTCTTAATATACTCTGAATGTTATGTGGATTCCTATTCTATATCTGACAGCCATTTATATATTTTTAAATTCTGCTGCTGGTATTACTACAAACTTCCATTTTTCTGATATTTATTTGAGTGCCTGTTTTGTGCATGATACCTTGAAATACATGACAAACAAAAACAAAATCAAAAATCCATAGTAAATTTGTTCAGACCGTGGTATGAAATGAAATCCCAAATTTATAAAGAAACACTGAGCTACAAACTGTCCAAAAGGTAGTTTGGCTGATCTGCCTTTAGAGGGTACAGAATTGGAACTCATCCTCCACCAACCCCATTTTTTCACAGGCCTAAAAAAGACCAGGAAGTGCTGCTGGGGTGTCCTCACTGATATTTTATAGCCTCTTTTTAAAACCCAACTTGTTCAAAGTAAATAAAATGTTGCTTGTGTAAGTAATTAATCAGAAATTATTCGGAAGGTTTATTATGAGGCCAATAGTAGGCAATCTCCTGAGGCACTCAGCAAACTCTCTCTCTCAGTAAATAATTATTTAAGTTAAAATTATTTACTAAATTAAGTCGTTCCTTTTGTGATATCTCTGAGACTTCAAGTAATTGCCTAGGTTTGCTTTAGTTTGGTGTTTTATAAAGAAAAAACAGGGCTACATAATGAATTAACTGTGCAATTAACTATAAATTTAGCACTTCAGAAACACATTTTAATGACTAGGAACAGGTACAAAGAGCCATGTGTGTGTTTGTGTGTGTGTGTGTGTGTGTGTGTGTGTGTGTGTGTGTGTATTTAAACCTAGGTGTAATTTTCCATCTTAATGCAGCAAGGCTGGGAAAATGTTAGCACAGCATAACTTATTACTTGCCATTTACAGAGAGTCAGTAACATAGAAAGCCCAATTTAGGCAGAGCCATAGCCACAGGCCTCTGCCCTGGGCTCATGGTGAGAACTGCTTTGGCCTTGAGGCAGGGCCACCTCCTTCCTTTCTCTGTTGAGCTCCCACCAAAAGGACAGGCTCTCCAGGAGAAGCCTTCCCTGAACCCTCCTGGGGTTTGGAGAATAATGATCTGATGCCTAGAGCTTCCTCCCTTTCTCCAAACCAAGACTCTTCCTTGTTATAATTATGAAGAGAGAAATGATGAAAAGTAGGGTCTGGGTTAATGAAAGCCTGAATTCATCTCATCAAACGTCTGTACCATGCAAGAGTATATCCTCGCACTTTATGATTTTCCACACACTTTTGGGTTTATAGTTTTGTAACGGGAAGGAAGCATCCACCATGTGCCAAGCACTTGGCTTCCTTCCACAATGCATGGAAGGATCGTGGAAATAAAAGGATGTGCCTCTGTGCGTGGAGACAGACATCTACCTCCTGACCAGTCGTCAAGACTGGCCACTGCGATGCTGACAGACAAATGAACCATGGACTTGGTGGTGAGATGATACAGGGAACACACTTCGGGCCTTAAGAAGGAAATCTTACAGCCACCAACCAACCATTTCAGACAAATGGAGTCTGAGTCCATTTTGGAAGAACTTTACAGGAGGAAATTCTACTTGCATTTTCAATTGTTCAAGTTACTTACAGCTAATCAATCTGTGATATCGTCAAGCACTATGAGCCAGCTCTGGAGGGGAAAAGGAGCTTACAGTCTCATAGAGACATGAGATATAAACAAATATCTCATTATGCACACAAGCACCCCCACGTGGCGAGCATGTTATATCATGTAATCCTCACGACAGCTCCATGATATTGGTGTGGTGAGTGTCGCCTCACTGGGGGAAGATGAAGGCCTTTCCATGAGATGACCTCTGCCTACACAGATGGATCTTTGCTGTTGCCTTCTATTTGTTCAGTGCTCCCCAATGAAGGTGATATACAGGGCCTCCTCCACTTCTCCATCTCTTGCTTCCTGTGGAGGGATGCCAAAAGGACTCACAATGTGTGGAATGTGACGATATGCCTTGTGTGTAGCTTCTTTGTAATACAGCCAAAATTGGGCTTCCTCCCTTGCTTTCACACACACACACATACACACACACACACACACACACACACACACACACGCACTTCCAACAAGGAGAAATCAGGAATTTATTCAAAATGCTGTCTAGGGCACATTCTCTACCTTTGCTTCAAACATAAGACCAAAGTTCAAATGAGCTCCCCAAATCCCCCATTTATTAATTAGGTTTCTGTAGTTAGTTGCTTTGGTACAATTGCTAAAGGCAGGGAAGTAAAACACATGTGTTGTAAAAAGAAATCATTTTGCCAACAAGAGTTAAAACAGAAAAGTTTGGATCTTCACCCTATGCAGACACATTAGTTAGCCAGAATGCTCATTCCCCTAACAGGCCAAACAATTAAGGCCTCACATGCTCAGTGACATCTCTTTTTGCTCCTAGACATCGTGTTGTGGTACACAAACTTGCTTTCTGTTCCCATGCCAACTCCAAAGCCTTTTGCTCAGCCCTTCTTGGCCTCTTCGCAGCATTTGATCCTACTGAGCACCCTACTGCTTCATTCAACAACATCCCTAGTACCTCCCATATGCCAGGCACTCTGCTTGGTGTTCAGACATGATCTCCATCCTCAAAGAGCTCAAGGACTATCAGGTGAGGCCAACATTGCTGAAACTCACTCTAATGCAAAGTGAGGATGAGACAGATGTGGGTCAAGATTACAGTGGCAAGGCTTCGAAGCCACGTTAGGGATTTGGTAGATTATTCTAAGAACAATGAGATACTATTGATGGGTTTTCATAGGAAAAAGTATGATTCGACTTGCATTATTCGAGGGTCACTTAGGTTATGTTAAAATAAGTAAATAAAACACCATTAGAGTGAATGGATTGGAGCATGACAAGAGGAGCCCCTGGAAGATCACTCAGGGAGCTACTGACATTGTCTAGGAAAGAGAGGATGGCTGCCAGGCCTAGAGTGATGGCAAAGGAGAGAGAAAGTCATGGAGGACATGGGGAGTGCGTAGACATGGGAAGGGAGGGACCTGAGATGGTTTCCTAGCTCCTGGCTGGACAGTGAAGCCTTCCCTGAGCTGTGGGCATGGAGCAGGCTGTAAAGGGTGGGGATGTTGATTTCTGTCCTGCTTATGTTGGGCATGAGGTCCCTGTGAGGTCTCCCAGGGGAGCTTCTAAAAAGCGTCTATAGCTCAGTGACCTGCACTGGAGTGACATATTTGGGAGTTCTGGCCCTACGGTTGATAGCTGAAGCCATGGGAATGGCTGAGATCACCTTGGGAGAGAGTGCAGAGTGCCAAGTGAAGAGGCCCTCAGTACAGAGCCCTCCAGACAGCCCTCTTAAGTCCCACCAGTTACCCAGCCCTATCAACAATTATTCCCTTAGCAGTTTCCTCAATCTGTCCCCCTTTCCTTCCCACTTCCACTCTCCAAGCTTAGGCCCTAACCACTTTTTTAAAATGACTGCAACAGTCTGGTCTCAGGAGTCTCACTCACTCCCTTCTATTTACCTTTCTCATCATTGCCAAACTAATTTTCCTAATGCTTGGCTCCTGTCATGTTGTTTTTCTCCTTCAAAACCTTCACAGTCTTCTCATTTCCTGCACAATAAAGCATAATTAGTTCACCCGGATGCAGAGCCTTCCATACGATGGGCTAGCTGACACAGGCGTGCCTTTGCTGCTGTCCTCTACCTGTTCTGTGCTCCCCATCAAAGGTGATATACGGCACCTCCTCCACTTCTACACCTCTTACCTGCTAAGGAGGAATGCTGAAAGGACTCATGATGTGTGAAATAAGAGGATGTGCCTCTGTATGGGGAGACAAACATCTACCTTCTGACATTGGTTTCTCCCTAGTCTTTAAAACAGGCAATACACACAAGAAATAAGTAGACTATATACTATGCCAGAGGGTGATTAGTGCTGTGTAGAAAGACAGAGCCAAGTAGGAGACTGGGAGTGCTGGGGGTGTGATTTGCTGTAAGTTCACCAGGGCAGGCTTCACCATGAAGGTGCCATTTGAGCAAGACTTGGGGAGATGAGGGCTGAAGCATCTCACCCTGGGGGAAAGAGTGTTTCTGGCAGAGGGACACCAAGTGCAAAGCCCTAGGCAGGAGCATGCCTGCCACATTCAAGGAACAGGAAGGAGGCCAGTGTGGCAGGAGTGGAGTGAGAGAGGGTGCAGGCAATGGGAGATGATAAGAGGCGTAATAGCAGGAAGGAGTCAGATGGAGCAGCACCCGGATTGCCCCAGTGGAAGATTCGGGGCAGGGGAGTGATTTAACTTCTGCCATAAAAGCAGCCCTCTGGCTGCTGCAGGAGAATAAGCCACAAAGGGTGAGGGCAGGAGCGAGGGACTGGGGAGAAGGCTAGTGCAGTAGCCCAGGCAGAGGACTGTGGCCGGGCCCAGGACAACAGAAGCACTGAGAGAGGTGGTGGGAGGGGCTGAATTCTGAATAGATCTCACAGACGTGGAAACAGGACTTAAAGATGGAACGAATGGGGATCCATGAGAGAGTGAGAGCAGTCGAGGTTTTTGGTATGAGCTCCTGGGAGGAAGGGATTGTTATCTGAGTTGGGAAATTGTCATTTGAGTTGTGGGCAGGGCATGTTTGGGGGATAGAATATAAGTTCAGTTTTGAACTTGCTAAATGTGTGATGTACATTAGACATTCAGGTGAAAATGCTGTGTGGCCAGTTATGTACATGAATCTGCAGTTCAGGAGAAAGATCGGTGCTGCAGATAGAAATTTGGGTTCAGATGATAAAGACTTTCCTCTATAATAACAATAATAAAAACTACTCTCCCCTCTTCTCATCACTGCCATCATCTCTACCCCACTATTGATAACTGCTATGTGCCAGGCACTGTGCTAATTATTTTACTCATATTACCTCATTTGCTTCTCATAACAACCCCATGAAGCAGCTACCAGAATTCTCATTTTCACAGATGAGGCATCTTAGGCTTTGAGAACTTGCGTATCTTGCCCAAGCTCACACAGCTGGAAAGAACTTCATGCTCATGCAGTGAAGAGCCATTAAAAAAATTGAGAATAACACCATCAAATGTTCACTTTAGATGAATTGCTCTGAGGATAGCATAGCAGCTAGAATAGGATGGTTTGAGACCAGTGAGGAGACCACTGCAATAACTCAAGAGTCCAAGCAAGAGGTGACATAAGACGAACTCAGGCTGTGGCTGCAGGAATGGGAAGGAAGGAATAGGATCCAGGAGTTACTAGGTAGCAGGACAAGGCTTGGGGGCTGATAGGGTTTGGATATTTGATCCTGCCCAAATCTCATATTGAATTATAATCCCCAATGCTGGTGGTGGGGCCTGGTGGGAGGTGTTTGAATCATGAGAGCAGATCCCTCATGAATGGTTTAGGCCATTCCCTTGGTGATAGGTGAGTTCTCAGTCTGAGTTCACATGAGATCACCCACCCTCTCTCTCTTGCTTCTGCTCTGCCATGTAAAGTGCTTGCTCCCCCTTTGCCTTCCACCATGATTGTGAGCTTCCTGAGGCCTCCCGAGAAACTGAGCAGATGCCAGCACCATACTTCCTGTACAGTCTGCAGACCTGTAAGCCAATTAAATCTCTTTTCTTTATAAATTACCCAATCTCAGCAAGGCAAGAATGAAAGAATGGCTAGTACAGGGACCTATTGCAGTGGGGGCATAAAGAAAAAGTCCATGATGTCTATAGGCTCCTGGCTGGGGGAACTGATTGAAGGGTGGTACCCTTTGGTTGAGATGGGGAGCACAGGAGAAGAGTCAGGACCTGAGTCCATAAGGAGCCTCGCAGGCCAGTGCAAACGGGACACCCAAGGAAGCAGGAGCGATAATGCTGGACGATAGGCTGGGATCAACCAAGGTAAGTCTTTCCTATGAGGCTTAGGAGGTTAACTTTGCTCTGCAGACAAAGATGCCATTAAGACTTGAGGCAGATAAATGTGGTTACACGTAAGAATCAAGTCTTGTAATTCTTTAAGTCCTGTGAGGACAGGACCTGGGTTTCCTGTGTGACATGTACTGCACAACCGTCTATGCACAGCAGCTACTTAATACCATAAACAACACTCTTGCCCCTATCCTTTTTTTCCCCATTTATCGGGCATACTTGCAGAAGATTTTTTTTTCAGATGCAAGAACATTGTGGGTTGAATAAGCTGACTAAATCCATTCACTATTTCTATAGAACATTTTTAAAGTCTAACTTATAACAAGTAACAGCCTCCTGACTCCTCCACAACTCGCTACTCCCCACCACCCCTATTGTCTGTCCTGACTGGGATAATGGGTAATTGTGTTTCAACATGAATTATGCTAAAACGCTTCTCATTGCCTGGCTTCAATCATCACCAAAACCCAGGTCCTAATCTAACTTCATTGTCATTAAGCCACCAAACCAGCTGCTGCAGTGAAAACAGGCAGGCAAAGGAAAAAGTCTTAGGAGAAGAGTGACATTTCTCTGAGAAACAAAAGAACCATCTCTGATCAAGTGACCTGCATGAGAGAAGGAGGAGAGAGCTCCCAGCGCTGACTAAACTGAAATTGCCAGTTAGGCCCTCTTCTCATTAGTTTTTCTTTCACACTTCACATTAGCTCAGTGAAAGGAAGATGAATTAAGAGTTAAATGCACCAAAATAACTTAAGCAATCTTTAAATAAGGCGTAAATGTGCTTTATGTTTCTACCTACACCCTCTTCCTGTCTCACTCTCCTCTCTCCCTCATGCTGGCCCTGCTCCTTCCTTTGTGCCTTCTCTTTGTCTCTTTTCTCCCTTGTTGATTCTGTTCTCTCTCTATGTGCTGTTCTGTCCTCTGCTTGTATGGTTTCTTCACTCCAATAGCTGCCCTCTCTTTAAAACTCCTGCACCCTTTAGCTCTGGCCCACCTGGGTGCCCTCCTTGGCATCTTTCTCTTCCCACTCCCTCTGCTGTCCTCAGATCTCCTTCTACCCATCACGCCCCTCTTCCACACCCATGCTTTCTGCCTTCCCATATCTGGCCTCAGATGGCACCAGAAGCCAAATTTCTAGTGACGGAAAGCCCATTGTTGCCTGATGAAGGCAGATGATATAAATGAGGCAATTGCTTCAATACATAATTAAAATAAGCCAAATGAAGCAGCAGCAAAACAAGACAGATTCATGGTTTGGAGATCTAAGGATGAACCCTTTGCAGAAGACAGTCCTCCCTCCCTCACCCCAGCTGGCACTGCGCCCCAGAAGCGTATTGACTGGCCAATCAATTCTCAAATTCTAGATAGATGGGCTGGTGATAAACAATGACCACTCAGCCCCTTTCTCAGCCCTGCCAGGCCCAGCTAATGCACACTGAACCATCCCCCGTTTTGAAAGACCTTCCTGGGATTGTTTATCTCTCTACCCTCTCCACTTTTGTTTCCAGCTACAGGGAACTCCTAAGTGGAAAATCGATAGGCGCTTTAATTACTGGCCCCCAATTCATCAGGGCCTCAACTGTAATTACTCTGCCTGAGCCAGGAGCCAATAAGCAGAGACCGCCAGGCACTGGACAATGTGCAAGACAATCAGCCCAGAGTCTGTGGCTCAGCCTGCGGGGAGCCTTGTGAGGCTGCCTGCTCACCTTCCCGCTATGGCTTTCCTGTCCCCTTTCCCTGGTCAGCAGCAGGGGAGAGGCAGTCCCCAAAGAGATCCCAGGGCAGAACTGGTAGGGGGCATGGGATGGACACAAAGCCAACCCTTCTACTCTCTCCCAGGCTCTTGACTCAGTCAACTGCCTCTAAAACCATGCTTCTCAAAGTGTGGTCCCAGGACCAGCAGCTTCAGCATCCTGTGGAAAACAGACACATAAAAGCTCAAGCCCCAGCACAGATGCACTGAAACAGGTTCTGCATTTAACAATATCCCCACATTGAAGGATGAGAAGCACAGTTTGAAAATACATCCTGGGGTTTGTTTGCTTTGCTAGGGCTGGAAGGGAGTAGTGACTGTGCTCTCAGTACCCATTCCATGGCCTGTCAATACTTATGTCACCTAGAAGGGTTTCTTTAGAGTCTTTTTATTTAGGGTATGAAGGGCCCATAAATGCTAAAATGTTATTTTCCACTCCATGGCATCTTCATTCTTTTCCCTCCACTTCTGAGCTTGCCCCAAAGGCAGGGAGGTAAACTGAGGACCTGAGGGTTGATTGTCCACACTAGATTCTTCCCTTCTCTTTCATCCATGATGAAGCCTGACCAGCTATGTGCACAGATGCAGAATCCTGTTCCTGGGCCCCAGGACCCCTAAAGCTGATGTGTTTCTGATTCCTGCCCTCCTCAGCTCTTGGGACTCTTGAAGGCTGAGTATCAGGGAAACCCACAGGGCTCCTCTCAGGAGCTAAGTTGGTACCATGGGATGATGCTGGGATGTCATAAGAGATGCTCTCATGGGGTCCCCTTTAAAGAGTGGGGGCTGATTACATTGTTTTCCCCAGGAGAATAGGAATTCATCTTTGGGATGGCTCAGAATAAATGACTTATTTGTGATGGGTGAGTTCATAACCTGTGTGTGTCTGGGGCTTATTCCTCCTTCCTGCTACTGAAGGCCAAGAGTGGTGGCAAAATGAGCTCAGATTCTCTGTCAGAACACTGAGCAGGCTGTGTTTCTGGCGAGGGAGAGCTGGGATGCAACTGCCCTACTTCCTGCACACACATCAGTGAAGCTTCGTGTCTGAGCACGGAGCTATTGACTCAGCTGATCAATTTCCGAGTAGCAGGCAGCCAGGCCCATGAAAAATGACTCTGTTGCCCATTGCCCATCCCCCGCAGACACTGGCCTTGGCTAATGCAAATGGAACAATTCTCCATTTAGGAATTGCTTCTAAGCTCCTCTTTGTCCTTCTGCTTCCTAGACCTAGGCTTTCCCACCTGAGCCCTCTGGTCTTCTCTTTCTCTTTTGTGTCTCAAAGCTCATGCACTGCCTCAGCCTCAACTACCACTTTTAGGAAGATGAGTCCTCAAGATTCTCCATTTTCCATTCTTAACCTAAATTTAAACCCACTTGACTTGCTGGGCATTCCTGTCTGATGGCCTAATAATCATTGCCTTTAAACTCAAGACATCTCAAATCCAAACCTTACTCCTCCCACATCTGTCTCCCCTTCCCCCTGGTTGTTGTTTTCTCATTCCTGTGAAGGGCACCCAGGCTTGCATTCTAGTTGTCATGGCTTGTAAGTTCCTGTGTATGCTCAGTCCTGGAGGTACTGCCTTTCAAAGAGCTCTTGCCCAACCCTCTCTTTCTGTTCCCATTTTCACCTCCTTTATTCAGATCCTGTTGATGTTGTACCTGTGTGATTGTGATGGCCCCATTGTGGAACCAACCATCCCCTGCCCCAAGTCCTTCAACAATGCTAGTGAATCTCAATCCAAGCTGCAAATAGAATCATTCAGGGAGTTTTATAAAACACCAATGAGACCAATGATTAGGATGAATTAACCAGAAAAGCTGGACATGAGGCCCAGGAGTTGGTCATTTTAAAGCCTGCTCAGGTGACTCTAATACGTAGCCAGGTGAAGACCACTGCTCTAGCCAATCTAGACCATTTGCTACATGCAACCAACTTCTGTCCACATCGTCCTTTGTCATTTTGCTGTCACCCTTCCTTCTGCCTAGGATGACTTCCACTTCTCCCTCCATAGATGAAAATGCTCCCTATCCTTCCAAGCTGAGCCCAATTTACCCACTCTGTGACCTTTCCATTACAGAGCCCTCCTCAGAACTACCATAGCACTTACTTATACATTAGCCATAGTGTATGCCCTGCCCTTCCTCGTACTATGCTCTGTGGTCTTGCCATATCCTCTTTATCTAAATGCCACCTCCTTGAAAGACTAAAACATTTCTTAGAGCATTTATCTTGGAGCCAGAAGAGCTAAATTTGTGTTCTGACACCTCATAAATAAAACTTTGGCTGTGAGACTTTGGATATGTTTTTTAAAATCTCGGTTTCCTGTTCTGCAAAATGGGAAGCATGATTCTTATCTGTTTTATAAAAGTTCTAGTAGAGTAGGGAGGGAGGTAGAGGGACAAGGGTTGAAAAACTAACTATTGGGTACTATGCTCAGTACCTGGGTGATGAGATTAATCATACCCCAAACCTCAGCATCACGCAATATACCCAGGTGACAAAACTGCACTGTACCCCACGAATCTAAAATAGAAGTTGAAATCACTTTTAAAGTGTTCATCATTAGTAGTCTAACAGCGATTTTTGCCCTTCATGTTGTTTAACAGTGGCTTGGACAAATTAAGTGCTTAATAAGTGGGTGTTGAATAAAGGCGTGAATATATCTATATTTTTATCTTAGACTTTTTTTCTCCTCCTGAAAATAATTTCAAATTAGAAAGTCAATGCACTAAGGTGTGGGACCTGAGGTCATGGGCCCAGTGCTTCCTACAGTGGAGTCAGGCACAGAGACATCTGCTTTCCTAACTACCCTAGTCAAAGGCCCTTGCTGTGACATTTAAACCACGTCCCTTTGTCCCTTTTGTCAGGTATCAAAACCAAAAGCACAGATGTCACAGTTTCTGTGTCTGCATGCAGGGTGTCCTCATGGGTGAGCGCACATGCACACACACACACACAGCTAATAAATTGTTCTGCCCTTCATAGATACCTGCATAATCGAGAAAGCCAGCTTCCCCCAGCAAGTGCTCTCAGAACCAGCACTCCAGGGACAAGGACTGAGCCTGGAGATTGTGGTCTGCAGCTCTTAGTAACACATGGCAGAGGTTTCTGTTCACGTAAGTACCAAAGATGCCTACTGTCAGTTGTTAGTAGCTGGTCCCTTTTGGCGCAGCCATCGAATGAGTTAATAAAATGTATTTTTCAAGAGAGGGGCATGAGTGTGGGGGAATTCTGGAGCAGTGAAAGCTGAATTTCGAGGAGACTGAGATCATGGGTGAAACAAAATATCATGTAGAGCCAAGGGCATCTGCCAAGCAACTCCCCAGAACTCTGCCCCAGTCCTTCCCCAGCACCCCCTGTCCTGGCCTTCTCTGACCTGCATTCCCCAGCCTTCACTCTCATTTAAATGCTCATTTATGTTTCTGGATGAATAATCCCAGAAACAACTAGATTAGAAGAGTCCTTTATCCTGACTCGCAGCACTCGCACTAATTAGAAAGCATTATCCTATTCATCCCCTGAAACCCCAGAGAGGAGCTGGAGACCTGGGTAGGGGAAGGAGGTGGCCAAGGTCACAGGTAGGCAAATGCAAGGAGCAGGAAAGTGAGGGGCAGGACCCACGGTGTTTGTCAGGCCTAGGCAGTTTAGTAGGGTGGGTCCACCTGGGCTTGTGGCAAAGCCACAGAGACTTTTATCTCCCCTCGATGGGTCTGGTAATATTCTCATTCCATCCTAAATAGACAAATAAACTGAGACCGCATAACCCTGAGGGGTCAGACAAACCAAGAACGTCGTTAGGTGTTAGAAGGGCTTGGGAGATCTGTCACATGGCCATATCATGTAAACAGAAGCCCGGGGGATTATATGACTTGTCTAACGTAACACAGGTCATTTATGGCCAAGGCAAGCCTAGAATGCAAGTTTTCCGACTCCATCCAGTGCTTCTCCAGCATGCAGACATACACTTAGACTCTGTTGGTGCTGGGCAAGAGAACTATCCCTGACAAACAGCTTGTCTGAGTTCTACCAGCAAGGACGTTCACTTTCCCCTCCCCGCAATCCCACAATCTGCCAATTTCAGACAAGAAGGTCCCTTGAAGCTGCAGTTGGTTTGTCCCCAGTGGCCATCCAGGCCTATCTGTGGCCTTCATTTGCTTATCTTCTCTCTCCCTGGTATTTCTTTCTCTTTCTCCTCCTCCAGTCTCAAGTCCCTCCTTGTCTCTGGCTCCCTCCCTACAGAAGCATGGGTGAGAAAAGGCCCAAAAAGTGAGGATATGGAGTACCCCAAGCCTCAGAAGAGGTGGCAGCTGTCCCCGGGCTGTGGCCCACCTCTTGGGCTGCACACAGGGGTGTCGGGATATTGGGGCATGATCTAAGAAGCTCAGGCTACTGTGGCTTAGCAGAGAGGTCCTCACCCCTCCCCCATCCACACACTGCAGCACCCCCATTGAAAAGTGTGCACAGTGGCAGAGGCCACAGCCCTGAGGCAGCCTGTGCAGCCATCAGAGTCTTGACTGCAGAGTTTTGAGCCGAGGTTCCCAGCTGCCATCACCAGCTGTGAGGATGTAGGCAGGTACTTCATCTCCCTCAGTTTTCCAATGAAAATGAGGTAACCAGTATGAGGATGCAGTAAGTTAGCACACATAAAGCACTTAGAATTGTCCTGGGATGCAGTAAGCATTCAAAAACACGTTCATTTGTTTTGCTGTTATTCTTGCCTAGCCCCTGGCTGCCCAAGTAGAATGGTCACAGTCTTGCAGGAAAGATAGCCAAGCCCAAGTGTCCCTGATTAGAGAGGCTGTGACTAGGACACAATGATAGCAGAGACCCCGCTGGGAGATACAGCAAGTTCTCCTTTATTTCCCTACCTGCTGTCCCTTCCCTACCCCACTTCTAATACCCTCCCCATTCTTCAAACCAGCTCTCAGACCAGGATCAGATTCCACTTATTTGGCCTGTGTGGGACCCTGTTGGAGCCAAGTATGTTTCTTCCTAAATCTTCTCATTTCCACAACAGTTCCTGTAGTGGCAGGCGTGCCTGCCAGGCAGGGCACTGCCTGCTGCCTTCCCGGGACAGCCCTGCTGAGCAACACGTTTCTGCCCAAAGAGGGAGATCTGGACTGTTTCCAGCACTGTCTCACTCACTCATATCTTCACTTACTGTTATAGACTGGATGTGTCCCCAAAACTCACATGTTAGAGCCCTAAACCCCAGTGTGACAATTTGGAGATAGGGTCCTTATGGAAGTAATTAAGGTTAAATGAGGTCATAAGGGTAGGGCTCTGATCAGATAGGATCAGCATCCTTATAAGAAGCAGGAGAGACCAGAGCTCACTTGCTCTCTTGTGCTCTCTCTCTCTCTCTTTCTGTCATGTGAGGATACACTGACAAGTTGATCATCTGCAAGCCAGAAAATGAGCCCTCACCAGGAATCTCATTAGCCAGAATCTTAATCTTGAACATCTAGTCTCTAGTACTGTGGAAAATGAATTCCTGTTGTTTAAACCTCCTAGGCTATGGTGTTTCATTATGGCAGCCTTAGCTGACTAACATATCCACAATTCATTTGGTCCTTTAACTTCCATGGGGACACCTGCCCCAAGACGGGAACTGTGCTTGGGCTCAGAGCTTAATAAGGAGTTTACACGTAAGTAAAGGAAGTAGATGTTTCAATAGGTTGATAGCTTTATGAACTATTTTAAAAGGCATAATGAGATAAGCAGTCAAATAGAGGTATTCTGCAATGGGAGCAGGAAGTAATAGATTTTAATGTGCAACAAGGCTTCCAGAGGCAACAGAGTTTGAGCATGTCTGCCTTTTAGGACAGAAGTTTCCTGCCCAGTGGAGGAAGGAGGATTACGCCTCAATCCAGAGGAAGCAGATATTCCTGTTTTGCTCTCATTCAAGGTTTTAGAAAACTATATAGCTTTTATGCTGGTTTAAATAACCACACTAGCGCTCTAAGGATCTTTCTTCAAGATCCAGCTCAAGTCCCACCTTTTCCATGAAGACTTTCTGAGATTTTACGCCACACTGAGAAGGGCTTAGCAATCATCTTGCCCAACCCTCTCATTTTTCAGATGGAGGAAGCAGAGCTACAGTGAGGGCATGGGACCCTTGTCTTATGCATATTCATCTTCATTGCTTAGCTGCATTCTGAGCTTTCTGCTTTCTGTTTTCTTCAGATGAGCACAAGACTGGCTTCTGCTCATCATTCAGGGCTCAGCTTAAATGCCACCTCCTCAGGCAGGTGCTTCCTAACTGCCCTCACTAAAGCAGCCCCACCTCTACTTCCCACATACCCTGTGAGTCTCTAACAAATCACCCTATTTCATTGTTTCCATAGCTCTTTGGGGTATTTAAAATAATCTTACTTGATTATTTGTTTACATGTTTATTATCTATTTCTTTGAGTTAGAGTGTAAGCTCTTTGAGAGATGACCTTTTTCTGCATGCCCAGCCTGGCGCATAGTAAGTGCTCAACAAATATGTGTGGGCATGCCGAGTTGTGCTATGCTCTTAGTGGGGCAGTAAACGTGTACTGGCTGTGTTCACCCCACCCAGGTTTTTAAACCAGACTGATCTGTCGCCATTCCACCCAGCTGCCTCCTAACTGACTCTCTTGAAACCCGTTAGCTGTAATCCTGCTCCTGACAATGCCGTGGGCTTCTCTTCATTCTGCACTGCCTTACTCAGCTCCTGAAACCTGCCTTCACCTTTTTCTCTTACTCACCATGGGCTCCCTCTCACTTCTGCACACCCCTAAGTCTGTCTTCAGTGTTGAGGAACAAGCCTTGTCTTTTCTCCCTAGCTCCCCAACCCTGTTCACACACTCAAATCAACTGGAGTGAAGAGCAAGTTCTTCCCAGAGGGCGACACCTGCTCTCATCCTGCGCATCCACTCTCCCCCAATTCTCAGATCCACCAGCGCCCTCCCCCCACCCCACTGACCAGCCTGCCTCCCCGGTCGGATGTGCTTCCCCTCTCTTGCAATCACAGGACAGCTGTGAGCCTGGCATCAGAATTTATTTTTAAACCCAATCATGAGCTGCTGGACTGCTACCCCAGCTGTGACTGGCTTTCAGATGTAGGGACACTCCCTCAGTTTACCCATCCCAGGATTGCAAGACCACCCTCACTCCCTCCAGGTGTTCTCAGTTCCCCTGTCCAAGTCACTGGTGGGCTTTCCTCCCTCCATCACTCTGGCCTGGTCCCCTTGGGCGGCAGCTCCCATTGCCACCCTCCGGGCCCTCCCTGGCCATGGAGGGTTTCATTTCCTTGATGTTCCTTTCCTGGTCATTCCCCTCCTCCTCCTTCCCCTATCGGTTTGAATTGTGAATAATTCATGTGTTTCCATGATCCTGCCACGGGTTTTCTGCCTCATGAATCAAATCCCTGAGACACAGTTTATTTCTTCACCATCCTCTAGTCCAAGTTGCTGACAGGGAAAGGGTTTATTCCTGTAGGTCATGAATGGACGCCAATACTTATGCCTGCTTATGGTGACAGTAACCATTTTTCCCACCCTATTCTTCTACCATGCTCTATTTTTCCTGTCTTTTTAATTTTTTTTAAGACAAGACCTCACTCTGTTGCCCAGACTAGAGTGCAGTGGCACCATCTCAGCTCAATGCAACCTCTGCCTCCTAGGTTCAAGCAATCCTCCCATCTCAGCCTCCCAGGTAGCTGAGATTACAGGTGCACACCACCATGCCCAGCTAATCTTTGCGTTTTTTATAGAGACAGGGTTTCACCACGTTGCTCACACTGGTCTTGAACTCCTGAGCTCAAGCAATTTGCCTGCCTCAGCCTTCCAAAGTGCTGGGGGATTACAGGCATGAGCCACTGTGCCTGGCCTATTTTTGTTATATATATATATAGTTGCTTCCCCCCTGCCCCCGAGACAGAGTCTTACTCTGTCGCCCAGGCTGGAGTGCAGTGGCACAATCTCAGCTCACTGCAACTTCTGCCTCCTGGGTTCAAACAATTCTCCTGCCTCTGCCTCCCAAGTAGCTGGGATTACAGGCACATACCACCATGATGGGTTAATTTTTGTATTTTTAATTGAGACGGGGTTTCACCATGTTGGCCAGGCTGGTCTGAAGCTCCTGACCTCATGATCTGCCCACCTCGGCCTCCCAAAGTGCTGGGACTACAGGCATGAGTCACTGTGCCCAGCCTCTAATATATTTTAATAGGTGTGCATTTGTATAATATTACATGATTGGATAGATAAACAAAGAGATACATAGAAAGATGCACAATAGACAGACTTAATTATTTTCCCACATAGCTTTCTTCATCACCTTTCTTATTTAAGGTTTTTGGGAGGAACATGACAGAGGCATCTAAACATATTCCTCATACACAGTGGATGCCCTAATGCCCAATTTGCAGCCCTCTTCTAAAAAGGGGTCCTCAGAAGGACTTTCATAGGAGCTCAGCCCTTATCTGCAGTCTACCTGGGTGTCATCTCCACTCAGTCTCCAAATATGTATGGAGGATTCACTACACTCCAGGGACTGGGCAGGACTCTGGAAAGACAAAGGTGAGCAAAAGAGACTCTATCCTTGCTCTTTTGGAGCTTACAGTCTACTGGGAAACATGGATATTAACTAAGTAGTCTTATATATATGGTTAGAATATATACGTATGTATTTCTAAACTGATAAATTTATTTTGCTAGACATAGTGGCTCATGCCTGTAATCTCAACAATTTGGGAGGCCGAAGCGAGTGGACCACTTGAGGCCAGGGATTCGAGGCCAGCCTGGCCAACATGGTGAAACCCCGTCTCTACTAAAAATAATTTTTTAAAAATTAGCTGAGCGTGGTGGCTCACGCCTGTAATCCCAACTATTCAAGAGGCTGAGAATCACTTGAACCCAGGAGGCTGAGGTTTCAGTGAGCCAAGATCACACCACTGTACTCCAGCCTAGGCAACAGAGTGAGATTCTGTCTCAATAAATAAATAAATAAATTTATTTTTTCTTGGCTCCTAACAGGAAAAACTCACAAATTTATATATAAAGTATATGTTTATACAGAATATAATATTTTTATTTTTAATATTTTGAGCAAATTTGAGAAAATTGATATTGGATATATAAACTGTATATATTTCTATGTTTATAAATTCTAAACCCTCCAAAAGTGAGGAGATTATTACCATTAAGTCAGGAAAGCAGTTATTGCCAGTGGAGATGAGGGTTTGCGATCAGGATTGTATTAGTTTCTTCTCACATTACTATAAAGAAACACCTGAGACTGGGTAATTTATAAAGAAAAGAGGTTTAATTGGCTCACAGTTCTGCAGGCTGTACAGGAAGCATGATGCTGGCATCTGCTTGTCTTCTGGGGAGGTCTCAGGAAAATTACAATCATGGCGGATGGCAAAGGGGAGCCAGTACTTTACATGGCCACAGCAAGAGGAAGAGAGCGAGAAGGGACAGGTGCTACATACTTCTAAACAATCAGATCTAGTGAGAACTCACTCACTATAATGATGACAGTACCAAGGGGGATGGTGCTAAAACATTCATGATAAATCTATTCCCATGATCCAATCACCTCCCACTAGGCCCCACCTACAACACTGGGGATTACAATTCGACATGAGATTTGGTGGGTACACAGATCCGAACCATATCAGGGGTGTTCTTCTTGGTGTCTTAGTAATGATCTATTCCTTGACCTGAAGGGTGGTTATGGGGAATTTGATTTATTGTTATTGATTAAATTTAATGTTTATGTTTTATGTACACTTTTATGCATGTTTTACATTTCACAATTTAAAACTTTCAAATGATAAAGAGAAACTTAGAAGGTTCTATGAGAACATGTAACCATGGCACCTGGCTTGGTCTGGGGAGCCAGGGATGGCTTCCTGAAGGAAGGGGCATCTCAGCTGAGATCTTAGATAAAAATGAGTTTGGCAGAGGGAGGAAGATGTGGCGAAATGGCCTGGAGGGGAGAGGAAGAAGGAAAAAGGGGAAGAACATAGAGCAGACCCTAGGGAGTGTGGGGAACTCAGAAAACAGCTCAAGTGTGGCTTGAGCCCAGGGTGTGAGAGGGGGCAAAGCTAGAGAGAGAAACAGGGACTGGATCATATAGAGCCTCGTTAAGAACTTTTGCCTGTGTCCTAAGATCAATGGGAAGTGCTTGAAGGTTTTAAGCAGGGGAGTGACATGATCAGATGTACATATTGCTGAGACCATCAATGGAAGTGTAGAGAACAGATTGGAAAAAAGCAACAGGCCCCTTTCCACCATGTGAGGATGCAATGAGGAGGTGCCATCTATACAGAAGGCAAGCTCTCACCCAAACATGAATCTGCTGGTGCTTTGATCTTGAACTTCCCAATCTCTAGAACTAGAATATCCAACATGTGCTTTCCAGCCATATAAGTGAACCTTCCCATAGCACTGTGGAATTATCACAAACTTTAGTTTCCTCAGTCTTAAGCAATATGACAGTCATCACCATGAAAACCACAGCATTGTCAAAAATGGCAACATCAGGGGTCTCAACAGATACGACTTCCACCACTTTAAATTCTATAACTAAAATGACAAATGTTCACAAAACACATCCCAGATGTCAACATCCACGATGACCAAAGCTCTCAATAGTTCAGTGACATCTGTTTCTTCATCAATAACAGTCATGGCAACTATTTATTTTAAAGAAAATAAAGGATCACAATTTGGGGAAAAAAATAACAGGCAAGAGAAGATGTGGGGAAAATAGGTACTTGTTTTAATAGTAGAAGAGAAAGACGAAGACAGTTTAAGGTGCTAGCAGGTTAGAAATGGAGAGGAATGTCCTGATGTAAGAGATATTAAGGAGGTAAAGTCAACAGAACTTGGCGATGGATGTGTTACATGTCTCCCCTCAATGAATGTTTCAGGAGCTCAGAGGCCTTCGTCACTGCTGGATATTCAGCACCTAGGACAGTTCCTGAAGCCTGGTTGCCTCTTACTTGAGGGCTCTACAATGTGTTCTTGTTTCTGTACTTCAGAATATGTCATGGAAATGAAAGTGGAATGATGGGAGGAAGCATTAGAGGTGCCAAGTACATAAAAACTGCAATGAGAAAAAAGAACTTAGAGTGTTTAGGAGCCACCCTGAGGTTTCCAGCACGTCTTTCATAGAATGGACAAATAAATGGGGCAGAAAATTGATTACTTAAATGATAGTAAATATGATAACAGAAAAACATATAAAGTTATTAGTGCTATTGGGTATGCTAAAGTACCAGTCCTCAAGAACATCTCAAAGATTACACAGATAAGTAATAAAAGGCCATACCAACACCCATCAACTAATCATCTGTTACTCAGATGATACAGGCATCTACCCTATGTTACATTCAGCAGTGCTATAGAAGACCAGGAAATGATGAGCAGCAATATATTTGGTGGGATCTTTGGAGATGTAGGAGGAAGTCCAGGTTGCTGCTGATTAATAAGTTTTAAGTTAAAAAGTGTGATTGTATAGATTTTCTGCAGTTTAGGCCTGAACCTTAATATGAAAGTAAAGTTGCATCTCAGATATCCCTCCTCAAACTCCTAAGGTACCTGTAGTCAAATAAGAGTCTGAGGGTGTTGTTCAGTGAGTTTTCACTAGGAACAAAACTACCCTCCTTGTCTGTGGTCAGAGAAAGTACCTCTGCAAAGCAGAATATACTCTGTGACTAAGAAAACATCTTTTTCATTGGTTGTAGGTCAGCAAATGCCTAGGCAAGATCTGCATTTGAGGTTTAGACTTTTAAAGACCAAATCCAGGCCAATAATATAAAATATAAAAGAAAAATTGAAAGACAAAATGTGATCACAAATTATTGCAAAGACTGAGTACTTTTAAAATATTATTTTTTCAAAAAATTTATTTGATAGCATGTTATGAAATCCTTCAAAGTAATGGCTGTTTTTCAGTGAAGTAAATATGATATACAAATAGCTCTTGATTATAGGTAAATCAACAAAGAGGTGGAAGTGGGCAGGGCTGGGGAAATCAGCTTGAATGAGCCCCAATGTGGCATGTAAGGAGTGACAGCCAAGCAGAAACAAGGGCTTGAAGAAGCCATGGCTCAACACTGGACTGAAATGAAGACCCTTTCTCCCTGCCTACTCCTTGATGACTCCAGAGAAAGAGGCCAGGCTCTCACAAGGGGGCTGCCTAAGCAATGACAAGGGAACTCTCCTGACTCTACGACCTTGCTGGTTGACCTTGTTGTCTACTTAACAGTGCATATGGAGTCAAAAAAATTGTGAATCTTTTTAGAAGGTACACATTGCCTAAAACTTTGGATCTATAAGATCTTTGTTTAAAACCCCAAATTTCTCCATAGTAATTATCATGGACCCCAGTTTTCCCAATAGTAAGTACGAATAATTGTCCAATAATGCTGAGAGGCCAAGTACCAAGTTAACATAGAAAAAGGACCAGGAGATTTGGTGAGATTAAGTTCACTGGAGACCTTGACAAGAGCAGTCTCTTTGGAGTAGTGAGGATGGAAGCCTGCTTGGGAGAAGAGAGACTGGAAGTGAGAATTGGAAACAGTGATGTTTTCAGTAAGTTTTGCTGTAGATGGGAGCTGAGAAATAGGGTGGAAACTGGAAGGAGAGTAGAGTCAAGAGAGGCTTTCACTTTCTCAAGGTAGGAGATATCAGAACACATTTCTATGCTTACAGAAAAATAAAGCAGTAAGGGAGAAATTGAGGATTCAAGTGGTGATAATTGCAGGAACAGAGGCTTAGGAAGCCTGAGATGGTGTGGTCCAGGGCACTTGGGGAGGGTTGGCCTTGGCAAGAAGCAGGGCCATGGCACCCATGAATAAAAAGGGAAGGCCAAGAGGATGGGCACAGGGACAACAAGAGGTATGGGGTAGTGGCAGGAAAATGAGGGACTGCCTGTCTATAAAATACAAGGCAAGGTCATCATCTGAGAGGAGATTAAAAAGTGAGGGCAACTGTCTCTTGAGAAAGGAGAAATAAAATTGTGGAGGCAGGAAAGGTAACTTACTAGGAAAATATAGTGAGTTTGCCAGACTATTTCTAGTATTCATTTGGGAATTACGGTCATTATTGTTAAGTGACAACAGTCAGCACAACTATCTATTTTTCTCTGGCAATGTATAGTTGTTCAGACATAAGTGTGGATAGACCAGAAATTGGGTTTAACCAGGTTGGGGTTTTGCCAGATGAGTACAAGAAAAGAAGTCCAGAGAGGTTTCTGCAGGAGATCAGTGGTAACAGTGGATGGTGGACTCTAAGCCTCGTAAGGTGAGGCCAGGGTGAGGCTATGGATGGCTAAAAAGAGGCAAGGTCAGAGGCTGCAATTATGTAATTGCTGGAGTTGGAATACTAGAGCCAGAAGGAAAAGACAAGCTGTCAGGAGGCCTGAAGTCAAGACTTTGGAGAAGGTACAATTAATGACACTGTCAAGGTCAAGGATATGGTCAGGGAGTGGGTGAGCCCTCTGATGCCAACATTAAAATTTGAGGGTCCTAACGCCTGCTCTTCTGATCCTGTGTACCATCTGTCCTTACATGTGACGAGAGAGATGGTTTCCTAGCAGGCATGATTTAAGGAACTCTGCTGAAGCCTCATCACCCAAATTCTCGCTGCAGAGGCCTATAACTTGTTTCTAACATTCTGCCATTAAAGCTTCCTTTGGTTCTTGCCTTCTGCTTTCCATAAGTGCTACCACCTAACCTATTAATTCATTATCAATCATTTATACATAGGTGTGATTTAGTGGCTCAGGGCCTTTCAAGTAGGACAGCAACTGGCTGCAATCAGATTTTAATAGGCTATAGGGCATGGCCTTTGAGGAAGCAACTGAATATGGGATCCTATACAGGGTAAAGGAGGTAGGGAAATCAATATTTGTTGAGCATCTACTATGTGTTATGCTCTTTCCAGGAGCTTTGCATAAGTGATATTGGAGATTCCATTGTTTCCTCCTACTTAAGGAACAGAAGAGGTAAGAGAGAAATGCTTGTTATTTACCCAAGCTCCCGAGCTAATGAGTGATGAAGCCGGGGTCTGAAGTCAGAACTGCAGAGCCTGGGAGAGGTGTTTGGATCAGAGGGAGAGGCATTCAAAAGGAGAACTGCAAGGGCCTGAGACACATCTTGGTGAAACTCACAACCCTAGTGTTCCAGTTCCTTTCCTGAGGCCCTCATATCCTATGTGTGGCTATTTTTTATTCTCCTTAGCAGGTTGTTCCTTGACGAGTTTTTTCCTTCCTTCCATTTTTTTTAAACAATAATTTAAATTTTTATTAGGTGCTCAGCCACAGTATAAATGCCCCCATTTGAATTGCTGACACGCAAATCAATAGGGAAGCATTTTCCTGGAGTGGAGCCCCTGGCATGGGAGCCTCCCAGCCTCATCCTCTTTCCAGAAGAGAAGGGATTTAATAAGCAGAATGGACAATTTTCTTAAATAAGCCACAGTTAGAGCAAACAGAATGAGCATTCAAGTTTCTGGTGTAAGGCCTCTCTCTCTCTCTCTCTCTCTGTCCCCCTTTCAAGACAGGGTCTTGCTCTGTCTCCACGCCAGAGTGCAGTGGTGAGATCATAACTCACTGCAACGTCGAACTTCTGGCCTCTAACGATCCCCTACCTCAACCTCCCAAAACACTGGGATTACAGGCATAAGCCACCATGCCTAGTCTCTTCCTTCCTCCCTCCCTCCCTTCCTTTTCTTTCATTCATTTATTTCTGTATCTCTCATTCTCACTAAACAATCTTGCCTTTAATCTCTATATTACCAATTTGAGTGGTGTCATTTTTATGAAACTATCTAGAATGAATGAATCAGCATGGGTGGCTGGGAACTGGCCTTAGGTTGTTAAAACAAGAAGAGCACAGCATCCCCTGGAATTCTACTGAAGATGGGGAATCTGGCAGCTATGTGGGTCCCATCTGCTCACCCCAAGTCCCTCCATCACTCTCGGACTTGGAGATCTTGCATAAAAAGTGTGACTAATATAAAAGAGCATCTCAATCGTCAATAAAATTTAGTTAAGCTGCTCCTGTAATTCTCTGATGAAAGAGGCAACAAGCTTGCATCCTACAACATAGCTTAAGATCTCATGCCTAAGGTACTCTGAGCAGCTGGTAATTCTCCCCATGAGTATCCTGAAAGGAAGACCAAATTCCAGTCTCCTTTTTCAGTATCATCTCTCACCATTCTCACTACCGCCTGCATGAAGGCCCAATGCTTCTCTGTTCCAGCCACATCACGTTTCTCGGTTACCTTCCAATATGCCTTTTCTAGGACCCCGAGCCTTTGCATATGCTGTTCTTTCTACCGGGAGTGCCCCTTCTGGGTTGGCAAAGCCCTACGCACACTTAACCTGCAACCCACCTGCCATCTCCTTTGTGGAACTTAATAAGATACCCTGAGCAGAATGAGTCACCCTTCCCTTGACTCCACTCCTACCTGACACAGCTGGTTCCTAGACATTAGCACAATGCTAGGAAGTTATCTTTGTGACTCCCCCTCTACTCCAACCAGATTGGGAGATCCTCAAAGACAGGGAACCATCTGTCACTCAACTTCACATCCAGTCTTTAATGAAATGACTGGCAGAGAGTAGATCTTTAATAACAGCTTGTTGAAATAGAGAACACTGGATGAAAACCCATTTGTTCATTCACTCAACCAATATTTACTGAATGCCAACAGAATTCCAGGCTGGGAATGTAAGTGTGAATAAGACAGAGAATGTCTTTATTCTCACCAGGTTTATATTCTATTGGGAGGGAACGGACAATAAGGAAGAAATAACATACATATATACTATGTTGGCTGGTGATAAATGTGATAAACAAAAATAAAGTGGGAGAGTGGTGACAAGGAGAGCTATTTTAGATAAGAGTACTATGGTGGGCTTCTCTGTGGAGCTAACATTTGAGGCTACTGACCTGCTGCACACACAGGCTTTGTCTTCTGTGGTTAGTGGAGGAATGAGGTAGAAGCTGCTTCCTTTGCAGTGGACATGCTGGGTGACTCAGGTTCCCAAGATGTCTGTCCGGGGGCAGAAAGCCAAGGCTATTTGACTTAAAGGAAGCTTGGCCTCTATAGCATTCAGCACTAAGCTACTAAGGAAGCTACCTCAGAACATATTGTAGTAATAAGAGGACCTGAGAGGCCTGGTGCCAAAGTCTCTAAATGACACCCCAGGCCCTGCCCAGTATCCACAGAGATACTGCAGAGCCCATGAAGCTGGTTCTGTCTTCTGGCCATTGGAACAGTGGGTCTTCTTGACCTTCGTGATTTCAATCACCAGCCCAATTACAGGACAACAAAAGGAACCATAAATGGTTCAACTGAAAAGTGCGAGTTAGTATGGTTGCGATCTCAATTCTGTCACTGTTGCCCTGTGCTATCTTGGGCAAGTCACTGAAACTCTATAGTAATTCTACCATCTATAAATTGGCAGTAATCAATAGCAATTATTTTGCTTACCTTCACCAATGGTTGTGCAGATCAAATATAGTATATAACTATGAAAAGTATAAAGCACAAACAAAATGCAGGAAATTATTCTTTCTACTGGGGGAATAAACATTTTCAGAGTACCTATTAAGTGCCCGGAGTCCTATATATGTTGCCTTATTCAATTTTCACAAAATTATGGACAGTAATTATTATTCCCATGTTAAAGACTAGAAAATGAAGGCTCAGAGAGGCTCAATGATTTCATTAAGGAGGCACGGCGGGCAGAGCCAAGATTCTGGTTCAAGTTCACTGTTCCCAGATCTCACGCTTACCCTGCATCCTGCTGCCTGTGGGTAGTTGTTCCAAGACTGGCATGGGTTCTCAGCTCTGAATCACCTTACCCAGAGCTGTGATGTGCCTCCCCACCAACTGTTTCCGCTCAGCATCTGATGCAAAAGCTAAACCCTAGCTTCTAACCCAGCCTGCACTGGGGTTCTCAGGCCTGCCCAGACCCCAGTGCATCTCCTCTGGTAGGAATCTGCCTCTTGGCATGGTTTGCTGCTGTGTCTGGCATGTTGTGGGTGGCTATAAAGTGCTGAACATTCCACCTGCTTCTTCTGCTGACACCCTGCTGTCATCTCCATCTCTGACTCCAGAGCAGGAATGTGCCTGGGCTGCCCCTGCATTGCCCCATATCCCCACCAGCACTCCCTGCCTCCCCTTGAATCTTCTGGAGGCTCTGGCTACCATTAGGGTTCAATTTATGGCCTCACAGCTCAACAAGAAACCTCCACAGGAATAAATTGGGCTTGGCTGTATCTGCCTTCCATATTCCTGCCCAGCTGGACCATCATTTCAGAATCCATTTTAGAAATTTCATTTTTTGTGATGGCAGATCAGAGTTAAAAGAAGTGGCCCACAAGTGGATGAGTAGTTACAGCTTTGGCCCAGATAATCCCCAAAGTGAATAAGCCACAAAGTGAATGAGGCTTTTGTGGATAGATGAGAATTGACACTACCTTGTGAGACTGGATGAAGGAAAACCCATTTAAGAAAACTCACTTGCTTTGGACCTGGATTCTTTTCTCATCTTGAGAGAGTTAGATGGGGCTTTGTTTAAAAACCAGAATGACTCCCCAAGGAAGGGGGTAGGACTGGCAGAACCAAGCTCCAGAGAGAAATAGTGACTGCTCTGGTCTTACTTTGAACCTGACCTTTGTGGTTCAAACCAAGCTTATAAGGACTGTCATTCTCCAGCTCCTTGTGTCATTCTCTGGCAGTGGGGAACCTGGAAGGTTTCTGAGTGATGCTCAGAGACAGCATAGTCATTAGGTACACAGAATCCCTGGGTTCAAATTCTGGCTCTGCCATTTGTCACGTGTCTTCAGGCAGGTTTTGTAAACTTTGTGTCTTGGTTTCCTCACCTGTGAAAAGGGGTTAATAACAGCACCTCATTCCAAAAGGGATTGTTGAGATCAGTTAGTTTCTATACATGAAGTACTTAGATCATTGCCTGAAAATAGTTTTTGTCATGTAGATGTTAGCGATTATTTTGCTACTGAAAATAGAGGTGGAGCTATTTTGGGACCCAGTTGGTGATTTCTAAATCCAGGAGATCCTAAACATCCCCAAATCAGATCTCAGGTAACCATTTGCCACAGTGCCTCCTTCATCACTGGCAGGCCTTGGTCAGGCCAGTTGCTGAGCCTGGCTCTGGAGTGAGATGCAAAACGTTAGAAGTAAAAATGCTATTTTCCCTCTCGCAGGCTTTTGCCACTGGCAAATAATCTCTTTAGCAATATTTGACCTTAAGAACTTAAAATGAAAAGGTCAAAACATTTCAAGGAGTGGGAACCGGGTCCCTTCCCAGATTTCCCACTGTCACAGAGTTAGTGAATGTCAGTTGTGGTTGCCAGAGGCCCACAGGACCCCCCTCCCATAAGAAATAGCGAAAGCAGTGGAACAGGGTGAGTGCAGAGAGAGAGACAGGTCTCTGCACTTCTCACTGTCTCCTGGGCCTTCAGCCACAAAGAAGGATGCTGCTTGGGAGGGCTCTGTTGGGTCAGAGTGAAGACACGGCCGGAGAAGTCACCCCAGGCCCTCTTGGGGGCTTTCATCCCTTTCCCTCCCAGTCTCCAAGAATGGCTGCCTGAGTTTCTCATTCTCACTAAATTAAGCTGACAAAACACAAACGAAAAAAAGGGGTAGGGGTAGAGGGGAGGGCATGGCACACTCTTGCTTTGCATTTTAATAACTCAGGCACAGTGCCTCAGACCATTTTTAATGAGAGATTGACTGATAGTGGTCTCCTCCCCACACCCTACTCGGAACAGATCAGGGTCTGGATCAACAGCATGCTTTCCTCCCCTCCAGAACATCTCACCTGGCCCCGCTCCTGGTTGGAGGGTGGCCCACAATGAAACTTAAGCCCTTGGCATGATTTGCTGGCCTCTCGAGGGTCCAGTCTGGAAGGGCATCCCTAGTCACCCAAGACACACTTCCCAGGGAAACCATGCCCTGGTGAGCTACACTCCTGCTTCTTGCCTTGTGAGGGAGTCAGTTATGAGGACATAGCCAGGCCCACCAAGGGCAACTTCATGGAGATAAGAGCTATCTTATTTGGTCAGCCAACCTTCCCTTGAGCTCAGAGGCCTTGCAGCCAGGGATTGCTGGTGACAGTATGAGAAGGGAACAGGGCTCAAGGCCACTGCCTGTCTCAAGAATGCAATGTCTTGTTCCTGCAGCCAGCCTCAGGCCAAATAGGGCCTCCCCACTCCATGGGGAGAATGTATGTCAACATATATTGACATAGATGAGGGCAACCTTGTGCCCCTGATCTCCAGCCTCAAAATACACCCTTCCTGCCTGAAATTCCCAAAAAATGAGTTCTCTATTAATTGCAGAATCTGTATGTGCTAAGGGCTGTTGTAAGTCTTTTTGTAGAAAATGACATCTCATTTAAAAGACATGGCTATTCTGAGAGGTAGGAGCTATTTACCCCATTTGATGGGTGAGGAAACTGAGGATCAGAGAAGTCAATGGATTTCCCCACGTCTCCACAGCTAGTAAGTGGCAGAGCCAAGATTCAAACTCTTGTTGGGCAGAGTTTCATCGACTGTTTCTGCCTGGCCAGCATGGGCAGCAGGGGATGCAAGGTCAGCGGAGACACTTAGAGGGTGGAGCTGGTCAGGTGGGCTTTGCAGTCACATCCCATCTGGAGCTCTGAGGAGCAGGAACCTGGCAGCTTCCAAGGTAGATGAAAAGCTGACCTGCCTCAAATTGTTTTATTTAAAGCCAGGCTTCTGACTGTTTGAAGCCGCTTGGTTTTGGCAGTGCTTTTCCCTTTTTCTCTTTTTTCTTCCTGTTTTTAAACAGCCCTCGCAGAAAAGGGGAGTGCATCATTGCTGGGCGCCTCACTTGCAGATGCTCAAAAGACCTCTGTCCCTCCCACCCCATGGCTGGCTCCAGAGCAAGGCAGCTGGGCTGCGTGTGAGCGAGTGGGCACACGTGCTCACAGACAGCTCTCATTTGCAGAAAGACAGGAAGCCCTGTATTGATCTGCACCTGAAGTGTAGATACAGATGAAGTATTTTGCTTTTATAGTGAGTTTCACCAGCATTAAACTTCATTTATATCTCTATAAATATATACGGCTTTGAATGGGAGGCTTTACAGCTTGCCTTATAAGTTCCATCTCTCTGTGGCACAGACTGGGTCACCGTGAGGAGACAGTCCCTTTATAGGTGGCTCTGGCCTCTGCCCTTTTCAACACAGCCATTTGCAGGGCTTTCATCTGGTGTTCAGGGCCCTGTCTGTCTGCCCAGCTGGACATCTCTCCTCCCAGCACCTGGATAGACATGGGCTCTCCAGCCCTGGCGCTGCCCTCTCCTCTGTCTGCCTGTGCCCTGTCACCCCTGGCTCACAGCTGGCCAGTTGGGAGGAGGGAAAGAGGGCACCGTGACTGTCAGCTGATCTGCTCTCCACACCTGTCCCTGGGCCCAGCCACCACAGCTGACCTTGGTATTGACAAATTCACAGGGGACATCATGAGGTACTTACACAGGACAAGCTGGCAAAATCTGGCTTATTAGGGTATATGTTTTACAGAAATCCATTTAGATAAACAGGCTATCCACACAAACGCCAGCACTCAGTGGCCACAAGCCTTACAATACTTCACGAAGCAGGCAGCAGCTTCTGTCCCGATGCACTTGTGGAGATAAATTCAAAGTAATCTATATAAACTCAAGCCTTTGAAATTGCACAATGTCAAAAAATTCAAACAATTACTCTAGCCCAGCCAGGAGGTGGTTGTTAGATGTTCTTCTTATGGAAAACAAAATTATAAAGGAAGGGAAAATGTTTCATAAATAAAATTCAGAATGGTAGAAGAACCTGGAGGGAGGGGAAGGTAGAAAAAAGGAAACCCAAGTGTTCATGGTCTCTGGCTGACTGCAGAATAGGGCTCGGAAACCCTCCTTAAGGCTCAAATTAATTTCAGTCTAGTACAATTTCAAGGTAATTAATTGGGAAGAGGCATCTTTCAGGTATTTAAAAATATCAGATTGGCTCTTGGTACTAAAAGAGTAGGAGAAAAAATAGCCAACACATGCTTCTAAAATCAAGGTGATGTAAAACAAGGGCCAACCCAACCCATTAGCACTTGAGGAGCATATAAAATTCGGGTCAACCCAATAATTGCTAGCTTGTTGAAACACCAAGTACCCCAAGCTGCACCCAGTCCCCAGGCCATATTAAATAGCAAGTGGCACAATCTGGGCTAGAGGACATGTTCCATGACAGACACTGTCCCAGGGACTTTGTACTCATGCCTCATTTAATTCTCACAAAAAAAACTTAAGGAAGATGTGGTGGGCCGGGCGTGGTGGCTCACGCCTGTAATCCCAGCACTTTGGGAGGCCAAGGCGGGTGGATCACGAGGTCAGGATATCGAGACCATCCTGGCTAACATGGTGAAACCTCATCTCTACTAAAAATACAAAAAATTAGTGGGGCGTGGTGGCCGGTGCCTGTAGTCCCAGCTACTTGGGAGGCTGAGGCAAGAGAATGGCGTGAACCCGGGAGGCAGAGTTTGCAGTGAGCCGAGATTGCGCCACTGCACTCCAGCCTGGACGACAGAACAAGACTCTATCTCAAAAAAAAAAAGATGTGATGATCTCTATAGGCTTTTCGGGGGTGAGGGAGGGTGAGGGAAAGAGGGGATGTGTAGGAATTTGAAGTCCAGTTTCCTGTTAATAACTCCCCAGGTCTTGCTTCTTGATGCCTTTGCCCCATGGGTTCTGTGTACATGTGGCCCAGAGCAGGGATGACTAAGATACAAGCAGCAGAGAGAGTGGAAGAACTTAGTCTCTGTCCAGGTGCTTCTGCTTATAATCCCAATACTTTGGGAGGCCAAGGTGGGAGGATCACTTAAAGCCAGGAATTCAAGACCAGCCTGGGCAATATATCAAGACCTCCATCTCTACAAAAAAAAAAGATCAAAAAATTAGCTGGGCATGTAGGTACATGCCTGTAGTCCCAGATCCTCAGGGGGCTGAGGTGGAGGGATGGCTTGAGTCCAGGAGGTAGAGTCTATGGTGAGCCATGATCACACCACTGCACTCCAGCCTGAGTAACAGAGTGAGATCCCATCTCAAAAACAAAGCAAAGCAAAAAGAAAAACAAAAATAACAACAACAACAACACAAAGTAGGCTCTGTTCCAAACAGATTTGGTTGAAAACCAGCCCTGCCACCTACTAGCTGTGTGGCCTTGGGCAAGCACGTTAGCCTCTCTGAACCCCTCAAGAGCTTGGTTTTATAAAATGTGAGCGCTTTATAAAAACTTTCTGATTTTCTGTTGGTTCTGTTCAACCCAGAAGAAAGTCATTTAGCATCACTATGCCTCAGTTTTTTCACCTGTAAAACGGGGACAATAGTATATATCAAAATGTTTTACTCACTAAATGATGTAAAGTATTCAAAATGTTCATTAATAGTCATGACAGAAAACATTTATTAAGGGCATTCTCTGTGCCAAACACTTGGCCAAAGTTTATAGTAAGCACTCAGTAAGTGTTGACTAGCTTTATCATTAAGCCATAGAAAGACCCAAGCTTCCAGGGCCCAGGAATGTGAATTTTTAGGTGGACTAGGGTCAAAGACCAAATTCCAGCCCAGAGATGTTGCCAAGCTTTTGTCAGATGTTAGCCACCCTGGGTTGATAATGTCCTAGGACCAATGTTCCAGACTTCCCCCTTTGTCTTTCCTCATACCATGCAGTTTGAGGAGGACACATCCAGATTTAAATAACCACAACTTCCTCCTGGGTCCTGGTAATAAACCTTTATTGAGTCATTTACAGCCACAGCATGAGATGTTATTATAGAAGCCAAGTTGGGGTGCCCTTGGCAGTGCCCTGCTCTAGGATAGGGGTCCCGAGGAGACCAGGCTGGAACCCTTCAATAAACTAATGGGTCTGTTGGCTCATTTGTCCCTGACCCCAGAACTCCTTCCCCCATTATGAAGTTTCACCTTGTAATACATAACCCAGAGACGTGCTCCCCAAGGGTGAGGGCTGCACCTCTTCCTGCCTGCTAGTACCTCTCTGGCATAAGATTGGGGCACTTTGTTTAGCATCCATGCTCACTTAAACTTTGGCTGTTGTACAGATTAGCAATGAGAGTCTGAATATAGAAGATAAATCTGATTCATTCATGTGCACCAGCCCCAAGTATCCTCCTCCGTTTGCCTCCAAGAAGCCACCTGCTTGAACGTCATAGGGAAAGTGTACAATTTTAACTCATGGGAGTGTCATGACAAGAAAGTTTCCTTTTCTTACTTGATTGGAGAGTAAAGCAGAGGCAATTGGCAAGAATTAAAGGAGGGGAATAGGAAACAATGCAAGCGTCCATTAATGGATGGATGAATAAACAAAATGTGGTACATACATACAGTGGAATATTATTCAGCCATAAAAAGGAAGGAAGTTCTGACACATGCTATAGCATGGTTGAACCTTGAGGACATTATGCTAAATAAAATGAACTGGCTACGAAAGGACAAATATTGTATGATTTCACTTACATGTAGTACCTAGGATAGTCAGGTTCATAGAGACAGGAAGAAGTTGCCAAGGGCTGGGGGAGGAGGAAATGGAGAATTAGCGTTTACTGTGTACAGAGTTTCAATTTGGAAAAATGAGAAAGTTCGGAAAATGGATGATGGTGATGATGGTTGCATACAATGTAAATGTACTTAGTGCCATTGAACTATATTTTTAAAAAGGAGGGAAAGAGAAAAAAACAAGGTTGCTTGAATTCCCTTTGCCAATTGGCATATTATCAGCTTGCTGTGTTCAAAATTTACCAATACAGTCGTAATTCAAAGTCACGTTTCCAAGGCTAAGTATAGTGGTTCTTATATATGATGGGAAATAGCTTTTGAACAATCCCATTCCAATTCCACCTTCCCCACTGGACTGTCTCTTAAGGAGATGAAACTCTAGTTAGGTAGGAAATCTCATCTTTATTAGCATAGCACATCATCAAAATGAGGCAAAAGTGTATCTCTGCGCTTCTGCCGAATCATCTACTGGAATTGGCTTGTGGGCATCGTTCAACTTTGTATTTCTGTATTAGGGAGTCCTCACTTTGGCTGTCTTCTAACTTTCCATGACATGGTGGTTTAGCAACCAACACTTTACTCTGTGGGATCCCAGCTGGCAGAAGTGACTCAGGAGCCTTCCCCTAAAAGAGCTGGCTGGGTGCACTGAGTGCATTCTCAAAGGCAGGTGACCCCAGAAAGAGGCAAAACCCTGGAAGAAGGTGTTATAATAAGGTCTCCAAATGGAAGGAGGCAGAGGACATCAGCAACCTCTGAACATGTAAATAGGTCTGTGACCTACCTGGACACATTTTAAGCTCTACTAAAGATTCTAATTTACTGATTAATCTGCCAGAAACTCTGATTTCCTTGTGGAAGACCCTATGTACAAACGGTGCACGAGATTCCCCATCTTTATCCAGTGGCCCTTAAATGAGGGACAGAGTAGAAGAGAATTGGACAGGCAAGGTGTCCAAACTGGTTATATATATTTGTACGTGTGTGCTGATACCACACATGCACACACATGCACACACACACACACGCACGCACACACACACACATTCACCAAAGTTACCAAACCTTCTGATAACTCCGTTACTTCTTAATGGTAAAATGCAAGAGTACTACCTCACCCAGCCCACAACCCAGGGACGGAAGCAGGGTGAATGGAGACATCCCTGCATAGAGCTATGTTGGTACATGGGTCTCTGTAAGTGGCTTCTGGTTCTAAATTTACTCTTAAATAAAGAGAAACGGCACCCTCCTCAGCCATGACCTTTGTGGATAGGACTCAATTTCATGGTATAAGCTCTATCACAATGAACTCTCCTCTTTCTTTCTTTACTAAGCTCACATAGGTACTCTTTCCTCAGCTCACTCTCCTGGAGCCCAGATGGGGAGACATGACCAACCACCAACTTGGAATACTGAATTCTAAGTTTTTAATAAAAATTTCAAAATCATCTCTATGAACTCCATCAAATAACTCAGGTCAGCTCTGAGGCAGTTGCCTGCAGGAGCTTCCACAGTTTCTGTTCACATTTGATTGTTGGTTTCTATAAATGCGGTTGAAATGACCACTTGACTTTCTAACACCATGACCTCAAGGCTGGGGAGCAGAATGTACCCCTCCCACATCTTTGCTACTTACCCAGTAACAATAGCCTCAGAACTCTGAGGTGTTCCCTTGAAAGTCTAGGGTTTACATACCACATCTATTAAGTAATACATTCAGCAATACATTTCTGCTGCAAAATGTAGCAGCATAAGCTATGGTGATACCACATATGCACAAACACAAGTCAGAAAGTGATGGTGTTGGGAGAGGGAGAAATTGGAAAGAAGCACAGGGAACTTTTATACATCTTTTTTGGGGTATACAAGTGTACACAATTGTCAAAACTTAATCTGAATACTTAAGATCAGTGCATTTTATTATATACAAATTATATGTCATTTTTTTCAACAAAAAAAAAGTAATAATGGCGCTTTCCAGGTAAAAGATGGCAACCTATGGCCATGGAGAATAGGGCAGAACAGCTGACCTCCTCCTTCCATCTTTCCCCACCACTGCTCATCTCCCCAGTCCTGGGTGGCAGCCCAGCAGTCTCCCCTACACAGTGAAGGGGGGTTGGGCATGAGAACTTAGTGGCTTTGTCTCCAGATTGCTGGCCAGATATGATGGCCAGGAATGCTGCAGAAGTGGCATTATATGTAAAGTGAGTTTGTATCCAGTTTCCCACTCCTCTTCTAGTGGTTCTATAGGTGGTCAGAGCCCAGCCCTCTCCTGCTCCTTAGTCATCCTTGCCACATTCAGAGCCACAGAGGACTCAATGAAGGTGGTCCCAGAAAAACGTTCTTAGAGAGAACAGTCACCAAACACCCAAAGCCAAGACATCCATGGCAACATGCCCCAGATAGGGTGGCTTCAGCTGGGATTTCTGGGGCATGGTGATGTGACAATCAGGTGCACGACATCAGTTCAGCCTAGATGCCACCAGCCCAGGGTTCTCTCTTTGCAGTAAGCCCAGAGAGCTCTTTACCTGGCTCTTGGCCATCTTCTTAGCTGAGAAGTAAAGGCCAGCAGCACCTTGAGACTTCTGGCTGATTCTCATTCTTCACCAGAGAGAGGCCATTGCTCCACACTGAGTTCCCTAAAAGGCTTTGGCTGCAAGTCTATCCAATGGGGAGCAATCCATTCCTTCTCTCCTGCACATGAGCATTACTGCATTTCCTAGGTGAGGGAATATTAGCAGGCTAGAAGTTCTATTTCTGCTTTCGCTATCCTCTGGCTTCCCACTTTAAGCGTCTGTGTCTCTCCATTTATAAAATGGGTCCAATAATGTCACTGAGCACTTTTTTTTCAGAGAAAATTTAAGGGCATTAATGAGATAATGACTACTAAGTATGGTGACTTCAGTAATAAACTGTGGTTTTGGACAGGGTCCACTGCAAGGGCATAATTTTTTAAAAATCCTCAGTGATGTGTCATGCAGAAATCTATCCACTCACTTGTTCAAACTGGAAGATTTCAAGGACAGGAGGTTTGGAATGTTAAAATACTGAATGAGTCAGTGTTGGTTTCTGATGCTCTGCATTTGTCTATTTCAGTCTTTCTTCCCTACCCTTACAACCTCTGACTTCACTGTCTTCCTGGATGCATTCTACTTCCTGCCACTCTAGGGAGATGCTAAGATTTCTGGATCCAATGCCAAGCATAGTAAAAAAGAAAAGTGGTGCCATTTCACTCAGAACTGTGTCTCTCACCCAGAAGGCTCCCCAGCCAGAGGCAGAGAGTATTTTCTTCATCTTGGAGAAGGGGCCCATTGTGCTGAATTAAAAATAAGACAAAGAATCACCATTCTAGGGTCCATTTGGGGTTGGAAAGAGTGAAACCACCCCACCTTGCCTATGTATCTCCCCTGTCTCAACACACTTGAAGAAAGTGACCAGAACCATAAACAGTTAGGGGTTAAATCAAGGGAAGACTTGCTCCTACAAGAAGCCACATCTCTTTCAAGTTCCCTGTAGGATGCTGGCTCCACGGAGACTTGAATGATTGAAGGAAATCCTCAACACCACTTGTTGAATGACTCAACCAGGTAGGTGTGGCCAGGACTGAATGGGGCAGGGGCAGGCCTATAGTGTCTCCAAGACAATACCAAAGCAGATGCAGGGAATTGACTGAACATACTTCAGAGAGGCAGAAAGCAGGAGAGACAGAGTAATACCTTGCAAAAAGTAGCAGCAGTGAAGAAAGAAGTAATAATGAGCTCCTGTTTGCAGAGCCTCTCAGTGCTGGAGGAGAACAGAGTACCACTTCAAGCCCTCCTGAGTCTGGGACAAGTCTAATTTTGTTTCTGCTCACCCTAGACATATAGAGACAAACCTTTATTCTTAGTTGTTTTTCACTGCCAAATGCCCCAGAAAACAGGGCAGAACAGACTTTGTCTTCTTTCCAACCACCCATAGCCAAAGATGGCATAAAAGTGGAGGGTACCTCCTGCCTCCTTGCAAATGTAATATAACCCACACCAGCCAGTCTCTGCAAAGCTCAAGACACTAGCACTTTCCTACCACCATGAAGTCAGAAGGGACCTCAACCCCCCAAAGCCGCCCCAGCCTGAGCTTCACCTGTTGCACCTGCCCACTTACCATGGGTTCACACCAGAAGAGAAAGTAAAAGGTCAGGTTGGGCTCTCTCCACAGCAAGAGCCCAGAGAATACTAGGAAACTGACATTTTACAAAGCACCTCTTTAAAGCTCTCTCAGAGGTGCGTAACTTTTAACTCTACCTCCACTCCCAACCCCCCAGGCTTCCTTTGCAACTCTTTCCCACCATGGATGGCTTGTCGGGAGAGAGTTAAAGAAGGTGCACGACTAATTCCCCAAACCATCTCGCTTATCTACAGACAAAAAGAACAGCCTTACATGGAGACACGCAGAAACCACCCGCAATTTAGCTCAGACCTCACCTGTCTTATGCAACAGTACACACACACACACACACACACACACACACACCCGCAAGGCCAGAGTCCAATCCCCCTTTAATTCGGTAAACATAGTTTTGCGCCTTTCTTTTCCCTACGCAGAACCCGACTCTACTGGCAGCAGAGAAATAGATGTAACCCTAGTGCCAAATGCCTTGCAGAACACACAGATACACAGGAACCAAAATGCATCTCATAGCTCTCCTTGGTGCTGAAATCACGTTAGCCAGAAAATCAAAGGAGCGAGTGCTCTGGACTTACCCAGGCTGGGGGTGGGCGGCCGGGGAGCGAGAGGAGCTTCCTGGGAAGAAAATTCTTGCTTGCTCAGGCTGGAGCCAGCTGATGCGCTCACCTAGAGAGCCCTCCTCTTTCCCTTCTCTTCCCTTCCTCCTATTCTGGGAGGAAGAGACAAGGCTCCACGAAAGAAATGAAACCCAAGCTGTCAGGGCTACGGGTGGAAGGAGAATGAGGAGGCAACCAAAATAAGATCAAAAAGTCAGGTGGCTTCACTCCACTAGTGGTAATTCCTTGGGTCAGAGAGGACCCCCTTCTCTCACTCTCCCTGGGTCTGCCCGTCTCCTCTGGGTGTTGAGCCAACAGCCTTAGCACAGTCGGTTCCTGCCTCTGACGTGAAAGAGAGGAGGAAGCCTGGGACTGCTTTGCTGTCTCTCTCTCTCTCTCTCTCTCTCTCTCTCTCTCTCTCTCTCTCTCACGCGCTCTCTCTTTTCCCCTCTTGCTGAAATTTCAGCAGCATGATTTTTTTAAGCCTCCGTTTTTTCCATCCCCCTACAAGCAGCCCCCTAGTGGACAGAAAAGAAAAGCATCCTAAATCCTCTTGAACAGTCCAGATTCAGGCACAGAAATACTCCCCGCACCCAACTCTTGGAGCTGCCTCTGCATAGGCAGGGTCCTGAAGAAGATAGAGGCTTCCCTCTGACCAACCCAGATAAGAAGAGAAAGGGAGAGGATGGAAGCTTTTGCAGATCCTTTGCCCATGATTGAAGGAGAAATCCAGGGTGGAATGGGTTGGGATAGAATGTTTTGGAATAAGGTCAGTTGTGGGGTTCTCAAGTGGTTTGAGGTCCGGGCTCAGCAGAAGGAACCCTCCAAAAAGTCAGCGTCTGCAGCCAGGTGAAGTATGTGTATACGTAGCACAACCCAGGCATGGGAATGCCTAAAGAGGCAGAGGATACAGGGAGCTGGCCCTTCATCCAACTCCACAATATAGCTTTTTTGTAAAGCTAGTAAGAAAAATATCTGAAAAGATATGGCCTGAGATCATCTCAGAAGTAGAGACAGAAGTGACCTTGATGCACATTTATGGAGAACCTTGGCAGAGAAGGGGCATCAAGGGGTCACTGCTCATAGGCTCATAAGGGATATCTAACATTCTCTTTTAAATGTACAGCCACACAGCCTCCCGGAAAGAGTCCTAATACTTACATCTAAAAATCTGAGTCCTGGTTTCAGACTGCCACTTGCTTACTGGACATTTTGCTTCTCTATGGCTCAATTTTACTGTTTGTAAAATGTGGATAATGCTGCCCCCTCCCTACTGAATAGGAATGCTAAGGGACTGGAATGATATAGAAACATAGAACCTCAGGATTGGCAGGGAATTTAAAGGTAATCTTATACAAACACTCTTCTTATATTTGATTCACTCCTGGCAAATAACAATAGCTAACATTTATAGAGTGTTTATACCAGGTGCTAGGCACTGTTATAAGCCCTTACATGTATTAGCTCATTTAAGCCATACAATAACTCTATAATGCAGAGGCTATTATTGCTACTCTATAGACTGGGAACTGAGTAACAGAGGAATGAAATAACTTTCCAAAGATCACACAACTAGTGAGTGTCAGGGATGGTAATGGAACCTGAGCCATCTGACCCTGGAGCTTCCTCATTGAATTACCATGTTCTATAAATGTACACTTCAGGAGTGACATTTGAAGTAAATAGAAGATAGCACCACAGTTATCATTGCTTTTATTTATGACAAAGTGCCTAGATTGTTACAATAAATTTATATGTGGCTGAGTTTTTAAAATAAAATATTTACCACTAGGGGTGCCAAACAAACTGTGGAAATTGCTATTACCGATGAGAATCTCCTAAGAAAATTAATTCTCTTGGTGATTTGGGTAGTTTCACATATACAAAACTGGCTTTAAATCTTATAAAATTGGAAACTATTGGGTTTTAACATCAGTTCAGAAGACACATCACTCAATTTCTGTACCAAAAGCAAATTATTGCCCACTGCCTAACACAGTGCAAGAACGGAGCCAGCAATTTGAAGAGCTGAAACGTTGTAATGCATTCAGGTAATAAACGCTCAGTGAGAAATTGACATTTTCTTCAGAATCTCAGAATTATGAATTCCTTAGCTGAGGTGGCTTACTTTTTCTGGCTTTTTTTTTTTTTTTGGGTGAAAAGTGGATGAAGTAGGACAAAGATGGTAGGTGACAATTAACAAATCATGGTCCCTGTCCTCAACAGAGTTACCAGTTCCTCAAAGGGGGAAAGAAAGAGCAAGACACAAATGATTACAATTCAAGGACTAAGTGCCAAGAATTTGGGCAGTGAGCACATGGAAAACACAACTAACTTGATCTTTGAGGGCTAGGGGAATTCCTAAGGTATGCAGCATCTAAGCTGAGGCCTGAATAATCAGAAGTCTTCCCAGCAAAAAGTGGGTGAGAGAATTAAGCTGAAGGCATAGCATGTGCAAACTCATGGAGGAGGGAAAGGGGAAAGAGCATAGTAGGAAACTTTCAAAGAAAGTATTACCCTTCCACTGACAAATGGGGAATCTGAGGCTCATAAAAGTTAAGTGGCTTGCTCAAGTTCACACATCTAATAAGTATAGAACCCAAATCAAATGCACATCTATTTGACTCTAAAGTCATCCCCTTTGTGAAGCATGATGATATCTTCTCTCATCACTTAGAAGTGCCCACACCATTTAATAGAGTGTTTCAATAACATAGAAGCTAACATAACCGAGTGAGGGTGTAGCATCTACCAGGAAGCTGGAAGTATGATCTGTTACTATTAGATGAGAAACCCATAAAAAAGGCACTAGTCAGTTCAAAAAAAGGGGAAATTTAGGGTGCTAGTATTTTTTTTCTGGTGGATGTACAATTATTAAATGTATTGGGAAGTAGGAATATTTCAGAAGTACGGAGACATCAGAGACTTGGATTTGAAATGAAGATGAATGTAGAAACGGCTAAAAGAAGGTTTCAGATTAAGTGCTCTGGGAGCCCAGAGGAAGGAAAGGTCCTTCTGCCTAGGAGGGGTTATGGGAGACTTCACCTGGGAAGTGGCCATTCATCTGGACCGTAAAGAATGTAGGTTCAGGAGACTGCTCCATTGCACCTAGACATTTTATAAATAGAAACATGAGATCCGAGTTTTCTTAATGAATAGTGAGACACTGATTAGAGGGAGAGTAGAAAGAAGATCATTGTAGACAGAAAGATGTGAAGCTTTGGAATATGGATGGGTTTGGGAAGAGTAGAAGAGAAGTGAGATTGATGGATGAATTTGATTTTGGATATGTCAGGCTTTGGGAGAGTGAGCTTATATACTATAATAGAGCTGTCCTGGCAGTGGCTGGAGTTCTGGAGCTCAGATGAGAGATCTGGATTGGTGATTTAGATCTGGAGCCCATTTACATGGACATAATAGTTGCTGGATGGAGACCACCAACAGGAGAGAAAACAAAGAAGACTGAGGGCAGAATCTCAACCCTATTTCCTTGACCTCTGGATCAAGTTTTATATTTCTTCTTTAGTCCTTGTAGCTGAAGTGCTTGATACCCAGAAAATAGCCTGAAAATACTTACTGATTGGCTCATAACAATAACCAAATATGTAGTTGAAGATGATATTGGGACTGAGATCAGTTACTTGTTCTTTGGATCAGTTACTGGTTTCTTGGCTTCTGATCTACTTCTAATGACAAGACCCCTCAATCACCATTCCTCTTTGGAAGCTGGTAATCATTGGCCCCTGGATCTTTTGTTTGTTTGTTTGTTTGTTTGTTTGTTTGAGATGGAGTCTCACTCATTCTGTCACCCAGGCTGCAGTGCAGTGGCGCGATCTCGGCTCACTGCAACCTTTGCCTCCCAGGTTCAAGATATTATTTTCTTGCCTCAGCCTCCCAAGTAGCTGAAATTACAGGCATGCACCACCACTCCCAGCTAATTTTGATATTTTTAATAGAGATGGGGTTTCACCATTATGGCCAGGCCAGACTTGAACTCCTGACCACAGGTGATCCACCTGCCTCAGCCTCCCAAAATGCTGGGATTACAGGCATGAGCCACCTGTCCAGCCAGCCCCCGAATTTTTGTTTTCTACCTAGCACTCCAGCCCCCAAGCTCTCCTCCACCAAACCGAGCATCTCCTTAGGCACCCAGCTATCTCCAGGGAATCAGGAGCCACTATGTGGTGAAATACCATGGTGGAATTTCACAAGGAAAATCCATACCATGACCAGCATTCCAGAAAGCTCTTGGATCAACCCTTCCAGTACTTGAGGTCTGGACATAGGGACTCAGGAAGTGCAACTGTGGCTTTTTGACAGAAAAGGGAAGGGAACCTAGGATCCAGCTTTGAGATATGGCAAGTACAGAATAGCCAAGGGAGCCCTCAATTCCTAGACTAACCTAGGCCCCCATCTTGCCACTGTTTCCATGAGCATAGAAAGACAGAAAGTTTGGTGTAAACACCAGATAAGACCTGTGATGACCTCAGAGCTCTGGCCAAGAAGAAGGGGAAAGAGGAGCAGTGGACACTATCTAGATGATTAATCAACACCCCCAAAGCCTGTCCTATCCAGGTAATGTTTTGGGAGTAAGTCTTCCTATTTCCCACTCATCCTTCCTACACAATTTCTGACTTGCAAGCCTGTGTTCACCTGGCTGTAGCTATGTAGGATTATAAATTATTGCCCTTTCATCCTATGAGGATACAAACTTCTTGGGGGCCAGAACAAGGTTTTCATTTAGGAAGCATCTAGCACTGTGGGTCTCGGTCCATTCCCACTCCCAGACTGAACCTGGGAGAGGGAGGGTGTTGGAAAAAAGAGATGGAGAGAGGGAAGGAGAGATAGAGCTGGGGGAGGGGGGAAGAGAGACAGAGAGAAAGACAGAGGGAGAGAGAAAGAAAGAGAGAGACAGATGGGCTTCCAACTAAGTCTGCTAGGTTAAGAGAGAAAATGGAATGGATAGACTAAAGGTTCTTCCAGGTGGAGACACTATCTGGGGGGTAATTTTCTCTTTTCTCTTTCTTACCCCAAATATTTTCCCCATAGCGAAGGTGAGAAGGCTGAGTACCCCATGCAGTCTTTACACATGACTCTACCCACCACTGGGAAAAAGAGCCCTGCTATGAGCTGCCAACTGTGTGCCTCCACATCTCCTTACAAGAGCATTCACCACCACATTCTGTAGGCAGTTGGCTCAGGAGTGTTAGGCACAGAGACCCAGGAAATAAATGGCTTCCCTAAAGCAATGAAGCAGTTCAGCCCTACCAGAGAACCCCAGCACTGGGGGAGGGAGTTCAAGAGTGGACAGTGTCCCAGAGTTTCCCATGGAGCCCTGCACGCATTCCCATGCACGGCACCTGACCATGTGTGGACTAGGGGAGCCTCTGCAATGGCTGGGAACTAACGCTTTCCCAGCACCTACCATACAGACAATCAGGAGTCAAATGTTCACACCATCCTAGGGAAGCTGCCCGGGGAACTCCCAGACTTTTAAAATAGGGGTCTAGGCACAATGTGATACTCACAAGGCCCACAAAGAGAGTGAAGAGCAGAGAGCAGGCGTTGCCGACAGTAGTCAGACTTGCCTAATGGGCACTTCCTAAAAGTAGCCTAACTCAGGAAGGACAGCCACTTGTTAGGACATTGTGGGGGCATTCAAGCATTAGCTGGGTGGTTTCAGTAGATGACTTGTTTACTCCCTTCCAAGTGAGATAATGTGGGGTTGTGCTGGACTAATGGCTAAGAGGTTTACTTAGAAAGGACTATTGCAAGACTTGGGGCTTCTTTTCTGGGAAGTGGAGGAGGGACTTCTTAAAAATGGCAGTGAATAAGCTGCTAAGTACTGGGTTAATTGTTTTAAAAGACAAAAATAAAAAGATGACCATGAGGATAGTGTAATTAAAATGCCTACCCTCACAAGGAGCTAGAGAAGGCCCTGTATCCCTAAAGCCAGGGCTGAGCTGGGTTCTGTCCCAGCCTGACTCAGCAGGACTTGGTGACCTCACTGCACCATAGGGATGATGTCTGGGAAAAGTTCTGGAGAGCCAGCTGCCTGCCACAGAGACAGGAAGGTTGGAGTTACAGGCAGGCACTGGCTGGAGGAGGGAGCATGAGAAAGTGGCCACAACAAGCAATGAGGAGCAAAAGGAACCTGGGTGGTGGGGGGACTTGCCTGAGCTGGAAAAAAAGGTGGATGGTTGTACAGCTCCAAGCTCTGCCAGTCCAGGAAGAGCCAGGATCTTCCTGCTACGTTAGTGGAATAGGTGGGAAGGGACCCTACCCCTGCCCCAAATCTCTCTCCTACTCTGGTCCCACAAGATAGTAAACACCTTTATGGTAAACTGTGACAGCTAGCACTTTGCCTGCTGAATATCTCTCCCCAACCCATTTTTCTAGAATCGGAACCTGCCCATCCCCCACCCCAGGCAATAACCCGGATATTTGACCTAGGCCTGGCCAACAGAAGTTCCCCATTTCTCTAGACACAGTGATGGGTTCAGTGCACATGTCCCAGGCAGGTCCAATCAGAATCTTTCTCAGAAATTAGGAAAGAGAAGCTCTCTTTCTAATGGGCTTCCCAAGTAGGGACCATGTAAGCCCAGAGTTCACCACAGTCATCTTTCCTAGCTTTATGGCAGAATCCTATCCACAGTAACAAATAATGACATCAATACCCAGCAGGAAATAGAACAAATACAGAAAGAAATGGAGTCCAGACAATGTTGTTTGAGCTCCTAGATCCACCTATCCCTGAACTCCTAGGTAGGAGAGCCAATGAGTGCTCCTCTGACTTAAGCTAATTTGTGTTAGGCTTTTGTCAAGCTGGCTTACCTTTTAAGTCTTTGAAAGTCCCTGGAAAAATTCAAATTCCCATTAGGTATATGCCTTGACCCAGGTGAGAAACACCTAAATGGGAACCCAAGAACCAATAGTTGCCTGGGTCCTGGGAGCAGAAGCAAGAGTGGAGAATGAGTTGGGCATTCAGAGAGGAAAAATAAACACTTCCTTCTCCATCATTCTGCTGGGGACAGGTACTGAGGCCCATGTGCTTTTCCTGGGGAGTGTGAAGAGAAGGTCCAGTGGAATTGTAAGGCAGCCATTGCTACATCTGAATAGAAGACAGGGAGTCGTGGGGTGGGCCTACGCAAGAGTACACACTTGTTATGAAGCTTGTGTGCTTACTGTGCTTTCCAGCTGGAAAGGCACCGTACCCAGGGCCAGTTACTGCTGGCATCACGAGGCTCTGCTCCCTGCTTTGTGGAGTGCCTGCCTGGGTGAGGATGGCAGTCCCAGGCACCGTGTCCATCCGTGATAGACCTGTTTTCCTCCACCCCCGGCTCCCAGCATGGAACATCTCCTTTGAATACTTCTCAATCCTTTTGGCTCCTCTATGGGCACAGCTGGCTCAGAGGGCTCTGAGCAGCATCTTTCTATTCTGGGAAACTACAGCCACGCGCCCGTGTGAGCAAGTTTGCACCATCACGCTCTGAGACCAGAGTCCTGCCCTTTCTCCTCCTCTGTGCCTCAAGCTTCTGCATGTAGTGTGCCTGGCCCACTGAACCCTGCCTGGGGAGGGTGGGGTGCTGAGTGATGGAATGCTAGCCAGGGAGGGATACGACTGAGCCCCAGCTCCCCAGCCTGCCTGCCAGCCAGCAGAATAGTTATCTACATCCAAGAGTGAGCCAGGCTTCCCACACTAAATTAGCAAGAGCAAAGCAGATGTCTCCCTTCAGTGCAGCAAAGGATTATATGGGATAGAGTCAGCTTATTTCCCCTTATGTTACAGATAAGGGCAAGTGTGGGGATCAGAGTAGCTGCCTTTCTGGCCCAGGACCACACCATGAGTGGGCAGACTAAGGTCAAAGCTGCACTCACCCCCAGCCTGGTTCTGCTCCTCCCTGGCTAACCCAGGCAAGGTTTCCTTCCCCATAAACTTCTGACTCTCATTTTGCTCTTGGAGCTCTAGTATTCATTTCTTATGGCCTCTGAAGAAGGAATGAAGGCCATATTTTAGGTTTCATCTTCTTTTGTGTTGGCCATTTTAGAAACTTCACATTCTTGCCCTGTCTTCTGCCTTCCCCCCTGAGCCCACTCCCCTGTGGGAGAGCTCTGGTCTGAGACACTAAGCCCTCTTCTCTTCTCTAGATGTTCTCCCCTGCTGCAGTGCATACGAAGTTCCTCATCAGTAGCATAAGGGAGTTAATGCAGTTTAATTGTTTGTGTCTCCTCCAAAATTCATGTTGAAACTTAATCCCCAATTTAACAGTATTAAAAAGTTTGGCTTTTAGGAGATGATTAGGCCACAAGGGCTCCACTTCCCTCATGGATGGGATTAGGACCCTTATAAAGGGGATGGAGACAGTGAGTTTGAACCCTTTTTGTTCTTGCATCCCTTCCACCATGTGAGGACAGCGAGCGAAAGGCTCTATCTTGGAGGCAGAGACTGAACCTCCCCGTGCTTTGATTTTGGGCTTTCCAGCCAACAGGGCTGTGAGAAATAAATTTCTATTATTTATAAGTTACTCAGACTCAGGTATTTTACTATAGCAGCACTAACAGACTGAGACAGAGTGGAGGGGCCAGGCTCCTTGCTGGCTTGTCATACTGTGATCTCCCACCATCTTCAGCTTCTCAGCCTGAGTTCTGGCAGGTGAAACCTTCCCACCTGAGATGGTCAGGTTCACACCTCCCTCTCTTCAGCACTTACACTCACTGCAGGTGGCAGAGAATAATCGAGAAAGCATAGCTTCCTACACAGCCTGCCTGAGTTTGAATTCTCGCGCTGGCACTTACTCTCTGTAAGTTTAGAAAGTTACTCTCAGTTTTCTTGCGTGTAAATTGGAGATCGTCACCAGATGGGGTGGCACACACCTGTAGTCCCAGCTACAGGTGGGGAGAGGAACTGTGGGAAGGGGGTGAGGGTGAGGCAAGAAGGTTGCTTGAGCCCAGGAGTTCATGGCTGCTGTGCACTATGATCCTGTCTGTGAATATCCACTGCACTCTAGCCTGGGCAATATAGCAAGACCCCATCTCTAAAACAGATAAATAAATGAATTTGATATTATAATCTTCCCTACTTCATAGGCCAGCTGTGCTAATTACATGAGTGCATTCGTGGAAAGCCCTGGGATGGCGCATTCTGCTGCAGAGTGCTTCATTCGTGCTAGCTGTTATTCAGCAAAGATTTTTGAATGCATATCAAAAGAAAAAACACCCTACCCTTGCTTTAACTTGAGTTGGTCCTGACTTTATGTGTAAACCTCCTTTTTGGGGTTAGCACCTGCCCCCTTGCCTCTTGCTCGGCTGAACACCGATGGGACTCTATGGCTTTGGCTCTCTGGGGCTTTGTCAGGTTGTACCAAGAAACACCTCTGAGATGAAGGAGGTAGGAACCTAACCTGGGTTGTGGCAGAACTGGGTTTAAACTTCTGTTAAACCACTTAGTAGATGTGCAGCCTCTGGATAACTCCTTATCCCTCCATATCTCAATTCTTCCTTCTGAAAGAAGTGGTCATCATGGGGACCCCCTCTTGATGGCTTATCGATCAGAGGAAATCACAGATGAGTGTTGCAAAAGCAGTGTCCAAAACGTGGTGGAAACTCAGCAGGGTGTCGAGGGTGAAGGTCTGTGGCATGTGCCCGATCCTGCTCCCTCCCCGCTCAAACGCTACCCCTCAAAGAGGTCTGTCCTGACATCCCCTCTAAAAATGCCCTTCCCAAGGCCCTTCCCAGCACTATTTTTCTTAATACCCCCTAACACCAGCTGGCATTTTATATTTCATCCTTCCATTTGTTTATTGTCAAATTCTCCACTGCACTGACCCTCTCAGAGGGCAGGCCCTCTGCCTGAGTCTGGTTCCCAAAGCCTGAAGCAGTGCCTGGCTCATGTGGACATATTCAATAAATGTTGCCACTTGAGAGTGTATTTTTTATCCTAGTCATTTTTGGTTCCCTCATGGCATGTTTTACGGCAAGCGGCAAGGTTTTGAATCCAGCAGAACAGGATTTAAAACTTGCCTTTTCTACCTTAAGAAATGAACTCTGAGCTCCTGTTCGTCCTTTTGTAAAACAGAGAGAATAATATTTATACCACAGGGTTATCGTGAAGATTAACTGAGATGATGGTGTCTACAACAGTGACTGACACACAGGTAGCTCACGAAACCCTTGCTGAATTGATAAGTGCAGGAAGGAAAGATGGAATCAACTCCCCCTTATCTGAGCCCCACCTGCCCCACCTTTCTTTCCTCGCTCACGTCCTCCTTCCTTCCCCTCCCCGAGGCTGGCACACTGGGGACCCTGCTGATCCTGCAGCCACAGGCATCTGTCTGTCTGCGTTCCTGCTGGCAGCAGCAATCTGGATCAGCATTGGAAATTATGACCCTTTGAAGAAAGGGTCAGCCACTATTTTAGCTCAAGTGCCACAAATAGGAAACAAATTTTGCCAGAGGCACCAGGGTGGCTGAAGGAACATTTTTCCAATTTTCACAAAGGCGTCACCAATACCCATTGGAACTTTGGCTTTATGTTTGGTTTTTTCTATAAGGCCACTAATATTCACTTCCTGTATCTCTTTTTTCCTTTTTTCCAATCTATGCAAAGTCATCTTCCTTTTTCTTGCTTCTATTTTTTTTTTTTTTTTTTTTTGAGACAGAGTCTCGCTCTGTCACCAGGCTGGATGGAGTGCAGTGGCACAATCTCTGATCACTGCAACCTCCGCCTCCCTGGTTCAAACAATTCTCCTGCCTCAGCCTCCTGAGTAGCTGGGACTACAGGCACACGCTGCCATGCCCAGCTAATTTTTTTTTTTTGTATTTTAGTAGAGATGGGGTTTCACCATGTTGCCCAGGCTGGTCTTGAACTCCTGAGCTCAGGCAATCTGCCCGCCTCGGCCTCCCAAAGTGCTAGGATTACAGGCATGAGCCACCATGCCCAGCCTCTCACTTCTATTTTTATACCTCTCCTTTTTTTCGGCTTTTGTCCTTTTCTTCTTTCCTTAAGAAGCAAGCCTCCTTGCGCTAGTCTCAGTGCCTTCTCTCACTGGTCCCTTACTCCCAACCCCATCTTCCTTGCTCTGCGGGTGGACAGAATATGGTAAGATTTCAGTATCTGGACATAGGAGGAGATAGAAGGCCCAACATTGTTAGGCTTACATCACTGGGGAAAATTGATCCTACTGGTCTCCGTCCCTCTCTTTTCAAGCTGTCAGAGTGAAAGCACTGGGTTATCCCTGCCACACAATTTTCTCCATTATCCTGTTAGTAAGTAGAAAGAACTACACAGTTAGAACAAATACAAAGACAATGTACTCTGTGGGGCTTCTGAAAGAAGGCATCAGGGTTGTTGGGTCTGGGCTAGTTTGATTTCATAGTCTTCTCAGCCCCATCCAAGAGTCAATCTGTAAGACTTCTGTAAACCACACACAGGCAGCTCACAGAGCACAGGCTCTAATCTTGGTGTTCAACCAGGGACCTACCACTCTCCCTAGGGTCAGTCACCCTACCCTTCATCATTCATATATAGCCTCTTGAGTTTACATTTTCTCTTCTGTCAGATGAGAATAATAATCTCTACTCAGCTCTGCACCCTTTACAGCGTGTTCTGGGGAACAAATGTGAGGCTGCAGGCTCTAGGCATTTGGAAAAAGGGTAGGGAGGGGCTTCAGAAAAAGTCTGTAAATGCATCCTGCTTTCTTCCCTGTTAACACGGTTAAGTGGAGGCCCAGATCACATTTTTTTCTTTTTTCTTTTTTTCTTTTTTTGCAAATTTGAGGAAAGCCCAGATTCAGAGGAGCAAGTCCCATCTGAGACGGAGTATTTTCTCACTTGGAATAGCAGAGTTGGAAGGTGTCAACTCAACAGCTCAAGTCAGATTTTGAATACACTTGGCCTCAAGGCAAGCTATTCCTTCCTGTATCAGCATCCCAGCTTCACACATCCCATCTGAGCTGAGCCAGGGCTGGATCTCAGAAGACACACGCTCCTGGGGCCTTTGCTCAGTCTGAAGTCAGGGGCCTAGCCTTTGTCAGAATGTGATATGGTGCTGGGTGCCTTGAAGTGACTGGAGTCCATGGTACTGTGAACCTGAACGTGTCAGCCACTTAGGAGTAATCCAGAGAAACCTTTTTCTTACAAAGGACAAGCTGAGTGGCCCTGGATTTTACAAAATGAAAAGTGTTTTAAATGACACAGATATTTAGGTTAAAGGAGAAAGTTAGAGGAAGATATATTAGGGGAATATATACATGCACATATACAAATGAATACATTATTATGAGCCAGGCATTGTGCTAAGCACTTTACATGCTAGATTTCATTAATTTAAATGCTTAAGAAGAAAAATGGAGGAAAAGAGTTGTCTAAGTCGCTGAGAGCATACATTTATCCTGTACCACAGAATGAAGATGAATGAAAAGCCCTGGTAAGAAAGTCGGTAAAAGGATCCTACACAGAGACCATTTTTAGTCTGGGCTGCTAGCCAGAGGTATCTAGAAGAAAGGAAATAATGAACTTGTAGAATGTCAGAGCTGGAAAGAGCCTCAAAAATGCATCTTGTCTAACTACCGTCTGTTCCATCTTACAGATGAGGCTAACGAGGTCCAAAGAAGGGAAGTGGCATACCCACCGTGACACAGTTGGTCGGATCCAGTGCCCACTCCTCGGCCAGAGATCTTTCAGAAAAATCTAACAGGGTCCTCAGTCTCCTACCAGCTAGATTTTTTTTAAATGACTGTTCTTATGTTGCCCAAGCTGGTCTCAAACGCCTTGGCTCAAGCAATCCTCCTATCTCAGCCTGCTGAGTAGATGGGACTACAGGCACACAACCCTGCGCCTGTCAGCCAGATTTTTAAGTCACCATATTTCGTGGACCAGAAAAGTCATCTGTCCTGGAGTGTTGTACATGTCTCTGCTATTCACTTGTTAACCTGTGAATGAGTAATCGCCATGTGTTGCCATTGCCACGCATCACATAAAAAGTCTCTTTTTGCTGATGCCCAGGCTTACCAATCCAGCACTAGAAGTGATGTGCCCTCCTTGGCTTGCTAATGCATCTGCTTATGGAGCCAGCCAGCCAGCTTCATCCTGGATTACGGTCCCAATGTCTTTATTGAGGTCTGGCCCCTAAGCGCAAGAAAGCCAGGCTTGGCATCTGCCATTTGAACCTGTTTGTGTTTCTTGGGACCTTAGATTCACAGGACATTCAAGCTGATAGAGAGCCCATGTGGTATCTGGCTCAACCCCACCAATTATAGAGCAGCAAGATGACTTGCCCAAAAGTGGCACAACTAGTTAAAAGCTGTGATGCCAGTGCCTCTGCTCACTTCCTATAGGAAAGTACTAGTGTTGATTATGGTCATGTACTAGTATAGATCACTAGTACCAATGGATACTGGGAGAGTGTCACTGCTGGGACCACAGTATGAGGAGAGAGGAGTGGCAGGAAAGAGCATCATCCATGCAGCCGGATGCTTGTGCACTGCACACCTGGTCAGGGAGGCTGCAAGAGCTCTGCTTCCTTGCATTTGCCCAGAGAAACACTTTCCACTGTACAACTCATTTACATCTCATTTGACCTTTAGGAAGGACACAGAACAATAATTCTCAGCTCCACTTCCCAATAAGGTTGTACAGGCTCAAAGATAAATAATTGATATCAAATAACAATATGATTTAAGTTTAATATAAATAATAAATGATAATAATATAGTATCAAATAATTGACTATGTTCACACAGCAAGTAAGTTATGGAGACTGAGGTCCCATATCTCTAGGGGTGCGCTTCCTACACAATAATAGCCTTGATAATAAATGACACTTATTTAGCATTTACCAGGTGCCTCTCACTGTCATTCTAAGCTACACAAACATATATATATGTATATATGTATGTATACGTAACTTCTCATTCATTCTTCGTAACAGCCTTTTTAACGTAGGTACCCATTTCATAGACAAGAATATCAAGAGGTTAAAACAAAGTTCAAACCAAAACCATATTCAAATAGCAATACTTTGTTCAGGGATTTCAGCTCGTGGAATCTGCCCAAGACTCAATGCTCTTGAATCACCAGTTGTAGGCAGAACTTTCCTTCCCTCATTGCCTTCCACCCAACCAAACACACACACTGTCTCTTCATTCCAAAAAGGAGCTAAACTAAAGCCCAGAAGTTCCATGAACTTTTTGTTCCTGGGTTGCCCAGGATCTCTCATTTTAAGCTTAATAATAGCAAGAGGAAACCTCTGGGTGCGGCGGCAGCACTTGCTGGGCTGCACAGCCTGGGCGAGCATGTCCTGAGAGTGGGGAGGCGGCAGGCCGCTCCAAGAGCGCCTCCAGAGGCCGAGCAAGGAAGTGGCAGGGCCCAAGGCTCCTGCAGCATGGGCGAGATGGGGATGCGCTTAAACAACAGTGATATTAAGAGAGTTTGACTCGAATCTAGAAAGCAATAAACTGAAATCTTTAAATCCATATAATGCCCCACAATCAAAAACCAAATTATCTGGTATCAAGGGCAACTGAGTAGATAGTAAGTACAGGCAAGGAACGGGTGGGTGGTGGAGTGAAAAATCCAGGGTGGAAAGAACATGCCAGTCAACAGGTGGGAGAGAGAAAAAGCAGGATAAACAGAGGATTTGCAAGAATGCCCAGGAGAGAAAATGAGATATTTGAGTAGAGCCGAGCTGCAGGATGGGGGTGGGATCGGCGTTTGCTTCCTCAGCACAGCATGATCAGAGGGTGCTAGCCTCAGGGACAGCGGGCTCCATGTTCTGCTTCTCCAGGTCTGGGATTCTGTCACCACAGGGAAGAGCTTTTTCAGGAAAGGCATACTGGAGGGACATGTATCCTGTGATCGGTGTCAAGAGTGTGGTGCCATCCCTAAGGAGAGGCTAGAAATCAAAATTATAGCTTTAAAAATTGAAAAAAAATTATTTTCATTTCTATCTATTTCCAGGTCACTAAGTCCAATAATAGGATCATTCACTTCTCAATCATGCTCAACCCCAGGCATCTGCTCAGTTCATATGTCTGCAGAATGGAAGAAATATGCAACCTGAATATCTACTAAAACCATGACAGGTTCTTTCTTTATTTCCTTTTTTTTTTTTTTTTTTTTTTTCTGATGGAGTCTCACTCTTGTTGCCCAGGCTGGAGTACAGTGGCACAATCTCAGCTCACTGCAACTTCCGCCTCCTGGGTTCAAGTGATTCTCCTGCCTCAGCCTCCCGAGTAGCTAGGTCTACAGATGCTCATCACCATGCCTGGCTAATTTTTGTATTTTTAGTAGAGACGGGGTTTCACCATGTTGGCCAGGATGGTCTCTATCTCTAGACCTCGTGATCCGCCCACCTCGGCCTCCCAAAATGCTGGGATTACAGGTGTGAGCCACTGTGCCCAGATGCAGGTTCTTCCTTCGACTCTGAAGAGCTCACATTCCAAATTTGTCAGTAACTGTTTTTTTGTTTTATAGAATATCTCACAGAGTAAGAAGCTCAGAGCTTCAGACAAGTGAGGAGATAACACTGCATATGTAATTCTGTCAGAATCCCAAGCCAAGAGTTTGTGATGCTGAGCTGAGAGAGCATAGGGCCTCTCAGTGTTACTGAGTGTGTGTGTGTGTGTGTGTGTGTGTATTTGTGTGTGCGTTGTGCATCTGTGCATGTAACCCACGGGCAACAGGGAATATGAAGTGGTCTACAGTAGACACTGGTGGGCCTGTCCCAAAGGTGTCACATGTGGCGTGCACATGTTCATCACCATCCCTGAACCAATCTGGAGAAGCAGGGTCCTGTGACTGTCTTACTGAAGGCTCCCACCCAGGGCTTCACTCTATGTATAGGGAATAAATCAAGCTTAAGGTAATGAACTGCTGGGGGCAGGTAACAAATCTCAGGGAAAGATGGATCCCTGTGAGCTACATTTGGATGTGCAAAGCCACCAAAAGAATAATAAACAAGGAGGGACATTCACAAAGACATAGCCCTGAGAACAAGGAGAGTGGGGGCTGAGATGTACCAAGAGGGGATCCTGATGAAGGATTAAGCTCCTTGGGTAATTTTCTTCCATCAGCTAGGTGAAAAATGGCACCGAGCTGCAGCGCTACGTTTTCCATTCTATGAGATAACTCCATCTGTGCTTCTTTTCTAGGGCTGTGGCAGCAAAGTACCACAAACCGGGTGGCTTAAAATGACAGAAATGTATTGTCTCATAGTTGCGAAGGCTGGAGGTCCAAACTCAAGTTGTCAGCAGGGCGGTGCTTCCTCTGCAACCTGTGGAGGGGATGCTCACTCACCTCTCCCAGCCCCTAGTTGCTGCCAATCCTTGGCATTTCCTGGCTTGCGGCTGCAGCACCTCAGTCCCTGCCTCTACTGCTCCATTGCCTCTCTTTCCCCCATGTCTATCTGTGTCCAAATTTCCCTTCCTCATAAGGACATTTTTCACTGGATTAGGGCCCAAACCTAATCCAGTGTGACCTCATCTTGACTTGACTACATCTCTAAAGATTTTATTTCCAAAAAAGGTGACAGTCACAGGTAATAAACATGTCTTTGAGGGGACACAATTCAATCCATCTCATCACCGATTACCCTAGCCTTTTGGTAAACCTCACACAGCCTAGAGTTGTACTGTGAAGAGAAAGAGACAGAACCACAGAGGAAGTGTAGCCTGCCTCCCACCCCTCTCCACTGTGGCGGGAGAGAGGGGTTCTATTTAAACCAGCTTGGGAGATGCTGTGAAGAGCAATAGCAACTGCCTCATGTACTCCTTCTCCTCCCCCATATAATTTAGAGGGTAATGACCCTTAGAAGGGGTGTGTGTGTGTGTGTGTGTGTGTGTGTGTGTGTCCCATTTGCACTGGTCTTATTCCACCTCCATCCCCAGAAAATCATAAACCTCTAGGGAACAGAACGGTGCCTGGCTCTCATGTGTATTCTCTATATTCCAGGTGCAAGCTGCTGCACTCAATAAATATTTGTAAAATTGAATGGAATGAACCTAAATTGAGTTGTGGGGAACAAATCATGCCAACACTCCTTTGGCCTTGGAAAGTAAAAAGAAGGGAATTTGTTAAGAGAAAGGCCAGGGCTGGGAAAGGAGAGAAAATGATTCCCCCGAAGTACTGATGAGGCCAGCCATGTCGATAGCTCTTCTTCTAGCATGTTACTAACTTTTCAAAGGTTCCACCTCTCTTTGTCCTCTCAGTAAGGACATCTGTCCAGCTCCCTCTCTATGTTGTTTGAAATTATAAAAGTGTCACCTCCACTGAAGACCCTTCTGTTACCACATGACTGCTGGTGTCCCTCAGGCGCCCCCCGCAATGATGCTCCTGTCACTGTTAGTACCCGAAAAGTAACAGTGTTGCCACTAACGCCCGGCTCACACCTCTGCAGCATCACTGACTCCCACCAAGCACCAAGGCCACCACCACTACCAATGTCACCAGCTTTCTGTGGAAGCCAGCACCACTGCCCCAAGCCTGCAACTCCTGTTAGCAAAGCTGCTGCCAAAGCAGCTGCCCCAGCCCTGAGGCTACTACCATGCTGGGCTCTCCATGCTTCTTGGAGAACATAGAAATACTGCTTCAGGTATCTATAATGCCTGTCTGGCAGCCCCCTCACCCTAAGGCCCAGCACAGGACCATGGGGATGAAGGCATCCTGAGCAGAAGACCACACTAGTCTCTGGTCGCCCCTCCATGCTGCGATGGCCCACTGTCCTTGACCCAAGCACAGCTGCTGCATCCTTCCTCCAGTCAGATTTAGTCCTGACCCGGATCTCAGGCCCTGCAGACCTCTTTGTGGGACTTCCCAGCAAGCCTGAATCCTGCAGCAGACCCCGATAAAACCAAAGCTGGAAATCTAACACATCAAAGCTTAATTTTTGCCTAACATGTATTCTAGGTAAAAAAGCTAAGCCTAGTGGCAGGGCCCAAGAGCAAGCAGGACAAGGTTAGCCAGCAGCTCTAACAAGGATCAAGCTTTGGGCAACAGAGAATCTCTGCGGCTCCATTTTCTTTTTCCCATTTGGCCTTTCTAAGAACTCTGAATGTGTTTCCCGTAGTCATCGTCCTCGCTTTGGGAAATTGATTAAGAGCAAAGGCCAGGGCCTTGATACAATCAGAAATAGCCCAAATTGTGTGGGACAAAGTGAAAACTGCAATGCAGGCAGCCTGCTGGCTTTGCCACAACCATACCCAAGGCTGAGTGCAATCCATTTTATCAAGCTCTATATATTCACTTTTTTAAAGAAATAAAGAAGCTCCAGTATCCTACCAGTACCCCCCGCCACCTCCTCTTATGATATCAAAGTGTTCAAGGCCACAGCAGGCCCTTAGGCTTGGGCTGTCCTTGACTGGAGCTCTCTGGGGCTGATGCCTCCTGCTTTGAGGGACAAACCACAACATGACTGAAGGTCTCTATAGAGCTGTGAAGAGCTCTAAGGGTGCATCATAATCTTAACAATGGGTCAGACTCAACCATCCCTCCCCACAGCCCCACTTGACTCAGGGATCAATGCACAGGAAGGCCATGGGAGCTGGCTGGAGGACTCTCAGGTCCTGCTTCTATACTCAGAAGAGGCACTTAATGGAGAGAATGAAGTCACGTGCACAACAGTGATAGGAATGGAAAGACTTTGAAATAAATATGTCTTTTAACAAAAAGGGAGATCTCACTCTGTGTCCACCCAGTGCTAAGTTCTGTGCCTAAGAGATGCAGAATGTGTAAGACATGGCCTCCTGTCTTCAAGAAGTGCTTTCTTCTTGAGGGCATTTAATGACCAACAGTGATCCATGGAACACCAGAAAGAATAATTTAAAAATGGACACACAGAAGGGCCCAGCATTCACCTTTCAGTTGTTTGTGTGTTTTAATAGACTTTATGTTTCAGATCAGTGCTAGGATCATAGCAAAATTGAGCACAGGTACAGAGATTTCCCATATACCTCCTCTCCCCACACATGCGCAGCTTTCCCTGCTATCAATATACATCACCAGAGTGGTGCATTTGTTCCAGCTGATGAACCTACCTTGACTCATCACCATCACCCAGGGTCCATAGTTGACATTAGGGGTCCCTCCTGGTGTTGCACATTCTATTGGTTTGGGCAAGTGTGCAATGACATGCATCTACCATTACAGAATCATACAGAATAGTTTCACAGCGCTAAAAATTCTCTGTGCTCCACCTATTCATCCTACCTTTCCACTTTTACTTATAAGAGTTTGCTTCAATGAAAACAACAACAACAACAACTGGGAAGTAGCTTTTCCTGTTCTTGATTCATTCTGAACAACTCCTTGGGGAATGGGCTATGGAGAGTTGGCCCCAGGAAATTGGATGCTGTTAATGCCGACGTGAAGTAAACAGATTGGAGAGTCGGGTTTCACCTCATTTGAAGGTTTTAACTGGTGAGAACCCTACTTAAGTAGGTACCTTCCTGTTGTGGGTTGAATCATGTCCCCTAGAAAGACAAGTCCTACCCCCGATATAATCAAGCTAAGAGGAGGTCATTCTAGATGAGAGTGGTTCCTGATCCAATGACTAGTGACCTTATAAGAAAAGGGAAATTTGGACACAGAGACACACAGGCAGAGTGCCATGTGATGACGGAGGGAGAGCCTGGAGTGATAAAGCTGCAAGCCAAGGAACACCAAAGATTGCTGGTAATTACCAGGAGCCAGGCAGAGGCAAGGGAGCCCTTCCTCCAGTGCCTTCAGAGGGAGCGTGGCCCTGTCAACACCTTGATTTTGGACCTCTGGTCATCATAAAAGTGAGATGACAAATTTCCATCATTTTAAGCTACCCTTGTCACGGCAGCCCAGGACACCCATATGCTTCCCAACCTCTACTTCCCTGTCCCTGCCCCTCAACTCCACACACGCCCCCAATGCTGGTGACGCTTCTGCTGTTTTAAAGCAGAGACTTGGAACTGCTTCCTGCCTGGCCAAGATTTCCTCACTCCTCACACAGGGCCCTTGATCCTGGAGCAGTCTCTTGTGGCAGAGAAACATGAAGATGGTCAAAGCAGCCAGAAGAGACACCTCCAGGGTGCCTGAGGAGCAAACAACTGAGATAACAGTGAGCGAAGATGCCACCAAAAAACATACTGCGGCTAACCTGACACAGAGGAAACAGACTCTTGAGAGAACAGCATTTTATTTGTTCCAAGCTGGGACAGCCCCCAGCTAGGCCTCCCAGGACCGTTTCCCTTCCTCTGAGGCTAGGAGAGCCCCTGGTGAGGGGAAGTAGCACCCTTCTCCATGCCAGGGCAGACAGCCTTGGAAGGTGGATGTCACTTACAGGGAGAACTCTCAGGTGCCTCCTCAGCTCCCACTCCCATCCCACATTGGCAGTTGAGGCCTCTCAGCACTCCCTTGTGAGTCTAGCCACACCCTTTCATAAAAGCACAGGCTCAGTTGAAATTAAAGAGATTCTCAGAGCACAAAAAAACTCAGCCAGTGAAAACCCAGCCACCTGCACAATTGAAAGGGCCCAGAGGCTTGGTTTCATTGTCTATGTGGAATTTATTTGCATTGATATTCCCCTCCAAACTAATTGGCATACTCATAAATACCAGCCTATTCCCTAACTCACTAAGTGACAATAAGAAGTCAAGGGACTCCACGTCCAATTCAAGCTCTCCTAAGACAGAGCTGCCTTCCCCTCTTCACTACTCGCAGTGCCTCACACCGGGGGAGCTCAGCAATGCTGCCAATTGGCAGGTTAGGTGAATTGAATTATGGGGAAGCACAAAGTCAACACATCCAAGGAGGTATTGCACAGAGCCAGGGTGTTTATTTACCTCCCTCGTGCCAAGAGATCTGCATCATATTTAGAAACCCATTTTGGCAGAATAATAGTGAAAAGAAAAAAATTCACTGAGAACTCCATTAGTCCAACACCTTCATTTTGCAGCCCAGAGAAGTGACATAATTTGCTAAAGCCATACAACCACCTATGGAAAGACAGGGACTTGAACCTAGTTTCCTTGACTCCTAGTCCAGTGGTCTTTCTGGAACTGAAAGAGAGAAAGGGAAACAATGTGTACTTTGATGAACCAAGGACAAGAAGCAATAGGGATACTCAGGCCCAGGAGGACATTGAGAAACTGGCACTCAATTTGCCAATTTGATAACCCTGGCCAAGAGCCCCCTTTTCACCCTTACTAGGTCATCCCCTAGTCACTAAGCCAAATGGGGGCATTGCCTATATGCTTGTTGCCTGAGAAAGTGACTCTTAGGGGGTTAATATAGTTGTCCAAGCCACATTAAATCCAGAAAGTACTGTTGATCTGCTCCTTGGTGTTATGATGACCAAAAAGGAAAGCTCCAACTTTTTGTGCTTATTGTTGGATATCTAGGCATTCAGGGCCCTCTACAATCTGATTCCAATCTCCCTATTCAACCTTGCCTCTCTGGGAGGTGTAGATGTGTAAATTGTTTTACTGTCCAGCTTTCATCCCTCTTCTTATATTCATTTAAAGTAATGCTAGCTAGTAACAGGTAAACCTCAAAATTATTAATATAATAAGCATGTTTCTTTTTTTCACCTAACAGACCAGACAGGCTGAATTGCATCTCCTCCAGGATGTAATTCAGAGATCTAAGCTCCTCTATCTTGCAGAGAAGCACCTTCAACATGTGGCTCTCAAGAAGATATTGGGTAATCATCTGCATTGCAGCCGGCCAGAGGGGAAAGGAGCATGGAAGAGCATACCTGGGAATTTGCATGGGAGTGACGCATGGGATATGGCTTCACTTCCACTCATATTCATTGGTTAGAACTCAGTCACATGTCCACACCCAAATACAAGGGAGGCTGGGACATACAGTCTAGTTCTGTGCCTAGGAAGAAGAAGAAGGAGCTTTGTTAATTAACTGGTAGTTTCTGCTACCTGTCCCAAATTACTTATGTGTACTTAATCTTTTCCTTATTTTGTGGAATTGACAGAAGGATGATTTTTAGTTCTCCCTCTCACTGGCCACCTCCCACTATGGAAGCCAAGGGATCCAGCAACTTCCTCTACAACATGCACAGCCCAGGACCAAATATGTGACTTAAGCTCAGCCAATCACTTATTTTCTATCAGGATATTGAATCTTGAAACAAAGGCACAAAAGATGCAACAAAAGACAGAGTGCTTGGAGGTCATTCTGATTACACAATGGTGGTGGTGATAGTGATGGTGATGGTGGTGGTGATGGTGATGATGGTGGTGGTGGCAATGGTGATGATGTTGATGGTGGTGGTGATGGTGATGGTGGTGATGGCAGTAGTGGTGGTGATGGTGATATTGGTGATGGCAGTAGTGGTGGTGATGGTCATGGTGGTGGTGATGGTGATCATGGCGGTGGTGCTGGTGATGGTGGTGATGGTGAAAATGATGGTGGTGATGGTGGTGATGTGGTAGTGATGGCGATAGTAGTGTTAGTAGTGATGATGGTGGTGGTGGTAGTGGTAGTGATGATGGTGGTGGTAGTGGTGATGGTGGTGACCTCTAGTGAACACTGAGATGTCCAGTGCATAAGCAGAGCCCAGGTTTGTGCCTTTACTTCTGTTTTCCACACCCACTCCACTTATCCTTCTTGCCATGGTGCCATGTGTTTACTTTTAGCATCTAAATATCACCACCTTGTTTCGCAGTAGAAAGAAAGTCTGAGAATGACTGTGCCGGGCAGAAAGAGCTATCCCTTGGAAATCACATAATACTCGCACCACCTGTTGCCACCGATGACTGAAGAAATTCAGAAGATCTCACCTTTATTATAATCCCTTTATTTTCAAATGAGAGGAAAGTAAGTGGCAAAAATTTAAAGACTTCAAACCTAGTAAGTGATGGGTGGAACAAATATCTTGACTACCCACTGCAGTCACCCACTCCCCTATTTCCACCTCCCTTTGCTTACAGAAGACTGTCACAATTGGCAGCCTACCCAGTGGCTGGAAGCAATTTAGTGTGAACTTGTTAATCTTAGCATTTAAAGGCAGCATCCCAGTGGCACTCCTCCCCTCAGTCTCCACAGGCTACTCCACTGTCCTCTCCTCTCCAGAGACCTGGGGTTGATGGGCTGCAGTGTTCAAGTCAAGGGAATGTTTTGGAGAGCAAGGCCTTCTAAGAGTCTTTCTACTTGGAATGGAGCTGTCTGCCCGTGTTAACTGCCTAGCGTGTGATAGGCACTAGAGATGCCAAAATGAAGAAATTCCAGTCCACACTCCATCTCTGAAGTGTATACTTAGATCAAAGTGAAGGCAACGGGTCTGAGGCAGATCGCTCTTCCCTAGAGAGGTGAAGCTGCCCTTCTGGCTGAGGAAATCTGAAGCAAGAGCGTCACAGAAGGTAAAGTGGAAGCTATCACAGAATGATATGGTTTGGATTTGTGTCCCCACCCAAATCTCATGTCGAATTGGAGGAGGGGCCTGGTGGGAGGTGATTGAGTAATGGGGGTGGATTCTCCCTTGCTGTTCTTCTGATAGTGTGTGAGCTCTCATGAGATCTGATGGTTTCAAAGTGTGTGACACTTGCCCCTTCTCTCTCTCTCCTGCCACCACATGAAGAAGGTGCTTGTTTCCTCTTCACCTTCTGCCATGATTGTAAGTTTCCTGAGGCCTCCCAAGCCATGTCAATTAAACCTCTTTTCTTCGTAAACTACCCAGTTTCAGATAGTTCTATATAGCAGTGTGAGAATGGACTAATACCTAGATACTATTTAGTCCAGAAGTTTTCAAACTTTTAAAAGTGAGAAACCCTGCTTTCAAATGAAATTCCATGTGGAATCCCAATACATAACAGATAAAAGTAGAGTGCTCTCTTTGAAGTAGGAATAGAAATTCTAGAGCTCTCACTCCACCCTCTTGATGGGCTCACAGGCACTGAGAGTTCCAGGAATGCCAATTTGAAAACCACTGATCTTGCCTGGGCACGTGGCTTACACCTATAATCCCAGCACTTTGGGAAGCCAAAGCAGGTGGATTGCTTGAGCCCAGTAGTTCAAGACCAGCCTGGGTAACATGGCGAAACCCCATCTCTACTAAAAATACAAAAATTAGTTGGGCATGGTGGCGCACACCTGTGGTACCAGCTACTCTGGAGGCTGAGGTAGGAGAATTGCTTGAATCGGGAGGTGGAGGTTGCAGGGATCCATGATCATGCCACTGCCTGGGGGACAGAGTGAGACTCCATTTCAAAGAAAAAAAAAGAAGAAAACCACAGATGTCATCCAGCTGGTTGCTTATTTCACAGATGAGGGATGCGATACTAGGCATTTTAGCCACATTAGTGACTGGAACCCATGTCTCCTGATCTTCATTTCTAATCTCTTTCCACCAAGTTTGCCATTTTCTGACTCAGTTTCTTCATCTTTAAAATGGGATAGACCCATCATATCTGCTTCACCCACCGGGGGCTCCCTGAGGATCAAGGGGGTGTGAAAGCACAATGAAAAGCCTAGCCAGGTGCAGTGGCTCACGCCTATAATCCCAGCACTCTGAGAGGCTGAATGTGAGGATCACTTAGAGCCAAGGAGTCTGAGACCAGCCTGGGAAATATAGTGAGGCCCTGTCTCTACGAAAAAATTAAAAATTAGCTGTGATTGGTGGTGCACACCTGTGGTCCCAGCTACTGAGGGGGCTGAGGTGGGAGAATCACTTGAGTGCAAGAGGTCAAAGATGCAATGAGCTATAATTGTGCTACTGAACTCCAGCCTGGGCAACAGAGTGAGACCTTGTCTCAAAAACGAAAAGAAAAACACAGTGAAAAGTCTAAATCTACTGTTATTGCTCCTCTAGAGTAAGGAAATTGTACCCAATGATGCTTCTTCAACATTCCTTGTTCCCGTTGAAACTATTCCTTCTTCATCTCCAGGTGAGTAGAAGAAAGCCAAGGATCGGGGCTTAGAAACCAATGGGAGGCTCCCCATAAACAGGGTCTGCAACCTCCGGTACAGAGGGCAGGTGAGTGCTGCAGCAGTGTGCCTCAAAGGAGGCATAGCATCTGAGAAGTGCCCTCCCCTCTGTCAGAATGTCTCCTTGCTATTTAAAAGGAGCTTTAGGTTTCTCAGAAAAGTCTCAGAAGCCCCATTTTCTTAGTGTTTTTGCTGTGAGGAGCTACTCTAAGTACCTCAGGGCTGCCTGCTTAGAGCCCAGCTCCCTCATGAAGCTTTATCTTTATATCCCATTGTTTGCCTCCTGGGGAAGATGAGCAGTTTCTTGCCTAGGGCTTCAATTAACACAGGGTAGGACCAGCAGCCCTGCACCTTTTCTTGAGTGTGAGGGTAAGGCACCCTGCAGGGGCTCCTTGCGATGGAGGAAAGATGAGCTTAGAATGCTGCGGCTTAATTCTCAGGGCTGGGAATGGGCAGAGAAGTAAAAGCAGATTCCTCATACTTTCCCTCGTCTGGAGATAAGGGGGCATCTAGGAGGATCCAGGCACTTTACTTGTACACCTTCACTTCCAGCTCCAGAGCCTCCCAAGCCTGAGAGGAGCAGGGAGGGCATCTGCAGGGGATGGGACTAGATGTAGTCAAACCTTTCTCATTGCCCCAGAAGCCCGTACCACGTGACTCACTGTACTCAGGCACAGAACCTTCCCCAGGCACATTCTCGGATCCCGCAGATTCTGGTAGGAATCACGCAGCGAGAATATTATTAGTTCCACTGACAGATGAGCAAACAGATGCCCACCAAGGGTAGGGGTTTGGCCTGCATCATGTGTGGGGACTTCAGCAGACATATGCTAGCCGGGGCTTCTACACCCCAATTTAGGACTGTTAATCGTCTGACTGAATATTGTTCCATCCCAACTCTGTGGGAGCTGTGGATCTGCTCATCTGAGATGGTAAAAGGTGAGAAAGCAAACATGGGGAAAGAGACCTGGAGGGGAGTCCCAGGTTTTCCAAGGCCCTAAGCTAGTTTTCCCACACCAGCCACACTCAGCACGTTTTATTTGAGTCACAGTGAATCAGACAAGTGTCAGATCCAACAGATCCAGACTGAGGTGGTATCTGAGTGCCTTAACTCTAGACTTTCCTGAAACTGTGAAGAGGCAGCACCCAAATGGAAGAAGCTATACAAGATGAGTGTGTTTACACCACAGCAAAAGGGATTTAATTTAGATTGCAGGAGGAATTCCACAACATCAGGTATGCTGTTTCAAATGGTTTGAAGAAATGATATCTAAATCTCAAAGGCCTGATGATTTCTCTCAATTCATTCTTTCTTTCTTTCTTTCTTTCTTTCTTTCTTTCTTTCTTTCTTTCTTTCTTTTCTTTTCTCTTCTCTTCTCTTTCTCTCTCTCTTTCTTTCTTTTTTTTAGACAGGATCTCACTCTATCGCCCAAGTGGAGTACAGTGGTACAATTATAGCTTACTGTAGCCTTGATCTGCCAAACTCAAGTGATCCTTCCACCTCAGCCTCCTGAGTAGCTGGGATTATGAGCACATGACACCACATCTGGCTAATTAAAAATAAAAAAAAAAGTTTAGTAGAGATGTGGTCTCACTATATTGCCCAGGCCGTTCACAAACTCCTGAGCTCAAGCCATCCTCCTGCCTCGGCCTTCTAAAGTGCTGAGATTACAGGTGTGAGCTGCCACTCCTAGCCTCGAATATTTCTTTAATCTGTCCTCCCCTCTCCTAGGTTGAGGGAATTCCTCTTTCACTTAGACAGCAAAGTGAGTCTCCTAACTGCCTCTCATCTTGCTTCCTTCTAAGCTGTCCTCCACATGGGAGATAGAGGCAGCTGTGAAACCAAGCCTGACCACACCACTCTCCTCCCCAGATCATGACTAAGTTGTTTGCCATGGGGTCCTACACTTTTGCCTCCCAGCAACACCAGTCTAGTCTCCTGCCCTATTCCATGCTGTTTTCAGCTCTGTGGCTTTGCATATCCTATTCCCTCTGCTTTGAAGCCCTTCTCTCCTACCTTGCTTCATCCTCTTCTTTACCTGGAAACTCTTACTTATCCTTCAAGACTCAGTGCATGTGTTTCTACCTCTAGAAAGCCCATCCTGGCCACAGTGGGTTTGATGCCTCCCCTTCAGGTTCACTTGGCACCTGGACACACCTTCACCATTGCCCAGGTCATCCACGTCCTCACTGTCTGGATCTGTCTCCTGATGTGGCAGTGTTCTTTGAGGGAAGTGAGCCACATTCAACTCATCTTTGATACACAGGGTATGGCCTGAGAGGGGTTTAGTAAGTCTTGGTGGAACTCTTTGGAACTGAACTCCCTTAGCGTAGGGCAGCCCAGGACCACAGCATGAACTGAGCCCTCCTGGGGCTCCAGTCCCAGGGTTCTGTATGATCATGTGCTATGTGTGAGGCTCCGTCCTATAGGTCTTTAGGCCCAAAAGGGAGACTTCAAACATCCTCAAGGAATTCCTGAAGCAATGGAAACAAAAATCTTATGAAGAATTATTAATAATGATGTGATTAAAAGAAATAAGTCTTTCTGAGGGTAAAAGTAACATCTTTTGCTGGGAGGAGGAGATATGAGATTGTTCATTCACCAGAACATTGAGAGAAGAAGTAAATCCATTTATCTATATTTGAAACAACTATTAGCCCTTTGATCTGGCTCTTCCCTTGGTCAGGTGAGCTTGCTGTGTCTGAAAGATCACCAAGCACATGCAGGGCTCAGTTTTCCCAGTAGCACCCCTGGGTCTCCAATGTGGCCAGGGATTTTCTAGTGGGGATTTTTACTGAGGCTCTGAGGCTGTGGAGCCTGCACGTAAAGGGGTGGGGTGGGAAGAGGTTGAATTTAAAGACACAAATGAGATATCTTGACTTTGTTTTCTGATCAAGATGTGAAAAGCCCTTGTTTTGCACCTGCTTGTAGCATGGCTGATTTCACTGGGGGAGAATACTCGATGGCAGGGACTCCAGTCGGTTGGCCTCTGCTCTTGCTTCTGCTCTATGAGCTCACTGGCTGCTTTGTCCATGTCACGATCTGGCCACCAGTGCAAATGATCCAATCACTTCCCCTGCTCCAGAGCAATAGCCACAAGAAAGGAGCCCTCAGGGTCACGTTTGAGAGGGTCCTCTCTGCCTCAACCACATTGGGGGCTCACTCTCCTCAAGAGCTTGGACGTATCTTTAGTGTAAAATATCGTGGTTTGGTTTTGCCTTTGTAAAAAGGCAGAGAACTAAAATTAGCAGCCTGTCTGGAACACATTCCCCAGGGTGTCTCTACCCTTTAGAGAGAATGCAAGAGAAATGCCTCCCTAAGCAAGAGCAATCCACCCACAGGGGTGTGGGGACCAGACTTCATACCTCCCTTTCTCTGACAGAAGCTGTCTGCTGGCATGGGACTTCAACAGAGAAAACAGCAACTGCATCCTTTCCACTCCCATGCTCAAGATCCAGCAGTGAGTTCCTGTTGCCTTTAAAACTCAACCTACTTAGAAGGACCTGCAAGGGCCTCTAGAATCTGACCTCTATTGATGAACATTCATTTAATAAATAGTGACTGACTACTTGCCCTTGTAGCAGCCTGATACCAAACGCTGTGATGCAGAGGTGAAACCACAGTCTTTTCCTTCAGAGAGTGCACAGTGTGGTGGGTATGATGGTCATTTTTGTGTGTCAGCTTGGCTTGCCTATAGCTACATTATTTAATGAAACACTAATCTAAGTGTGGCTGTGAAGGTACATTGTAGATTGAAATCCATAATTAGTTCACTTTAAGTGAGGGAGATTATCCTAGATAATCTGGGTGGGCTTGAATCGGTTGGAAGCCCTCCAGAGCAGAGGTGGGGCTTCCTGAAAAAGAATAAATCCTACTTGTGGACAGCAGCTCCTACACATATCAAAGAGTTCCAGCCTTCCCTTCCTGATCATCTGCCTTACAGATTTCAGACAAGCTAGCCAGTCCCCACAATTACATAAGCCAGCTACTTGCAGTAAAGTGCTTCATGCATATCTCCTATTGCTTCTGTTTCCCTGCTTAAGTCTGACTGACACAGTGATCAGGCCATCAGACTACATAACCTGCCACTACGAGTTTGTGATCCTGAGCCACATACACCTTGGACTAAGTGCCTTTTCTATGCCAGGCACTGTACTAGACATTATCCCATGTATTAGCTTAGTTATTCTTCCCAATTATAGGCTATTTAGAGATTACTGAGGAGAAAACTGAGGCTCAGAAACATTAAATAATTTACCTGATGTCAGGCAACTAGGAAGTTGCAGAGTTGGGATTCAAACTAATTCTGCCTAACCCCTACACTTGTTATTTTTCCACTACACCTCACAGCCTGGTGACCTTTTATTTCACTTAACTGGTGACCTCTTATTTCACTTAACTGAGTGTTAGTTTCCTTGTTTGTGAAAAGAGGATGACCCCTCAAGTTCATTCAACTATGAGATCTCAAGTTCATCCAACTATGAGATAGCAAAGTGGTGAGGTTTATATTACTATGATAGCTGGGAGCCAGATTTCTCTTCAGAAGAGAGCAATCTGTTGAAACTATACTTTGAGGCCAGGCACAGTAGCTTACACCTGTAATCCCAGCACTTAGGGAGCCTGAGATTGTCAGATCACTTGAGCCCAAGAGCTTGAGACCAGCCACAGCAACATGGTGAAACCCCATCTCTACAAAAAATACAAAACATTAACTGGGCATGGTGGCACATGCCTGCAGTCCCACCTACTTACTCAGGAGGATGAGGTGAGAGGATTTTCTGAGCCTGGGAGGTCGAGTCTGCAGTGAGCCATAATAGCAGCACCACCATTGCACTTCGGCCTTGGAGACAAAATGAGACCCTGTCTTGAAGAAGAAGAATAAGAAGAAGAGGAGGAGGAGGAGGAGGGAGAAGGAGAAGGAGAAGGAGGAGGAGGAGGAGAAGGAGAAGGAGAAGGAGAAGAAGAAGAAGAAGAAGAAGAAGAAGAAGAAGAAGAAGAAGAAGAAGAAGAAGAAGAAGAAGAAACAAAAGAAGAAGGAGAAGGAGGAGGAGCAGGAGGAGGAAGAGGAGGAGGAGGAAGATGGGGAGGAAGAGGAAGAGGAGGAGGAGGAGGAAGAGGAGGAGCAGGAAAAGGAGGAAGAGGAGGAGGAGGAGGAGGAGGAGGAGAGGAAAGAAAATATATTTTGATAACTGCTTATAGTAAGAAAGAGTCCTTTCTCCTTTTGTCCTGAAAACTGAGAATCAAATGACACCAGGCTGCTGAGGAAGGGGAGGCTACTCTGCAAGACAGAAGTGGGGAATTGGAGGCCTCAGAGACCAGGAGTGAGCAGTAGAGTGCAGAAGGAGAGGGAGAAGGAAGAAGCCACAGGATGGGACAAGTCCGTGTCCCTGATGGCAGCCTTCCCAGGATCCTCAGTACAATCCACTGAAAACACAGCACTTAGTAAGAGTAATTTTTTTTGGTTGGGGGGAGACCTTTGAAAGATTTGAGTTTCTCTTTGTGATCAGCTTAGAGAGGATATAGGGATGCCATTCAACAAAGCTGGAATCCAAGAGGCAAAGGAAGCCAGGACAATGTAAACTCCATCTTGCCAAAAGTCTAGCGATCAGCTGTTTCAGAGATTAGTAAAATTCTTGGGAAAGCCTTTGAACTTTCATAGTCTGTGAAACTTGGGTCTTATTCCAAGTAATTTCATCCAGATTTCAAAAGATATGGAAGCCCCAAAGCAACAGCTGGGTTTCACAAGTGACACGTGATCATTCCAAGGGGGAACTACATCCTTCATGCCAGAGCCAGCTCTCACCTGGGCTGGTGATGCCCCACTTGTCTGGGGATAGCATCTGCCCATGTATGAAACTCATGATCTTTTACAGATTGCATTTTGCCTCTTAGGGGGTGTGTGTAATCTTCTTAGGTAGGCTGAATATTCCTTGATGCATTTACATAACAATGAGACTTCCTGCTCCTTGGTAGACCCCATAATTTCCAACTTAAGCCTGGTGCATGGGCATATGGAATCCTGTATCTCTTGGTTGACCTCTTTCCTTAGTCCCTTAAGAGAAGGATTAGAATCAGGCCAGGAGCGATGGCTCATGCCTGTAATCCCAGCACTTTGGGAAGCCAAGGTGGGTGGATCACGAGGTGAGGATTTAGAGACCAGCCTGGCCAAGATGGTGAAACCCCGTCTCTACTAAAAATACAAAAATTAGCCAGGCGTGGTAGCAAGCGCCTGTAATCCCAACTACTCGGGAGGCTGAGGCAGAAGAATCGCTTGAACCCGGGAGGTGGAGGTTGTAGTGAGCCAAGATAGCACCACTGCACTCTAGCCTGGGTGACAAAGCAAGACTCTGTCTCAAAAAAAAAAAAAAAAAAAAAGAGAGAGAGAGAAGGATTAGAGTCAATGGCAATTGCTAAAGAGGGGTGTCCTTCCAGGGCACCTGAATCCAGAAAGCCCACACCTGAGACTTGTAGCCCCACCTCAGCAGCTGGAGAAGACACACCAGGACTGTGCCAAGACTAGATACCCTACTATTGTAGGCCCTACAGAAAATGCTTGCCCACTCCTGGGAAGTCAGCCAAGGCACTTGAGCAAACCTTTGACATGAGGAGCTGGGACCTTGTCAGTCCTGCAACTGAAAGGATCCCTGTCCATCCCCAAATGGCACAGTTGAAGAAAGCAAGCATCAGAAGGAAGTTACCTCAAGTGGTATCTATGGGATCACCCTTCAACACTTCAAGAGAAATGAAAGTTCCCCCGTCTTTCATGTGCCCTGGGAGGACTATAGTAAAAAATACTTTAATTGTACATTTTAAAATAACTAAAAGAGTATAATTGGGCCTCACCCTGGTGCTAACACCACCACCAGCATGACCTCACACACAGTCACCAGTGGGGGGCCCTTGGCCTCTTGAGCCACGCTACGTCTGCCACTGCTGCAAATGCCCACACAGAGGCTGACATTCCAGCACCTGCTAGCACCCTGCCATAGCCAATGAGCATGCATCCTGTTGTGGCGCCACTGCTGCTGCTGCTGGTACATGCAAATGAGAGCAGATCCCACTGCCAATGCCCCACAAAATACTTTGGCTGGCACCACCCATCAGATTGTTGTGACCAGTGGTCCAGGAGCACCTCAGCCCCCCACAGTGCAGTGGGTTCTTAACCTTGAGGAGCCAGATAACAAAGTCAGAGCCCGATGTTAGTCTCTCAGAGTTAGAGCACAAAGTCAAACACACTCCAGGAGTTGGAAGCTGGGCCTTGGCCCCACAAAATCTTCCAGAAATGAAGTCAGTTGACTGAACCCACCTTATACCACAACCAAAACCTCAAGGTCATCAAATAGGATAAAAATTTAAAAAAAAACTCATTCAAATGACAGAACTTTAAAGATTGAAGGAACATCAGCCCACAAAGATGAGAAAGAACCGGTGTAAGATCTCTGACAACTGAAAAAGCCAGAGTGCATTCTTCTCTCCAAATGACCACACTATCTCTCCAGCAAGGGTTCTAAACCAGGCTGGGATGGCTAAAATGACAGAAATAGAATTCAGAATGTGGATAGGAATGAAGATTATCAAGATACAGAAGTACATTGAAACCCAAACCAAAGAAGTTAAGAATCACAATAAAACAATACAGAAGCTGTCAGACAAAATAACCAGTATAGAAAAGAACATAACCGACGTGAAAGAGGTGAAAGACACGCTACGAGAATTTCATAATGCAATCACAAGTATTAATAGCAGAATAGATCAAACCAAGGAAAGAATCTTAGAGCTTGAAGTCTGGCTTTCTGAAATAAGACAATCAGACAAGAATAGAGAAAAATGAATGAAAAGGAATAAACAAAACCACCAAGAAAGATGGGATTATGTAAAGAGACCAAATGTATGACTCATTGGTGCCTCTGGAAAAGATGGGGAGAATGGAAGCAACTTGAGAAACATATCTCAGGATACTGCTCATGAGAATTTTCCCCAAATTAGCTAGAGAGACCAACATTCAAATTCGGGAAATACAGAGAACCCCAGTAGGATACTTCACAGAAATATCATCCCCAAGACACATAATCATCAGATTCTCTAAGGTCAAAATTAACGAAAAAATGTTAAAGGCATCTAGAGAGAAAGGTGAGGTCACCTACAAAGGGAAGCTCATCAGACTAACAGCAGACCTCTCAGTAGAAACAATATTAGACAGATCATTGAGGCAGAAAAATAATAAAAATATTCAGGACCTGAACTCAGCACTGGATCAAATGAACCTGACAGACATCTACAGAACTCTGCACCCAAAAACAACAGTATATACATTATTCTCATCACCACATGGCACATACTCTAAAATCAACCAGACAATTGGACATGAAACAATTCTCAGCAAATGCAAAACAACTGAAATCATAACAACCACTCTCTTGGACCACAGCACAATAAAATTAGAAATCAAGAATAAAAGAATTGCTCAAAAGCATACAACTACATAGAAATTAAATAACCTGCTCCTGAATGACTTTTGGGTAAATAATGAAATTAAGACAGAAATCTACAAGTTCTTTAAAACTTATGAAACAAAGATACAATATACCAGAGTCTCTGGGACACAGTTAAAGCAGTGTTAAGAGAGAAATTTATAGCATTAAATGCCTGCATCAAAAAGTTAGAAAGATTTCAATTTAACAACTTAACATCACAACTAAAAGAACTAGAGAATCACAAGCAAAACAACCCCAAAGCTAGCAGAAGACAAAAAATAACAAAAATCAGAGCTGAACAGAAGGAGATTGAGACATGAGAAACCATTCAAAAGATCAGTGAATCTAGGAGCTGTTTTTTTTTAAAAAAAAAAAATTAATAAAATAGATAGACCACTAGCTAGACTAATAAAGAAAAAAAAGAGAGAAGATCCAAATAAACAGAATTAGAAACGATAAAGGGATATTGCTACTGAGCCAACAAAAATACAGATAACCATCAGAGAATATTATGAACATTTCTATGCATACAAACTAGAAAAACTAGAAGAAATGGATAAATTTCTGGACATATGCACTCTCTCAAGACTGAACCAAGAAGAAATTGGATCCCTGAATACACCAATAACAAGCTTTGAAATTGAATCAGTAATAAATAGCCTACCAGGCAAAATAATTAAATAAATAAAAGCCCAGGACCAAATGGATTCATAGCTGTATTCTATCAGATGTACAAAGAAGAGCTGGTATCATTCCCACTGAAACTGAAAAAAGTGAGGAGAAGGGACTCCTCTGTAACTCATTCTATGAGGCCAGCATCATCCTGATACCAAAATCTGGCAGAGACACAACAAAAAAAGTTAACTTCAGGCCAATATTCTTAAAATCCTCAGCAAAATACCAGCAAATCAAATCCAGCAGCACATCAAGAAGCTAAACCACTATGAACAAGTGGGCTTTATCCCTAGGATGCAAGGTTGGTTCAATATATACAAACCAACAAATGTGATTCATCCCCAAACCAAAACTAAAGACAAAAACCACACGATTATCTCAATAGATGCAGAAAATGCTTTCGATAAAATTCAACACCCTTTATGTTAAAAAAAAAAAAAACTCTAAATAAAGTAGATATTGAAGGAACATACCTCAAAATAATAAGAGCCATCTATGACAAACCCACAGCCAACAATGTACTGAATGGGAAAGAGCTGGAAGCATTCCCTTTGAAAACCAGCATAAGACAAGGATGCCCTCTCTAACCACTCCTATTCAACATAGTATTAGAAGTCCTGGCCAGAGCAAACAGGCAAGAGAAAGAAATAAAGGGCATCCAAATAGGAAGAGAGGAAGTCAAACTATCCCTGTTTACAGATGACACGATTCTAAATCTAGAAAACCCCATAGTCATGGCCCCAAAGCTCCTTAAACTGATAAACAACTTCAGTGAACTCTTGGGATACAAAATCAACATAGAAAAATAACCATTATTCCTACACACAAACATCAGCCAAGCCAAGAGCCAAATCAGGAACACAATCCCATTCACAATTATCATAAAAATAACAAAATACCTAGGAATGCAGTGAACCAGGGAGGTGAAAGATCTCTGCAATGAAAACTACAAAACACTGCCCAAAGTAATCAGAGATGACAAAAACAAATGGAAAAACATTTCATGCTCATGGATCAGAAGAATCAATATTGTTAAAGTAGTCAAATTGCCCAAGGCAATTTATACATTCAATGCTATTCCTATCAAACTACCAGTGACATTCTTCACACAACTAGAAAAAAAAACTATTTTAAAGGTTATATGGAACCAAAAAAGAGCCCCAATAGCCAAGGCAATACTTTTTTGTTTGTTCGTTTGCTCATTTTTGTTTTTTGAGATGGGCCAAGGCAACTCTAAGGAAAAAGAATAAAAAGCTGGAGGCATCACGCTATCTGACTTCAAACTATACTACAGGGCTATAGTAACCAAAACAACATGGTATTGTTTTGGTACCATGGTGTTTTGGTACTATACTGTTTGACGTATATGTAATGTGGTACATATACACAGAACAGCATGATACAAAAACAGACACATAGACCAATGGAACAGAATAGAGAGCCCAGAAATAAGGCCACACACCTACAACCATCTAATCTTTGACAAAGCTGACAAAAGCAGGCAATAGGGAAAAGACCTCCTATTCAGTAAATGATACTGGGATGACTGGCTAGCCATATGCAGAATACTGAAACTGGACCCCTTCCTTACACCATATACAAAAATCAACTCAAGATTGATTAAAGACTTAAATGTAAAATGCAAAACTATAAAAACCCTGGAAGACCACCTAGGCAATACCATTCTGGAAATAGGAACAGGCAAATATTTCAAGACAAAGACATCAAAAACAATTGCAACTAAAGCAAAAATTGGCAAATGGGATCTAATTAAACTAAAGAGTTTCTGCACAGCAAAAGAAACTATCAATAGGTAAACAGACAACCTACAGAATGGGAGAACGTTTTTGCAAACTATGCATCTGACAAAGGTCTACTATCCAGCATCTATAAGGGACTTAAACAAATTTACAAAAAACAAACAACCCCATTAAAAATTTGGCAAAGGACATGAACAATTACTTTTCAAAAGGAGACATACATGTGACCAAAAAGCATATGGGAAAAAGCTCAACATCACTGATTATTAGAGAAATGCACATCAAAACCACAATATCATCTAACACCAGTCAGAATGGCTATTATTAAAAAGTCAAAAAATAACAGATGCTGGTGAGGTTGCAGAGAAAAGGAATGCTTATACACTGTTGGTGGGAGTGTAAATTAGTTCAACCCCTGTGGAAAGCAATGTGGTGATTTCTCAAAGAGCTAAAAACAGAACTATCATTTTACCCAGCAATCCCATTACTGGGTATATACTCGAAGGAATATAAATCGTGCTATCATAAAGACACATGGACATGTATGTTAATTGCAGCACTATTCACAAAAGCAAAGACATGGAATCAACCTAAATGCCCATCAGTGGTAGACTGGATAAAGAAAATGTGATACATATACACCACAGAATACTATGGTATACAGCCGTAAAGAAGAATGAGATCATCTCCTTTGCAGGGACGTGGATGGAGCTGGAGCCATTATCCTTAGCAAACTAACGCAGGAACAGAAAATCAAATAACACATGTTCTCACTTATAAGTGGGAGCTAAATGATGAGAGCACGTGGACAACAACATACGCTGTGGCCTACCAGAGGCTGGAGGGTAGAAGGAAGGAGAGGAGCAGGAAAAATAACTAATGGGTACTAGGCTTAATATCTGGGTGACAAAATAATCGGTAAAACAATCCCCCGTGATATGAGTTTACGTATATGAAAAACCTGCACATGTACCCCTGAACTTAAAATAAAAGTTAAAAAATAAAAGAATATAATTGGATTATTTGTAACATAAAGGATAAATGTTTGAGGTGACAGATATTCCATTTACCTCATGTTATTATTATCCATTGTATGCCTATATCAAAATATCTCCTGTAACCCATAAATATATACACCTACTATGTACCCATGAAAATTAAAAATAGAAAATTATTTTTTTTAAAAAAGAGCCCTGGGTGGTCTCCTGGTCTGTTAGGGTGCCCAGCAGACCATGCTCTGGCAGAGGCCCTCCCCAGCATCTAACCTGTCCTCATCACTCCCCAGCTCTCTCTTTTAGGAAATGAAGAGAAACTGAACCTCTTGCCTTCTCCATGGTGAGGCCTGCTTGGGAGCCACTGAAGTGGCAGCATACCACACTGCCTGCACAGTAAAGCCCTGGCCTTTTTTCCTCCTGCCTGCTGTTATTTCTCTAGTAACTATGTTATATGCAGATGAGATCAAGAGAGTCAGAGAAAATCCACCTGTGAGGCCAGGAAGAGAAGGAGGAAAGGGCTCTAGGGAGGCAGGACTGGTCAGGCACAGACATAAACACATGGAACCTCTCCTTCCCCATCTCAGCTATGTGCCTTCTCCACAGTAAGAGTTAGGTGACAAAGCCTCCAAGCCACAGACCCTGCGCTTGGTTGCATAGACTTCTCTAATTATTGGGAGCCAGGCACAGGATCCTTCATCTCATCACTGTGTTATTATTGTCTAGCAGTCCCCACTGAATGCCAAGGCAGGAGGACAAGAGGACAAGAGAGAAGGGGAAGGGACAGCTCTAGAGGGAAGATTCATACAGGGCCAATCTCAGGTCCACTTATTCCCTGCAACTGCTATTGGCTCAACCATGCCTACTCTGCCAGGGATGGCCGAGAGGGAGATGGAACTCAGGAGACGTGGTTCAGACGTCCCTAACACATGATTTTCCACTCCAGGGAGAATGTTTCAATTATGTAAAGAATAGCTGTTGTCAACTACCTTGAATGATCTTGAAAGGTCCATTTACATAGTAGTTGTATATGATCAGGCTGACTACAAACAATTTTCACCTCTTGATTTAAGGAAGTCTCTTAAATGGGACCTTGGTTCACCTACTTTGAGTTACAGGATCTCCTTGAAAATGAAAGAATGCATCATTCCTCTCTATAATTGGTACTTCTCACTTATCTGTCTGGCCCTCTTCTGCTCTTAGTAGGGCACAGTGAGCTAGGCATTGTTGAATGGCTCTTGTGTCTTTCTCCTTCTTCTAAATTCAGTGGGCTGTTTCCTGTCCTCCTGGTTCCTCTGACTCCAGCCACTGGCCTTGTTAGGCCTGGCCTGGCTGCTACGGTGAGCTTGTTTCTGGGGCAAGAGCTGCTTCAGGCCTTGAGCCTGCATCTCCAGAATTCCTATACTCCACCTCTTGGCCTGCTCCTACCCCCAGTCCCTTTCTCTGTTTTCCTTTCTCTATCAGCCTCTGCCTTTTCCCTCCATTTCCATCTAACACTTCCTTGATTCCTCAGATGCTTACCCCTCCTTTTCTTCCACACCACTCCCCTGTTCAGTGTGGTAGCTGACATGCTTTGAGTTTGCCTCTTCTCTCCTGGATTTGCAGCTCCAAGAAGACTTATCTTCTCCTCCTGATTCTTGTTACTTCTCAATGCTTGCTCCATGGATCAACAGCACCAGCACCACCCAGGAGCTTGTTGGAGATGCAGAATCTTAGGCCCCACACAGATCTATGAATCAGATTCCCAGGTGATCTCTATGCACATTAAAGATTAAGCACTCTGCTCTAAACTAGAAGATGCATTCTAGTGCAGCCAACAACACCATGATTTCTTTTGCCCCCATTGTTTTTCTAGCACCAACTACTATGCCTGGCAAATAGTAGATGCTCAATAAATATTAACTGAATGGGTGGAGCTCTCTGGGTTTTTCTCTATGACTTTGTGAGACACTGCCTCTTTCACACTGCCCTACACCACCCTTCCCCTTGCCCTCCCCCACTGCCTTTTTCTCCTCCTTCTCTGCCATCAGGGATAGGGTCAGACTGGTGTGTGGAAGAGAGGCTTGCTAAAGATGGATCTGAGACCCCAATAGAAGATGTCACCAGGCCATAGAATTTGCTCATGCAAGCTGTGGAGCAGAGCCCTGCACAGAACAGGAAAGGTATCATGTTCCCACTGCTGTCTTATTCACTCATCAGCCAGCAAGCCCCAGACATAATAAGACACTGTGAATTACTTGGAGGCTCAATACAATCATGTCTTTTAGAGATGACAAATTTTGGTTCCAAATAACTTAAAACCAGAGCTCTGGTTTGCTTCTGTATTCACCTTTTTGTTAATTAAATGCACATGTATGAAATGCTAGTGACAGGGTAGGAAAAGAAGAAGATAGAAAGAATAATAAGAATAAATTGTGCCCTCAAGGAGCTTATGAAAGACCAGGCAGTGAATCGTGAGGCGTTGAGTCCTAAGATACCTTAGTTGTTTCTGACAATTTTCTTTTATCATAGTGCACCTCTCATGTGAATGACAAGGAAATCAAATTGAGCTCCTGCCCAGATTATACAAGGACCGAAGGACTGTCAAAGTATGATTTAAAAGGAAGAGGAAGGGAGAGAAAACTCGGAGATGGAAGCTGACCGCCTTGGCAAAGAGGAGGATGAAATGTAGAGATAAGGGAGAGGAGAGAGAAAAGAGAGAAAGAACCAAGAAGAAAAAATGGCTTTTGCTGCCATGAAATTTGTGCAGTATAAACCTTTCGTATATATAGTAAAAACCCATCTACCTTGCAGTTATTTAGTAAGTGGATAAGAAACTCCAGGCTGTGAGCTTGCAGACTGTTTGTTCAGCCGCCATGGAAATGTCAAGGGTGGACACCTCTGATGAAGTCTGCTCCCAGGGGCTGCAGTGCCCTTACTCGCACCACATATTCTCCAGTGCTTTGTCTGGTGCCATTTAAACTATCTCAGGCAACAGTCCAAGTTCTGCAAGGACATGCCGGTTGAGAGCCCAATCTGCAGAACTCCTCCCAAGCAGCCTTCATTTTACTGGTCAGGGGCTAACAGTGCTTTCTCGTCCTGTGTAACCCTGAGGCAACCACCCACCCCACAACCCAATGGGCATGGGCAGATTTGGACAAAATCTACAAAGCCTGATCTCTTGGGGAGAAACATCAGGGGCCAGTCATCCTGACTGGGCCAAGAGGGGCAGCTGTGACAGAGGGCACGTTACTTGGCCTGGCTTCAATGGGAGCATGCCAGGCAGGGCAGCAGGCTCCTGCTGATTAGCACGTGCACTGGGTGAAAATCTGACCAGAAGGCATAAAGCCAAAGATCAAGTGACTTTTGCCAGTTGAGACTGTGAATGCTTATTTCTGAGAGACTGAGGAAGGGCTGATTGCTTAATTACAAGGTGGAAAGTAAAAAGAGAAACAGGAAGACAACAAACAGGGTTGGAATGTGAGAAGCTGAGGGTCATTGGACCTTCTCCCCGTGGTTTCCTGGAGCATTTACTATGCAGTCTGCTGCTGCCACACACCAAGCCCTTGGCAGACTTGCTCATAGCTACTGTTTCTCTGCCACACATGGAAGAGTTAGCCTAGTGGACTTATCCTTCATACGGTCTTAGGACAGAGATGGGCTTATCCTAGAGTTGCAGCATGGGGACTCTAGGAAGACACGTGCCTCAGTCCAGGTTACAGAGGGGCTTAAGTCAGCAACACTTACTAGCAAGCTGCCTAACCTCATCAACTGCCATCAATAAAGTGGGGTAGTAACATATATGTCATGAAATTGTCAGTGGAATGAACTGCGATGGAAAATATAGCATGTCATTCCACACCCAGAACATAGCAAACATTAAGTGATGACTAGAACTACTTTATACTTGGTGATTATTTTGGAATGTAAGCATTCATAATCTCAAATGAAGAACATATTTGTAATTCTTAACATAAAAAATAATCAGAATTGAGTGACAATTCCTTCTTAGTTATTTGAGCGGTGCTTCTCAAACTTCTGTGAGCATAAAGATCACCCAGAGTGACTGTTAAAAATTCAGTCTACAGTTACCCTCCACAGCCCACCCCTGCCTACGACTGTCTGATACAATATCTCTAAGAAGAGGCTTTGGCCACAGTTAATGGAAATGAGTGTTTGTGTGTCTGTCTATAAATTCCTTGAGGGAGGAAAGTGTATCTTCCTTTCTGTATCCCCAAGTCCCAGCCCAGCTCCTGGAACAGAGGAGGCACCTAGTAATATTGTTCTAATGTTCAGAATGCCCATTTGCCCTTGAGAATAGTATCTGGGGAAAATCTTAACACAGAACTACAGTTAGGATTAATTTTACATCTTATCCAGAGGATGGGTGCTGAGCCAGAGCACAATAACATGGCTAAACCCACTGAAAATATTTTGTGCCTTCTGACGGCAGCACCTAAGATAAGACAGAGGAGAAAGGGCTGCTTTGTGCATTCCCAGGAGCAGAGTTTACCGAGACAATGTAGTACATTTGCAGAAGGGAAAAAAGGGTAATTTTCCTAAGGCCAGGAAGGCAGGAAGAAAGGTGATCCAGAAAATAAAGAAATGTGGAAGGAGTGAGAATTTCCTTTGTCTCCCACTCCAATTCCTGGTTTGTACTCCCTTCCATCAAAGGCATCAAGCCACTGAGCCTGCATCCAGCTCTGCCACTACCTAACTTTGCGGGCAGAGGTAACCTCTCAGTTGTCCCACCTATAAATAACAACAATATCAGCTAATAATTGTGAAAGTGCCTAGGAACGTGTGTTCAGCAGAACGAATGGAAAAGGAGGAGGGAAAGGTCCTAAGATTATTTTCTGAGATGAGAAAAAAAGTGCCTGGCTATGCAACAAAGGAAAGAAAGGATGACAATCTCAGTGCTCTAAAGAAGGCAGTTGAGAGAGCAGCAGGCAGCAGGCAGCTGACCTTCACCACCCCACAGGGCCGGAACCCCAGCAGGCTGGGGGTCCACTCATTTGCATAGGCCACTCCCTGAACAGAAGTTCCTTTCTTCCTCACTTCCTACTGACAGCAGTGCACAAAGGAATGGCTCATCTGTAAAACTGAGGTTGAATCTCCAAAGACACTCCTGGGAGGAGTACACCATGAGCAAGGAGGGGGCAGTTACCACCAGAGAAACCACTACAAATGATGCTCCCACGAGCATCTCCCTGCTCTCTTCAGTGCTGCCCGCCCCAGGCAGACCCCTTTGAGTGAAGGTACCATGCACTGATCAAGGGTCTGGCTGGTTTTAGACTGAGCACGTCTGAATCCTGCTTCCTCACCCATGTACCTGGGTCCTGGGTACCTTCCTCACCCATGTACCTGGATCCACTACTGTAATCCTATAGAGTCTTGCTGTCTTTCTCTGAAAATGGGGATAACCAGGGTTATTATGAGTAGGCTCATAACAAACAGTAGTTATAGTTGGTATTGCTCCCTTCTGCAGTGGATGTTCTTCCTGCAACTAAGGACACTGAAGAACCTGAGATCTTTTATTACTTTAGTTTGGTTTGACTTCTGCTGTCTCCTTCTCTGTCTCCAGTGATGAGAACTGGAATGAAAGTGATGCTGCTGTTTTGGAACTACTATTGTTGTAGACTAGGACCTGCACAAATGTGAAAGATCAGGTACATGGGTGAGGAAGCAATCATATGTGTACAACTGCATGGATTTTTGTATTTCCTCACTGGCAATTGGGAGCAATAAGACTACCTACTGGATTTGGTGAAGACTGAATAAGAGACATATGTGATGCCCTCTGAACAGTGCCTAGCATATATTAGTGCTCTGTTAATGTTTCATGAGGACTTTTATAATGATGATGACAATGATGCTGATGATGATATCTTGTGTGTCCCAGGCAGATAGTATGCTTATCTTCACTGCAGGTTGAGGTTCCCAGAGTGAGGACCAAGATGTATCTACTGCAAATGCAGATGTGTTAGGTCATCTATAGGGCTGCCATGACAGCTGGGCCAGGGTCTATTAGTGTGAGAATCTGAGGATCCTCATGGAATGACAATGTTGGCAGTGGTCGCCGAAACTAAGACTCCCAAGCATTTGGATAACCACAGCAACGCTTTAAAAGAAAGTAATGATAGGACACATTCATGTCAGGCTTTAAGTCTTCAAATGTCTCCCCTTGACTTTCCAGATAAAAAATTTACACCTTCTCTTGGCACAGGAGGTCTCCTGCTTTGTGATCTGGTCTTGGTCCATCTCTCCAGCCTCAGCCTCTCTTCTTCCCATGACACACTCTTGGCTAGCCATACTGTACTCTTGTCATTCCAAGCTTTCCTATTTGTAACCACTGCTGCCAGTAGTTCTTTCCTCAGCTATCAAACTGCTGCTTATCCTTTAAAATAAAACACAAGCATCAGCTCTTTCAGGGAGCCTTCCTTAAACCCTTGGTCTCATTGAGGTGTCCCTCCTTGCACAAGGTTTCCCACAGCACCCCACTAGAGGATGTCATCCTCTTCTGTATCTGTTGTCTTGTCTGCCTCCCCATGAGAGCATGAGTAAGAACTGTCATATTCATCTCTGTGTTCCTATATTTTAGCACAATACCTGGTACATTATAGATGCTCAACAAGTGCTTAAATAATTAATTGATGAGAAATAAACCTGATGAAAGGTAAACTCCCTGGGCAGTGAGGAATGAGAGGCAAGAAAGCAAGATGTGCAAATGCCCAAGGCTGTCAAACACTTGTTTCTTTTAATTCCCAGGAAAAAAGAAAGTGAACAACCAGGTGCACGAGGAGGATTTTAACAGACTACAAGCATGGGGTAGTCCTGCTCTGTGGTCCTAATAAGAAAGCAAGTTGAGAAGGGAACTTAGGGTATTTCTCTGCGAGTGTTTTAGAACAGAAATGCCTTTTACAGCCACTGGCAAAAGTCAATATCAAAACAATGGGTAGAAGAAAATCTCCATTCAGAAATCTACTTGAAGAGAAGATTTGGGTCGGGTGATATTAGTTGGAGGTTAACCCCAAGATTTCTTCACTTGTAACTGTAAGTGGACCCTGTTGAACTTTCTTCTCTGGGAGATGCCAACAGGAATGGGCTTATGGAGTTGGAAAGCCCTTGAATATGTCAATGGGGGAATTGGCTTAGATGCTGAATGACATTCTTGTTTCTCTTCAATAGTTTCCTGAATATAAATTGTCCCCAAGAAAACTGTTAAGTTGTTGAGGAAAGCACTTGCGTTTTTAAGTTAATCTGTATCCCACACACAGCCTAAAATGAGGATAGGCAACTACACAGGCTCAGACAGAAAAGGGTTTGAATAAATAACGCCACACTCCCTTGGGTTCGCATATTTTGACAAATATTTACAACAGTGCTCACTCTGTGCCCAGCTCTGTGCTAAAAGCTTTACATGTTTTGTTTCATGGAATCCACATCATGAGTCTATGAGGCTGGAATATTACTAGCTCCATTTCACCCACGAAGAAACCAAGCCACAAAGAGGTTAACAAACCTGCCCAAATTCATCCAGTCAGTGGTAGAGCTGGGATACAAACCCAGGAAGTCTGGCCCCACATCCCTGCTCTCAACCACTGCTTCATGCTGCAGAGGCAAAGCACGTGTGGATGCTGACTGCTATTCTGTCCCTGCCATCACCAGGCCACCATCCTGCAGGGCAAAAAGCTGGAAAGATATATGAAGTAGGCAGAATATATCTCCAGTGCCTCCTCACAGACCCTTTGAGTACAACCTCCTTCTCCTGCCTCATTCGCAGGGTTGGAGCTGATCCCCCTACCCCAGGATCTGGCTTCAGCACTCCTGCAGCTCATCCTCTATCTCCCACCGAAGTTCACCTGTCCTGTGTCCCATCCTAGCTAGTGTTCAGACTAGGTTTTCAGGTGTTGTGTTGGTGCTCTCAGCAATACCACCTTGAACCCCATCACTACCCAGTGAAGCTAATAATGTAGCATCTACCTGACTGGTTGTTGTGGAGATTAAGTGTAGTGACTCATGTATAGGGCTTATAACAGAGGTCATCCCTCAGTGAACATTGGCTTGACAGGATTGCATAACTCTCCCCATGTCCCACAGCTAATTGGTAAAGCTGGGATACAAACCTTGATCTTTCTGCCTCCGAAAACCAAAGTATCTGTTTTCGAAGGTGACAGCCAGCTCATGGGATAAACCAATTTAGCATCATATCAGTAGTGGCTCCCTTCCTTATTCATGGAGTAATAGGATTTTCTTTCCAGTTCTATTCACTACTTTAGGTTAAAACAAAAAAGTGTGTAATATGTGTTGTAGGCAGTGTGTGTGTGTATGTGAGTGTGTACATATGTGCACATTTTTTTTCAGCTACGTCATGCCCAGGCACAAAACCACGTTCTGTGAGCATTTCAGGCTGTGACAATCTGAGGGACATAGCCTGACAGTCAGTGCTTCTAACAGCTGTGCTTCATTCCAGCCCTGGCTCTAATTTCTTAAAAGACAGGCAAAGGTTGCACATTTTTAGCACCAGCCTATGGCACATAGCAGGTTCTTGGTACATATTTGCCATGTTGAATTGCTATCAAGGTAAAGGGAGGCAGGTACCAGGCTGGGCTGGCATGGGACACACAGACGGCCACATCCCACATAAAAGCCAACAGGCAGGATGGCTCCTTTGTGCATGGCCCCAGCTCACATTTTGGACCTACTGATTAAGCACTCAGCAGAAATAGCTGTGTAAGTGCTGGGATGGGACTAGAATTTTAAGGAACCATTAAAAATAAGCAGTGCCCATGACATCATTGTCTGCTGCTCAGTGAAGCTGGAGGAACTGCAGTGAACCACTGGCCAACTGGGAGTTAGGCCACAAAGACAACAGGGGCAAATGAGGCCAGAGCACACAGAGCCCAGGAGCAGCATCAGCTTGAAGAAAAGGGGCCCAGCCATTCCCATAGTCCTCAATGCCCCATGTCTCAGTCATCTGTCTGTTTAATGGAAGCTTGAATTTCCTGGGTCTCACCATTGGTGTTTTTTGCAATAGTCCAAAGTCCTCCCAGGAAGAGAAGTCAGTCCAGCTATTCTGTCTGTGCTGGAGTTGATGGCTGGGAAGGACCTCTGCAAAAGAGCCACATAAGCTTGTTGGGGAAGACTCAAAGTTCTTCCCAGCCAGTGCTCCACAGGGTACAACTGTGGCTAAGCCACTCCCATCATCTTACAGGCAAGGCAACCCACCTGCATGGCTGATTCTAAGGTTTTATGTATTCTCTTTCACAGGGAAATAGACCAAATTACTAAGTTTACAAATTACTGAGACCATATTGCCTTATCCCAGCCCTCTCGCCACTTCTAGTGCGTATTTCATATAGATCCCCCCATGCTGCAATTCCTTTCTACTCACAGCGTCTTGGCTGCCCACTGCAGCCCATATTCCTCTCTCCTTTTCAGAACCATCCTCTTCAGTATTTCAATCACTTTCTCATTATTTCTCTCCCCTAAGCCTCCCATGTTACACCTTAGATGAGGCCATTTCACAAAATCCAGTCTCTGCTTTCTTCTTCAAACTACACCCCTGCCTGGGTAGTCCCATCCACTGTTCACCATAAACTCAGTGATAATTCAGAAACACAAATCCATTCACATTTTTCTCCTTAAATCCCTTCAGAGGCACTTGAAAGCCTGCAGAATGAATGCCACATTTCTTAGTTGAGCACATAAAACCCTCCAAGATGGGCCTCCCACTTCTCTCTCCAGCCTCACTTCCAGCCACTTCCCCCTCCACCATGTGCTCCAGCCATATGGAAGGTCTTTCTCCATTCCTGACATGCTCCCAATGCACCACATGCATATTGTCCCTGTCCTCTAAGCCTTTGCTCAGGCCAGCCAGTCATCCAAGCTGGAAAGCCAGACCTTCAACCTCTCTCTCACCAAAACATCCAGGGATCCAACAAGCCCCGTGGGCTCAATTTCATGGACATCTTTCTCATTTTTCCCCTTGTCTCCTTCATCGCCTCTTGCTCAGATGATTGTAGTAGCCTCTGTCATGATATCTAACCTCAATCTCACCCCACCCCCACCAACACATGCTCTCTACCTTTTTCTTAATTTTCTTTCTAAAATACAAACCTGACTTGGTTCCTTTTCACAGGGTCCTTTCTCTTTGCTCATAGTAAGTACGAGTGTTTTACGTGCTTCCACAATTTTGCACATGTTATTTCTCCTGGTAGAACCATCTTCTCTGCTAGCAAAACTCATTTTATCCTTAAAAATTAAACCAAAATTCACTGCTCCTATGACAACTTCCTACCAACTCCAACCCAGGTACAGTTGACGCATTCATCACACTTACCATATTAAATGGTAAAGATCTCCTTGCACACCTGTGCCCCCATTTATATCTGAACTCCTGAGGGCAGAGCCCCTTTCCCATTCAACTTTGTGTGCCCAAGTGCCTGGTGTTGTTATTTTATTGAATGAACAACTCAAATAGAGGGATGTGTCAGCTGCGTTAGTCTCATCATCTCAACTAGATAGCAAGGTCCCTGATTTCAGAGACCATGTCTCTACTTCATTGTCCAAGGGGCTGTCTTTGAAGAGACAGAAAAATCCATGTATGTGTCTCCTCCTACTCCACTGACAATATTTTCTTAGATCCATGAAAAGCATCAAGGATTCTAAAAGGTAAGACAAGCCACAAAATATGGAGCTATACAAGAGGGTCTAGAAGAGGAAAGACCTGCATCCTTTTCATGGTGTGGAGAGCGTGGCTGTGTATAATGACATTTGATTTGTTTGGGGTCCCCACCAGCACTGGTGAACTAAGGAAGAGGAAGGAAGGGCTCAGAGCCCCCCTCACTGACTCCCAGCTACATGCTAAGGCCACTATCTGCCTGCAACTTGTAGATTAGACTTGCAGCTTGTTCTCTGGTTTTTCCAGTTTGCTGAGCATCTACTTTGCAAAGCCACCACTAGTTGCCTAAATTTAAGCTGCTTGGAAATGTTCATTTTATGGCCAAGGATCTGGAGTCACTTTAGACAAGGAAAATACTGCAGACCCCATTGGCTCATACTCTGCCACTGAGGATATTATAATATCCTCAATGAATGGTCAAATTGCTGCTTGCCTTCGAAAAGGTGATGTTATTCCTCTGAATGAACACATTCAAGTAAATTATTGTTTTGAATCCAAGACAAACACATAGCTTATGTCATGGGAACACTCTGAAAGAGGTCAGTACACTAAGTTCCAAGGACCCACAAAGGGCCCTGGTCACTGGGTCTTTTAGGGAAAATCACTTCCAGGGACACAGAGGTGAGAAACATTCTGAGCCCACTGCCACTGTTAGGTGTGTTTGTTAGGTGTCAGAGGCAGAGACCCAAGCTGCTACCAGCCTGCAATACATGATTCTAGGGGAACTGTGCCTAGGGATGTATGCCCCTGTCCCAGCAAGCTCACTTCAGAAAGGTACAGGGCCCAAGAGCAGGGACAGGTTAAGGAGGCCAAGGTCCCAGGTGTACACAGTTTTGAACTTCTGCAGTGTTCTCACAGTTGGCAGCAGCAGGGAATCCCAGCAAGAGAGAACTCTCGGAGCCCTAGTGGCAGCCAGGCTGGAGTAATCAGGAATGAGGGTAGTAGGGAAGAGACCGGAAGAAGCAGAAGATACCCCAAACATAGGAGAGAGCTTCTGTACAATGAGGAGGGCGATGGGGGGATATTTACCACTACAGTTTTTTAAGGAGGATGTGTCTGATTAAATAAAAGCTCTCAGTTCTGCTGAGCATCTGATGGATATGGATAAACCAAGGTGGGAGACCTCCTTCCCTAGCACCTTCTATCTGGCTCTGCCTAAATGGAGCAGGAAGAGGTCAAGGTCCAGGAGCCCATCCTAGAGTGAGGGGAGAGATGAGCACAACATAGAGTCAAAGAAACCTCTGAAGTAGCCTCAGGGGCAGGTGGTCAATGAGCTTTTCAGAACAGAAATATCTAATGTTAAGTTGGAAGTTGTAGGATTGTTGTAGTATCAACTACACCCCCATTCCAAATCAACATCAACATCAGCTTTACACTCACAGATCACAAATCAAAGAAAATAGGTAAGATTCCCATCTGGGTCAACATGAGACAGAAGAGAGGCAGCTGATACCATGGGACAGTTGACCATCCATGAAATGACCCCAGTCTTCACAGGCAGGCATTCAGAGAACTCGCATATGCTGGGAAAGAAGGGAAATTGTGATGTAGGCACTGCAGTTCCATGGAGCTTGCAGTAGCAGCTGGAGGAAATCTGATCCTGATCTCAAGGGCTGGGATACTCGCCAGGCAGATTAGAGACATAAAGGCAGACATTAGGCAAGGGTCCAGATAAAGTGGGGCATATGGGGGCCCCTGGGTTGAAACCTCATTATCAGAGGAAGACACCAGGAAGGAGCATGGTCTGTAGCTCAGAGACCACCACAGAGGCCCTCATAGCAGATACCGCTTCTGGGGATAGCTCAACAGGAAGAAAGCTTTAGTACTTGATCCTGAATAAAGGAGGGGTTGGAGCAGCTGGTATCTTCCTGTTCCCCCAGGTAGGTGGACCCCAATAGCCTACCTCTAAATAGCTCTCTAAGGTGGTGTCCTTGGGAAATCAGGTGGAGAAGGACAAATAGGAGCTATGAAAAGTTTGGAGTGCTGACATGATGAGAGATGTTCCAGGAGGATAATGTGGGCAGAGGTCAGGGTGAGTTGCTGGTGAAAAGACTGAATGTAGGCAGAGGTGCTGGTTGGCATCTGTGATCATAAGACAAGAAGTCATGAATACCTGAATGAGATAGGTGGTTGTGCTGATGGCAGAACAAATAAGACTATGTGAGCCTCCCTCAACAAGGTTGAGATACAAGGCCTAGAGAAGGAAACAAAACAAAGACATTAAGTTTGGCTGCTAGATAAAATATGAAAGTGGTAGAAATCATGAAGGGGGCATAGTTCTAAAGAAGACAAGATCATCTTCAGAAGTGCTGAGTCTGAGGCGACAGACAGATGGCCAAGTGAAAGTGTCTAGTTAGGTCATGAAAAATACAGGACGGGATTTAAGGCCAGGGCTTAAGATTGTGTTTGTGAGTCATTTTCCTAAAGTAAATTAAATTGCAGGAGAAAGTATGTGATAGAAAGTTGGAGATGTCTGCAATTACAGAAGTGGAGGGAATGGCATGAGCAGAGAACAAGGCACAGCTAGGGAAGAAGGATGAGAGAGAGGAGAAGGCGGTGCTGTGGGGCCACATGAGGGTCACAGACAGTGTCAACAGCCACAGAGAGGCCCTCAAACCCTGACTCCAAAAGAGACCTTGGTAGATCCTCTGGGGAGAAAGTGGCCTGATCAATGGCCTTTGGGGGCCTTTTTTGAGAAACATCTTCAGGAAAGCACTCAGATGGATAGATGTCAGGGAGAGAATCTGGCAGAAGAAACCCCCACTACTTCACCACATTCAGTAATAACAAAAAGAAATGAAGCAATGCAAAGTTGTAAAAGGGTGGGATCATCTCCCCTAGAGCATGTGCAGAGGAGGCAGCCAGTGGGGAAAAGGCTTTTAGAAACAGAGAAGTTGACTAAAGACAAATTAGCCCCAGAAAGAAAGAGTCTCTGTATCAGTTATCTGTTACTGCATAACAAATCACCCCAAAACTCAATGGTTTAAAACATTACTGTGTTAGTCAAGGTTATTCAGAGAAACAGAACCAGAAGACTATGTATGTGTGTGGAGAAAGAGAGAGAGATTTATTTTAAGAAATTGGCTCATGCAATTGTAGAAGCTGGCAAGTTCAAAATATGCAGGGTAGGACAGCAGGCTGGAGACCCAGTGAGGAGTTGGTATTGCTGCTTGAGTCCAAAGTCAAACTGCAGGCAGAATCTCTCTCCCTTAGGAAAGTCAGTCTTTTCTTTCTTTTATTTTTAAAATTATTATTATTATTTTTTGAGACAGGGTTTCCCTCTGTTGCCCAGGCTAGAGTGCAGTGGTGTGAGCTCAGCTCACTGCAGCCTCAACCTTCTGAACTCAAGAAATCCTCCCACCTCAGCCCCTTAAGTACAAGGACTACAGGTGCATACCACCATGCTCAGCTAATTTTTAAATTTTTTTATAGAGATGAGGTCTCACTATATTGACCAGGCTGGTGTTGAACTCCTGCACTCAAGCAATCTTTCCACCTCAGCCTCCCATGTAGATGGGACTACAGGCATGTGTCACCATGCTTAGCTAATTTTTTTATTTTTTGTAGAGACAAGGTCTCACTATATTGCCCAGGCTGGTCTTGAACTCCTGGGCTCAAATGATCCTCCTGCCTCAGCCTCCCAAACTGTTGGAATTACAGGCATGAACCACTGCTCTCAGCCTGAGGTCAGTCTTTTTCTTAAGGCCTTCATCTGATTGGATGAGGCTTACTCACATTATGGAGTGAAATTTACTCAGTCTAATAAATTAAATGTTAATTAAAAATAATTTCACAGCAACATCCAGATGGGTTTGATCAAATACTTGGGAATTGTGGCCTAGCCAAACTGGCACGTAAAATTAGCCACAACAAGTACCTTTAATTTTTAACACAAGTATATATGTAAATTGAGCAGTTCTGTTTTTTGGACCAGGCTTGACTAAGGTCATCTAGATTTTTTCATGCATCTGTGGTCAGCTGCTGAGTTGGCTGGGGGCTTGGCTGGCCTGAGATGGCCCTGCTGGGGCCTCAGCTCTCCTCTCTGTTGTCTCCCATCTTCCAGCAGGCTAGCCTGGGCTTGTTCTCATGCTGTGAAGGGGCTCTGAGGAAGAGCAGATGCCCATAAAGAGCTCTTAAGACTTGGGCTTGGAACAGGTGCACCATCATCTCTGCTGATGTTTCTGTTCAAAGCAAGTCAGAAGTCCAGTCCAGATTCAAGGGGAGTAAGGGAGTGTCTACCTTGTGATTGGAGAAGCCACAAAGTTACATTGTGAGAGGAAAGAAAAGACTGAGGCAATTTTTGCAAATAAGATGCCAGAGTTTTCTTGCCCTCTGAAACGTGGAGAGAAGATGTGTAGATGAAGAGGAAGGAAGGTAAATAAGGTCACAACATGGTCTTAATTTTCTCAGGAAAATGGGAGGCCAAGACCCCAGCAATATAATAGAACAGGGGCTTAAGAAAAAGGAAAAAATATTAAAACAGCCACTGAGAGTCATGTGTGAGGGAATCAGCACACAAGAGAGGAAAGGAGTGTCAAATATTGCAGAGAGGACACACTTGAAAGCAGGGAGCAGAGACCTGCCGTGGCCCAAGGCTACACTGCGCCTGGAAGAGGAAACATGCACAGCTAGGGGTGACTGGAGATGGGGCTTTAGGGAGAGATGATGAGACAGGGCAGACAAGCAGCAGGGTCAGGGATGGCATTGGAGCCAGTGGTCCATTGGGGGTGCCTCTTTCTCCTCAGAAATGTAGACAGGCAGCCTGTGTGTAACGTACCCATTTACCTGGGGAACTGGTTAGAGCCCTCTCTGAGGAGACGCTGTGGCCCTTGGTGTCTCAGAAGTTCCCTCAGAGTTGGCAGGACTCCCTATGAGAAGCCCAAACCATGTAAAAAGGGACTGAGTGAGCAGATGCAGCTATGAAGGGCAACAGAATCAATGAATGGAAAATAGTTCATTTTTGTCCCATTGATTTTTTTTCTGCTCATTGAGGACACAGCTACACATTGTCATTAAATTCAACACTTTTCAGTGAAATGCATTAATCCTCTTTAAAACTGACGCCTGCATAACCGATTCTTAAAATAAATTATTTATAATGTTCCTCATTCCCCAAAAAGTGAATTTTGTAGGTGGTTGCATAACCACAGTGGGGTAGACAATCCAAAGGTTTTCCTTTTTTCACATCAAGACAGAGCCTCATTCTTATTTTCTTTGCAACATCAACACTTTTAGCCACATCATCCCTTGTGAAATTTCCCCTTCCCTTAGCCTCCATACCAGTCTGGGTTTTCTTCTATGTCCTGAAGCCCTTCTCTAAATAGTTCCTTCTCCACGTCCTTTGATTCTCTTCTTTTTCCCTTCCCATCACTCACTGTTCACACTTCAGGCCTCCGGCGGCTGCCAATCTTATCTTGCCCCAAAACACCAGACACACCCTCTTGGTTCAGAAACAGTAGCTCACCATGGGAAGGATTCATAGAAAGAAGGGCATATTCAAATCTTGAGGGCATATGTATGGTTTTAAAAGCCCCCATCTCAATTGATTCTGATGTTCTTCCTTCCCCTGTCCCAAGTTAAGATCCCTCCCCACCTCCCCACCCTGACCCAGCAACCTTGACATTTTGGGCAAATGCTTGTTCACACAAAAACCTTTGGCTAGAAGCCTGAATGACCACCTGAAAGGCTGGCTCTTCCCTACTGGACTCCTCATAGGGGTGCAACTTCCAGGCTAGATTCTGAAGGGGTCAGGAGAGGGTATTCAGACTTTCACATCATTGCCTTTCATGTGAAAGCTGCCCAACTCTCTATTTTCAGGGTTGATCTTTCTCCTAGCACTCCTCCAGTTGCCTAGGGGACCCTTCCACTTGGATGTTCCAACAGTAAATTAAAACTCAAAATGCCTAGTTTGGGATTTTATTACTTGACCTCCAAAATCAGTGCTACCTAGTGGTTTCTCTGTTTCTATAAATGGCATCATTATTCACTTACTCAGATTTGAAATCTTTAATCGTTTTGGCTTTATTTCCCTCTCATTCTTCCTGGCTCTCCTTGGCTAACAAATTGAGCCATTTTCTAAGTCCTCCTGTTCCTTCTTTGTCCTGTCTGTTCTTCCTTCCCTTTCCACTCCAATTTGTTCAGCTAAGGTCATCTGAACCTTCATTGCTTCGCTCCTAGACTGTACAAGTGGGATCTTAAAATTTAACCTCTGTCTCTTTCAATTCCACCTTAAGCTGCACTTCCAGATTGCTTACATATCACTTTGTTAGTGTCACTCTTGTACCCCCAAACTTTAAGGGCTCTCTGTTACCAATCACTTATGGACTAAACTCCTTACCTGATACACAGAGCCTTTCAGAGTCCGGCCCCAACATATTTCTCCTCACTGATCTCTTGCTCTCCAAGTGCACCTATCTGACCCGGCCAGTCTATGCCCCAGGGCTTTCCCCAAACACACCCTGCTCCTGACAGTCTCCATGTGGGGCTCATGCTAGTCCATGCCCAGGAATGTCTCCTTTCCTCCTCTCTGCCTCTCTAAGTTCTACCCAGCTTTCCAAGCTTGGCTCAAGTCCCAAGTTCCACGATCTCTTCTCTACCTATGCCCTAAAATGAGGGAAGGAAAACTGACATTTGCCTGTTCTCCTGTTTGGGTTCTACTTATACTTTGTTTCTCAGAACTCCCTCTGAATTTATTGTTCACCCACTTCTAAGACACTTACTCATACTCTCCATCCTATTGGGTTTCTGAATATCTTACAATGATTAAAATGTCAGATAAGTTATTTGGAGCTTACAGGATACTTCCACTTATATTATCTTGTTTTATTCTTAAAACCCTGTGTGGTAGGAATTATTTCCCACATTTTAAGGATAAAAAATCAGTTTTAAAATAGCTATGTCTGGAGCACAAGCTCAAAAATATTTTGCAAAAATAAGTGATGCTTTTCCCAGATCCCAAGACTCACCAGAATGTAAAGACTGGGGCAGAAAAGGAGTTACAGCATCTTCTGGCCTCCACACTGCAGGGATCCTAACACATGATAGCAAGAGCACTGACTGAAGCAGGAAACAGAAGGAGGGGGTCCAATCTTGATGCTGCCTTTTGTTAGTCCTATGACTTGGTAAATTCCCTCTGTGGGTTGGGAAAGCTACAGCTAAGATGCAAGGAACAGCCAGTGAAAAAGAAGGTAGATCCACTAATATTTTTTAAAAATCTTTTTTTTACACCAATAACCATCTGTCTGAAAAATAAATCAAGAAAACAATCCCATTTGTGGTATCATCAAAAAGAATAAAATACTTGGGAATAAATTTAACCAAGGAAGTGAGAAATCCACATACTGAAAAGTTTAAAACATTGATGAAAGAAATTGAAGACACAAATAAATGGGAAGATCTCCCAAGTTCACAGATTGGAAGAATTAATGTGGTTAAAATGTTCACACTTCCCAAATTAATATACATTTTCACTGCAATCCCTATCAAAATTTCAATGGCATTTTTTCACAGAAATAGAAAAAACAATTTTAAAATTTGTATGGAACCACAAAAGACCCAAAAGAATCTTGAAAATGTAGCCAAAACACTCTTGAGAAAGAAAAACAAAGTTGGAGACATTATACCTTCTGATTTCGAATTATATTACGAAGCTATATTAATTAAAATAGCATGGTACTGGCACATAAACAGACACATAGACCAATGAAACAGAATAGAGAGCCCAGAAATAAACTTAAGCATACATGGTAAGCTAATTTTCAACAAGGCTACCAAGAAGACACAATGGGCTGGGCATGGTGGCTCATGCCTGTAATGCTAGCACTTTAGGAGGCCAAGATGGGCAGATCATGAGGTCAAGAGATCGAGACCATCCTGGCCAACATGGTGAAACCTGTCTCTACTAAAAATACAAAAATTATCTGGGCATAGTGCCACGCACCCGTAATCCCAGCTACTTGGGAGGCTGATGCAGGAGAATCGCTTGAACCCGGGAAGTGGAGGTTACAGTGAGCCAAGATCATGCCACTGCACTCCAGCCTGGCAACAGAGCAAGATTCCGTCTCAAAAAAAAAAAAAAAAAAAAAAGACACAATGAGCAAAGAATGGTCTCAAGAATAGTCTCTTAAATAACTGATGTTAAGGAAACTGGATATCCACATGCAAAAAAATAAAACTGGACCCTGTCTTACAGCATACACAAAAATCAACTCAAAATGGGTTAAAGATACGAAACGGAAACACCTAAAACTGTAAAACTTTTAATAAAAATCATAGGGGAAAAGTTCCTTGATGTATGCCTAGGCAAATATATTTTTGATATCTCACCAAAAGCACGGGCAAAAGCAAAAATAAACAAGTGAGACTATAAACTAAAAGCCTTTTTGGCAGCAAAGGAAACAATCAACAAATTAAAAACCAGCCAATGGATTGGAAGAAAATATTTGCAACTCATATATTAGATGAGTGGTTAATATCCAAATATATAAGAAATGCAAACAATTCAATAGCAAAACAAATAAACAAACAACTTGATTAAGAAATGAGCAAAGAACCTGAATAGACATTTCTCTAAAGAAAACATAAAAATGTCCAACAGATATATGAAAACGTGCTCAAAGTCACGAATCATCAGGGAAATGCAAATCAAAACCACAGTGAGATATCACCTCACAACTACTAGAGTGGCTACTATCAAAAACAAAACAATACAAACAAACAAATAAAAACAAAACAAGAGGTAACAAGTGTTTGTGAGGATGTGGAGAAAGGGGAGTCCTTCTACACTGTTGGTAGGAATGCAGATTGGTGCAGCCATTGTGGAAAACAGTATGGAGGTTCCTAAAGAAATTAAAAGTAGAACTGCCATATGACCCAGCAATCCCTCTTCTGGATATCTACCCAAAGGAAATGAAATCACCACTTCATAATAATGTCTGCACTCCCACGTTCTTTGTAGCATTATTCATGGTGGCCAAAACATGGAAACAGTCTAAATGTCCATTAACTAATGAATGGATAGAGAAATTGTGTTATATCTGCAATAGGATATTGTTTAGCCTTAAAAAGGAGACCCTGCCATTTGCAACAGCATGGTTGAAACTATAGGACATTATGCTAAATGAAATAAGTCAGATACAGAAAGAAAAATACTGCTCAAAATTTCACTTGCTTATGAAATCTTAAATATAATAAAACAAAACAAAACACAATGACAGACATAGAAATAAGGAGTAGAACAGTGGTGGGCAGAGGTGGGATGGGAGAAATGGGGAGGGAGAGATCAAAGGATACAAAGTGATAGTTACGTAGCATGAAAAAATCTAGAGATCTTCACCATGAGGACTAGAGTTAATAACGTTCTATACCGACAGAAAACCTTGAATTTTTATAACAAATATGCACATATTATTGTTACAATTAAATTCACCCGATTTCACATGTATAAAAATGTAAAGATTGGGTAGTGAGGAAATTGAGTCCCAAAATGTGGGTTTTCAAGGCTTCATACATCTTCAGGTTATCTGATCATCGGGTTGGCTGAACAAAATAATAACCTAAAAAGTTCCAGTTTTGTTAGTTCATTTGTTCAGGAACTATTTAGAACTACTATGTCCCAAGCACATAGTAGGGATGTCACAGTACACAAAACAAAGATTCTGCCCTCACGGAACTTAGCTTCTGGGGAAGGAATCACCTGGTCCTCACACAAATAACCTCACATAAAATGTCAGGTGATATCAACTGCTAAGAAGAAACATTAAGGCCTATTGGGAGCATAGAGAGTTCCTAGATGTGAAGAATGTTGATCTTTCATGTGATGTAGCCAATGTGAGCTAGAGAAGTGACATTGAGTAGACTTGGAGGAAGTGAAGTGTGATCTCAAATCAGCATTCTTCAGCTGTCTGCCCTGTCTTGGTTGGAAATGGTTCCAATTTGGTCATTTCTGGTCAGATTTGACTGCAGGAGGGTGGTTCTCAAATGCGGTGTGGCTGGTTTCCATCAAAGAGTCAACTTAAGGAACCCTCAGCCACCCCTGAACTCTCCATCTTGTTTGTCCTGCTCCCATCTGGTGCAGAAATAGCAAAATGGGACCCTTGCCCTTGGGTGAACCAAGTCCTCTGATCCCTTTCTGTAGCTCTCTCTGATACACCATGAGCACATCAACGATGGAGGAAGAGAACAGAAAAAAGGGAGGTGGGGCAGGGATAGAGGGTCAACCCTGCTGTGATTGGCTGGAGCATCTCTAGAGCCAGCCTCGCTTGGCACCTACAAACACCAAACTCCAAAGTACAAACAATGCTTCTCTAAGCAAGCTGGGCATGAGAAAGGAAAATGTGGTCAACCTCCAGATAGGAATCCTTATAACAGTTCAGCTCAGATGCAAGAAAGTCCAATCTGATAGGTTTAAGATTTCTTCCAGCAAAATTGTCCTTTAACACTTAGGAAATGCTGCGGAAATGCTGCCCTTTCTCCATTCTGAATATTTATTATCCCTAGCCTCTTACCCCCCATTCAAGGCGGCAGACTCATGATAACAAGCAAAAGGGAGTTTCATGTTGTTTTCAGTTTAATTTTCATGATATCTGGCCTTTTCCCTTTCTTCTTCCTTTCCTTCTCTTTCTCTCTCTCTTTTTTTTCTGCTTTTGCATTTACTCAGACTCATAGAGAATATATCAGTTGTCTGCATCTCAGTCAGAACTTGTTGTATACTCAAATCTGAAAGTAGAAACATTAATGATAAAAAGAGGATAGGAGACAAATAAGAAAAAGGAAGTAGCAGGAGTCAGTGGAGAGGAAAAGTCACAATTGTAGAAGAAAAGGCTCCAAATAGAGTAATAATTGACAGTGTGATAACCCCTCAATTCTCCCAAAGCCACAGCCTCAGGCACATACAGCACTTGTATTAGTTTGTGAGGACCGCCATAACATAGTGCCGCAGAGTGGAGGGCCGAGACAGCAGAAATGTATTTCTCACAGTTCCGGAGGCTGGAAGTGTGAGATGAGAGTATCATCAGGGTTGGTTTCTCCTGAGGCCTCTCCTGGGTTTGCAGATGGCCGTGTCCTCCCTGTGTCTTCACACGGTTGTCCCACTGTGTGTACTTGTATTCAAATTTTCCTCTTCTTATGAGAACATCAGTCATACTGAATTAGGGTCCATGCTAATGACCTCATTTTAACTTCATTATTTCTTTAAAGACCCTGTCTGAAAATACATTCACCTTCTGAGGTACAGAGGGTCAGAACTTAAACCTGTATTTTTTGGAGGGAATTCAGCCCATAGCAGCCCTGAAGCTTCAGGATCAGTGAACACCTCAGTCCTCGCTGTCCTTTTCCTTCTTTTTTGCTGGTCTATTTATTTTGGAATCAAGGAGTAACAAAGAGGGTGGGCAGGGCCAGCGATATGGCAGAGGCTGTCTCCACAACAGCTGTGACTTGGGTGCCATGTCAGCAATCCTCCCCGCTCAGGACAGGCCCTAAGAATAGGCACCATGTGGCACCTGCCTCAGGCCCAGTCCAGCGGGGAAGCTGCCTGTGACCCCTGGAACCAGGGACCAAAATCTCCGTCTATTGAAGGCTGACAGGAATTGGTTTCCTCAGTGATGAGCCACTAGAGAAATAAAAGTTTCCTCTTTTCCAAGGAGTAGTCACTAGTCTACCAACAGAAGTCAAGTCCTAACCATCGCCAAACTCCTTCCCCCGACATCCATCTTCCCTGCTCCCAAGACCTGAACATGCTGCTCTTCTTTTCCTCCATTACAACTTTGCCATTTTCTTTTTCCATTTCTTTCTTTTCCACAACATCTGAACGTTAGTGAGAGAGAGAGAGAGCACCCTTCCCAAAGGATCCTGGAGCCCTGTCCTCAGAGGTGAGGACACGTTCTGCGTTCCATCAGTCATCACCTTCCCCTTAATGCAGAATTCTAGGAAGTTCTCAAGCCCTGTTCTAAAACTCTGCCTCACTCCCTGACCTCCTGCATATATTTCCCTGCAGAAGTGAGGTTGGCAATCACTAGGGATCTCTAACTTTCTAATTTTTGTAACCCAATGAACAAACCCCCTTCCAATCCTTTGCAATTGGGTGCAGTCCTGGATTAAAGGGTCAAAGGTAGGACTTTTCTCTCATTCTTTTCTCTTAGACTCCTCCAGCTTTGCAGGAAAGGCAGCTTGAGCAGCGCCCCCATGCCTGAAAGACACAGCTATGCAACACCATTCTCGGGCAACACAAGGAGGCCCTGGGCTAGAGTGTGTGGTATGGTGCTGATAAGATGGATTCTGAGAGTGTTGCGCAGAGTTGTCATATGATGACAGAGCTTTAACGATGATGCAGACACAGCCCTTCGGGTGCTCTAGCTCATCAATGACACATGTGAAACCTATTGATACTGCTGGACCGTGCAGGAGTCTCTGCTGTGTCCTCTTTCCCCACCCCACCCCTGCTTCTCAGGAATCAGGGAGAGATGGGCTGCCTACAGGGAGGTGTCAACCATCCCACAGAGCCCATCAGATAGACATGCCCAAGGAGCAAAACAGAGTTCATTAAACTCACTGCAGCAAAGGGAAACACCGTCTTGTCAGAGTCTTAGTGCTGCTTCAAAAAGAGGACAGTAAGGAAGGCTATTTTTAGTGTTTTGACCCGGGACTCAAATAGTTTTAGGTGGATTTTTTAAGGTAAGGACCTAGTTGGAATTGGACAAAGTTCCTGACATAGTAAAGTTTAGTGGACACAGCAAAGAAAGGGTCTTGATATGCCAACTCTTGTTTAATACGCAAGTTATTTCTTTAGGCAAGCAAATTGTCTTTCTGATAAGGGAGCTATTTGTCCATATAAGAAAACTGTTTGTCTGAATAAATTGGTTGGCAAACAGTAAGATTACATTGTCCACAGCTGTCTCAATTCTCAGTCCCCACTTGTGGCCAGTCTCCAGCCTGAGCTAGAGAATAAATCATTACCTTCTGGGTTGCAATTAATCCACATCTGCACTGATGTTTGAGGTGTCATGATCATGTATCAGTTTCTAACTGTAGTTGTTTCTACCTCTATAAATGTCAGGTTTTCCTGTTTGTGGAAGACAAAATAATGGCCCTTCAAAAATGCCCATATCCTAATTGCTGGAATCTGTGAATATGTTACATTCAGTGACAAAGAGAACTTTGCAAGTATAATTAAGGTGACAGACCTTAAAATAGGGAGATTATTCTGGATTATCTGGTGGCCTAATCTAACCACAAGAGGCCTAGAAAGCTGAGGGCTTTCTTCAGCTAGAAGCAGAAGAAATTAAGCAAAATGAGAAGTCAGAAAGACTCCAAATGTGAGAAGGACGTGATGTGCCTTTGCTGGCTCTGAGATGTAGGGGCCCATGTTCAAGAATCAAAGAGAGGCCCTTGGGAGCTAAGAGTGCTCCCCAGATGACAGCAAGGAAACAGGAACCTCTGTTTTATAGCTGCCAAGAACTATATTTTGCAAATGACCTGAATGTGCTTGAAAGCAGTCTTCTCATAGCTTCTCAGTAAGAACCCAGTTGCCAACACCTGGATTGTGCCCTTTGAAAAATCAGACAGGAGGCTGGGTGTGGTGGCTCACGCCTGTAATCCCAACACTTTGGGAGGCCAATGTGGTAGATTGCTTGAGCTCAGGAGTTCATGACCAGCCTGGGCAACATGGCAAAATCCTGTTTCTACAAAAAATATAAAAATTTAGTAAGGTATGATGGTGTGTGCCTGTAGTCCCAGCTACTCAGAAGCATGAGGTGGGAGGATTTCTTGAGCCTAGCAGGCAGAGGTTGCAGTGAGCTGAGATTGAGCCACTGCACTCTAGCCTGGGTGACAGAGCAAGACCTTGACACACACACAAAAAAATAAAATAAAATTTGGAAAAAAAAGAAAGAAAAGAAAATCAGACAGGAGAAGCAGTCAAACCAACCCAGACTTCTGACCTACACAACTGTGCCATAATAAAGTTGTGTTTTTAAACCACTAACTGGTGGTAATTTATTATGGCCGTAATAGAAAACAGATGCACTGTTCTTATTGCCCACTCATGATTTGTTGGCTCTTGATCAAATGACAACTGCACACTAGCATGTGAGCACTGCAGTAAGGCAAATACTGAGAGAGGGAATACGGTTAGAGTCTGTAGTCCTTTTCTAAGCTATGAGCCTAGTATGTCCTAGAGAAAAAAAAAAAATCTCATCCCAGTGAGAACAGCCTGCAGAACCATATAGGAAGGTGTTAGTTAAATTACGTAATTTCCTGATATCTTCATTGGTTTCCCAGATCTGCAGAAATCTAAGTACAGGCCAGGTGCAGTGGCTCACACCTGTAGCACTTTTGGAGGCAGGGGATCCTTTGAGCCCAGGAGTTTGAGACCAGCCTGAACCACAAAGTGAGACTCTATCACAATTTTAAAAAATTAAAATTCAAGTACAGCATTCTCTGCCTAAGAAAATACATGTTCCACCTTGAAAGGCCTACATTACATCTCTAGGTCTGCACTATTTTGAATCACCATCTGCCCAATCTTATAAACTTCCCTAGTCAGTTCTGTAGACTTAGTAGCATTGTATAATTCTGTCAATGACTAAGGCATTACAAACTCAGATTTTCAGACTTTCAGGTTTTTATTTCAGCCATGAAATAAAGAGGCTTGAAGAGGAAGAAAGTAGTTCTGAATTCTCCTTAATAATCAAGATTTGGGGTATCAGGCCAGGTGCGGTGGCTCACACCTGTAATCCCAGCACTTTGGGAGGCCGAGGCGGGTGGATCACGAGGTCAGGAGATCGAGACCATCCCGGCTAAAACGGTGAAACCCCGTCTCTACTAAAAATACAGAAAATTAGCCAGGCGCGGTGGCAGGCGCCTGTAGTCCCAGCTACTCGGGAGGCTGAGGCAGGAGAATGGCGTGAACCTGGGAGGAGGAGCTTGCAGTGAGCTGAGATCGCACCACTGCACTCCAGCCTGGGCGATAGAGTGAGACTCTGTCTCAAAAAAAAAAAAAAAAAAAAAATCAAGATTTGGGGTATCAAATGAAGGCCCAGTTTTCTTAGTTATCTAAAATCTCTTCTTCTGAGAGGAGAAATGAATGGGCCAATGCAAATTCTGGGTGATATCAAAGACTATTTGATAGCAGGAATCCATTTTTTAAGATAACAAATCCCTGACTGGTTTGTGACTTGTAGGTTTTTGGAACACAAATCCAATTCCAGTGATTGGGAATGTCCCAATGATCAGGAGTCAGACAAAATCTCTACAAAGTTGTCAAGTAGTATTATCTGGTTTTGGCACTCCTTAACAGAAGTGGTTTGGCACTAGCCAGTGAGATTTGTAGAACAGAGATCACTAGGCAGATTTAGAGCAAAAGTGCATAAAGCTGGTCTAGGTAGTGATGAGGTCTATCAAAGTGAGGCACCTCCCAGATGTTCATAGTCCCATGGCCCAGATGTTTCAGAGTTGCTTTCCAAGTTCTATCTATGGGAACACTTAGTTAGAAAGACTAGTTCCTATAGAAGTTCCCCAGGTGTTTTTAGGTGGAAATAGAAAACTTCCATTCTAGGTATGACACAATAGCAAATTTTATATTTTCAGCTTTTAGGCCTTTTTTGGTGTTTGCCATCTAAAAACTCACCAAGTGGTTGAGAAAACCAACTGATTCATGGCTGTTATTGAAGAGAGCTGGATGCTGACAAAAAACTTAAGTATAAAGCCAACCCATTGTTATTGTGTATTTTAGCCAAATTGTGAGCAATCCATAGCAAGATATTGGACTTTTGCCAAGGAGTGACTAGAGATGCAAAGACCAGTAATAAGAAGAGGGTCCTTACAGATACTGCAGTTAAGGGTCGACAAGTGTTTGCTAGAAGATTTTTAAACTAGCAGAGAGAAAAAAAAAACTAGCTAATAAAATACAGGACAAGATATATAAAATAAAGCATGACAATCTATGGCTCTGAAAATCTGGATTTTGTTTTGTGGGTCTTGGGTGGAAGTTTGCGGAACCAAATTACTCAGTTGTCTACTTGATCCAGGTATTGGGTAGGAGCTATCTCCTCCTTTCTGAAGATTATCAGAATCCTCAGCTAAGGTCTCCAGCAGGGACAGTGATCTGAGGGTGGCTTGCGTCTCTTTATGTCAGAGGCAAAAATCCAAGGATCAACCCCTTGGCGTTTTACTGCTGTGTTCTTTATTTCTTAACAGTATCTAAGGTTATTTTCATTGGTGTTTGAAGTCTGTCTTTCTCTGATGTCTCTTTCAGAAAACCATGTTCCCAGGGTTTAGATCATAAAAGGATTGTTTAGGAGGATGTTGAGGGAGGCCGCCCATACCTGTTGATGCTAAAATTGGGTGCAATACATGAGTCTCTTGCAGTATTTGGCCATGTTTTCTTGAAAAAGAGCAGAGTCTGAGATCAGAAGTGGTATTTCTAGACACAGGAATCAGCTTTTAGCTAACGTATAAAGGAGCACTGAGGAACCCCAGGGTTTGATCTTATTGTCGTTAAAACCAGTAGCAATAACTTAGTCCAGGGAAGTTCAAGAGGTCTCTAAGAGTTCTGCTAATCTTAGTTCAGAGTTCCATTTTTTTTTTAATTTTCCAAAGATTGGGGGTAATACGGATAGTAAAGTCTCTGGGCAGGTAAAAAGGCTTCACAAAGCTCTTTAATGACAGTCCCAGTAAATGAGTGTCCCTTTCACTAGAGAAATAAATTAGAATTTCCCAGAATGGGAATGCAAAATCAGGCAATTTTTTTCCCTGCCTTCAGAGCCATAATTCTTTGGCAAGGAAAAGCATCGGTTCCTCCTGAGAAGATTCAAACAATGGTCATATTCAAAACCATTGTGAAGGATAATATGAAATTCTTTCGGAGATGTTCAAAGGGAACCTGAAGCTTAGGACTTATGTGCTTATTATTTTTTCCTTCAGTTTCTTAGCTAGCAGAGGACAATTGTTTGTCCCATGTCCTTTTTGCTTATAATATCTATGGACATCTAAAATAAGAGGCTCCTTTACCTGATTTTATTGACTAGAGAGGAAGTATTGAGTTGTTTTATCTTTAAGGCATTAGCTTCATTCTGCTTTTGTCCTAAGGCTCCTTGAAAATGTTCGGCAAGGCGTTGGAGATATGGCTATGGAGCTCTTTCCCTTTTCAGTCTTTGCTTACATATCAGATTTCCTATTTCTGGCTCAAGATCATTCACAAAGATGAGGAGGAAGCCAAAGTTACATCTGTATCAGGATCTACTCCTGAATGCAGTCTAAAGGTTTTAAAGACTATCTCTGCAGTCTCCAATGGATTCACTCTTTCTTTGCTTACAGGACCAAATTAGAGTCCAATCTATTTTCTCATGATAAACTTTGGGGATATACTCCAAAATAACTTGTTCACTATCTAGAGCTATTGTAACCTTCTTTGTGTTCCTATGTAATTCAGAGTCCTTCAGGAAACTCTCAAGTTTATTACAATATGCCTTTTCCATCCAAAGTGGTTTTTTTTTTTTTTTTTTTTTTTTTTTTTGAGACGGAGTCTCGGTCTGTCGCCCAGGCTGGAGAGTGCAGTGGCGCGATCTCGGCTCACTGCAAGCTCCACCTCCCAGGTTCATGCCATTCTCCTGCCTCAGCCTCCCGAGTAGCTGGAACTACAGGCGCCCGCTACCACGCCCGGCTAATTTTCTGTATTTTTAGTAGAGACGGGGTTTCACCTTCTTAGCCAGGATGGTCTTGGTCTCCTGACCTCGTGATCCGCCCGCCTCGGCCTCCTAAAGTGCTGGGATTACAGGCATGAGCCACCGCGCCCGTCCTCCATCCAAAGTTTTTGTGTCAGGGGTCCATCTGAGGTTTTGTGTCAGGGGTCCCCAAGACCACCTTGAGGCTCAACAGGTAACTAGAAAAACTCACAGGACTGAGAAAACCAGTTATATTCACTCTTCCAGTTTATTACAGCAAAAGGTTACAGATTAAAAATCAGTAAAAGGAAAACGTTCACGGGATGAAGTCCAAGAGAAACCAGGCACAAGCTTCCAGCTGTCCTCTCCCAGAAGAACCACAGGAGGGCCAGTTTAATTCTCCCAGCAACAATGAGTGACAACACAGCGTGAAGTGTTGCCAATCAGGGAAGCTCACCTGAGACTTAGCGTTATAATTGAAGGTCAGTTCTTTCTATTGTATCTGAGCTTTAGAAAATACTTAACAAATTCTTTTAGCTCAGTCTGATATAAGATCTTAAAGGCAATCATGGAGATTTTGCCCTGTGTTGAAGGGGTTTAACTTTAAAAGGCAATTGAGTTTAGGGTGTTTCTCCCATCTCAATTAAAATGACCTTTCTGTCTCTAAGGCCAGAAATGAGGACTAGTCCCAGACTTCTCCCTTTCCTCAACTCCCATAGTCAATAAGTTTTTAGGAACTGCTTCCATTTCCTGTGACAATGTTGTTCTGTTTATGAAGCAGTTTAATGTGAGTATTGGGGGAAGGGAGGAGTGTGTTTCTGGGTGTTAAGATAACATAATAAGCAGATGCCACACAAGAAGAAGGAAGTAGCACATTGCCTAGTATGCATTTAAACAGGCATTTATTGATTACATGAGATTTTTACAGAAATATGTTTTTACAGAAGTGCCAGTTTCATTTGGTGAAGCTGACTGGTTCATAAAGAGATCCAAAGAACACTTGGGTGCCTTTTATGTCTTTTTACTGAGATTTTGTGTGTCTCCATTCGTTAATAATAGCAGAGCAGAGAAATTCTGGCACATTTTATCATTATGCAAATAAATGAACTGGCTTTTCAATAACTTTCTTAAGATAAATTGCTAATTTCCATTAAAAAAGAAAAGCCAGAACTCCTTTATAGAATGACCTTCGTCCCAAGCTGTTTTGCAAAAACAAGTCTTTTCAAAAGCCCATTTCTAGAACGTACATTTTCTCTGGTAGGCGTTTCAAAAGGCAGCACAATGCGTGCACACACACACCAAATAAATAAATAGTTCCTAAAGCCACGGTAAAATATCCTCAGGCTTTCCTCCGATTAGTGGTGCTAAATTCAGGGAGGATATGAAATTTCTCTTCATAGAGTTCCCTCTAACAGTTGTAATCTTTAGACCAGCCTCATATTGATCATTCTACCTCTTGTGCTACTGAAGCCCATTGCACCTCTTGCCATCTACCCACTCTCTTATTCCCACTTCAAATTGTATCTTTCAGCACCACGGAACTGCTCCTGTGACTCTTTCAAAATTCCTCATGGTGAATCCAAAAGACAGTTTCTTGGTACCACGGATAAATAAGGTACAGGGCGAACAGCAGCAGACCGATCCTTACTGTGTTCCAACAGATCAGCGCAGCTCTCACCAACTAAGCAGTGAGCCTTACCCATCCCTCAATTGAAAAGTTCAGAAAATAACTCCTTGTATTATTGCCTTGGGCCAATGTGGATACTAACAAACAGATAGCCCTCTACATTCCTGCAACATTCTTCCAATAAAACCTTTCAACCTGCATCCTCACCTTTCTATGAGAAAAATGGCAAGAGATCCATAAGCCTCCCTCTTCATACACAAGAACAACAGCTTGGCTGAATCAGGAAGGCGTGAATCCCATCAGTGCCCCATATGCCAGACACTCTATCCTGTCCTCCAGGAAAATCCAGAGCAACAAATTCTCAGGACACCAGCAACCCCTTCTCAAGCATGGGTTTTCCTCAGTGCCCCATCCCCCAACTTTTTCAGAAAAGGTCCATAAATCAAATGACCAATATTGACACAGCGCACTGGGCTTACTGGGAGGCATTTGGAGCCAGAGACAACAGGCCTAGGGCTCTGGCTGTCTCATACCCCAAGGAAATCAATACTTCAGACACACCTGTTTGGAAGCTCCGCTGGAATGGCCTCCTCATGACTTTTACCTTAGTCTGAGTGGTTTATTTAGGAATATTTCCAGGTAAGGAACTAGCAAGTGGCAACCTGAAGATGAACCCTAGGTCATGGGGTGAAATATCTGAAACTCTTGTCCTTAGAAAGAATTACTAAAACCAATTCCTGTCAATTATTGAGCACTGATGGAAGGCACTCTGTATGCATTATGTAATTAGGTATATGCAACACCATGAGATAGCTATCATTATCCCCATCTCACAAACAAGACAACTCAAGCTGAAAGCCATGGCAAAGGATCAAGCCCAAGCCAGGTCCATCTCTCACCCCAGAGATAGAGCCTGGCCTTCTCCCCCTTGACACAACTCCTACTAGGCCACAAGCTGAGAGTCCTTCACTTACTATGAACTGACCCCATCTGGCAGACCAAACACACTTACCTATGGTTTCCTGGTTGGGAAAACTAGAACCTTTTTGTGAAGCAGTGAAAACAGAAATAGTTTCTAGGTTAGGGCTTTTCTGATAGATTTGGCAGAGTAAGGGATGAAGAAAGGTTTGTAAAGGGAAGTTCCATTTTCTTGGTCTCTCTCAGGCCAACAATAACACATTTTGTCTTATTTTATTTTGAGGCTGAAAAGAATTCTATAAGGACAGACAGGGAAGAATATGCCTTAGACTGTCTTCATATAATTCCCATATTTAATGCATAAATCCAGTAGTATGTTAACAAATATTTTAAAACTGGCACTCTGGAGTATGGGTATGGGGCTTACTTATTGCATTTACTAATTTCCCTACTATAAATACTCCTATAATGATTTATTCAAGCTACTGATATGCAGTATTGTGAAAATTTAACAGTAGGGTCCCATGAGCCCATGCCAACAGGTTCCAGTACACCACTGCTTAAATTCATCATAGAGGAAGAACAGTTAGGAATTCCCCAGAAATTGACCCCAACCAAAGACCCTCTTATGGTTTGAAGCATTTTCCTCCTGTTAAATATAAACACCTCTAAGAGGAGCAGCATATTATCACTAATTGTCATTTTATGATAGTGGTTACCAACCTGTCCTAAGGCTACTGGCCACGCAAGAGGGTTGGGAAAAGAGGCATTAAGTGACCCCAGGGACCCCGGCTTTGTCCGTAGCATGGACATTGTTTGAAGGCTGAATAAGAAATACATATGTCTTTCCTGCTTAAAGAAATCAGAGATGACACAAACAAATGGAAAAACATTCCATGCTCATGGACAGGAAGAATTGATATCATTTAAATAGCCATACTACCCAAAGCAATTTATAGATTCAATGCTATTCATATTAAACTACCATTGCCATTCTTCATGGAACTAGAAAAAAAACTATTTTAAAATTCATGGGGAACAAAAACAAATAAATAAAATAAAAATAAAAAGCAAGCCCAAATAGCCATGGCAATTCTAAGCAAAAAGAATAAAACTAGAGGCATCACACTACCCAATTTCATACTATACTACAGGGCTACAGTAACCAAAACAGGATGGTACTGGTACAAAAGCAGACACATAGACCAATGGAACAGAATAGAGAGCGCAGAAATGAGGCCACACACCTACCTACAACTATCTGATGTTTGACAAACCTGACAAAAAAAGCAATGGGGAAAGGATATTCAATAAATGGTGCTGGGGTAACTGGCTACCCATATGCAGAAGATTGAAACTGGACCCCTTTCTTACACCATATACAAAAATTAACTCAAGATGGATTAAAGACTTAAATGTAAAACCCAAAACTATAAAAACCCTGGAAGACCACATAGGAAATACCATTCTGGACATAAGAATAGGCAAAGATTTCATGCCAAAAATACCAAAAGCAGTTGCAACAAAAGCAAAAATTGACTAATGGGATCTAATTAAACTAAAGGGCTTCTTCACAGGAAAGGAAACTATCAACAAAATGAACAGCAACCTACAGAATTGGAGAACATTTTTCAAAACTATGCATCTGACAAAGGTCTAATATCCAGCATCTATAAGGGACTTAAACAAATTTACAAGAAAAAAAACCAAATAACCCCATTGAAAAGTGGGCAAAGGACATGAACAGACACTTTTCAAAAGAAGACATACATGCAGCCAACAAAAATATGATAAAAAGCTCAACATCACTGATCACTGCAGAAATGCAAACCAAAACCACAAGGAGATACCATCTCACACCAGTCAGAATAGCTATTATTAAAAAGTCAAAAAATAACAGATGCTGGCAAGATTGTGGAGAAAAGAAAATGCTTATACACTGTTGGTGGGAGTGTAAATTAGTTCAACCATTGTGGAAGACAGTGTGGTGATTCCTCAAAGACCTAAAAACAGAAATACCATTCGACCTAGCAATCCCATTACTGGGTATACCCAAAGGAATATAAATCATTCTATTATAAAGATACATGCATGCATATGTTCATTGTTGCACTATTTACAATAGCAAAGACATGGAATTAACCTAAATGCTCATCAATAATAGCCTGAATAAAGAAAATGTGGTATACAACACCGTGGAATACTATGCAGCCATAAAAAAGAGTGAGATCATGTCCTTTGCAGGAATGTAAATGGAGCTGGAGGCCATTATCCTTAGCCAACTAATGCAGGATCAGAAAACCAAACACCACATATTCTCACTTATAATTGGGAGCTAAATGATGAGAACACATGAACACATAGAAAGGAACACCACACACTGGAGTTTATCAGAGGGTGGAGGGAGAGGATCAGGAAAAATAACTAATGGGCACTAGACTTAATACCTGGGTGGCAAAATAATCTGTACAACAAACCTCCATGACACAAGTTTTCCTATATGAAAAACCTGCACATGTACCCCTAAACTTAAAATAAAAAGAAATATATATGTTTTTGCACTGCTGTTTTTAAAATAGACATAATACTATTGTGGTTAATAATATTCTATTTTAGATTATAGCATTATTAAATTGACAGTGGCTTTTTGTAATTCTGAACTTTTTCATAGACACACACACAGACACACAAGCAGCCATTAATGTGTGTAAATTCTGGGCCAGGCATGGGGAGAAGAAAATTGCAAAAGTACTGATGTTGGAAAAGTGTTTCTGAAAAACGTGGGTTGAAAAACATATCAAATGATACCAGAAAGATGCAGTCAGCCAAATCCAGAATGTGGGAAATTCTACTAGAGAAATGAGCCTATTTCCTCAACAAATAAGTGGCATTTAAAAAGAGAATGTTAAGCCAGGTGCGGTGGCTCACACCTGTAATCCCAGCACTTTGGGAGGCCGAGGTGAGCAGATTACGAGGTCAGGAGATTGAGACGATCCTGGCTAACACAGTGAAACCCTGTCTCTACTAAAAATACAAAAAATTAGCTGGGCGTGTTGGTACATGCCTGTAGTCCCAGCTACTCGTGAGGCTGAGGCAGGAGAATGGCTTGAACTGGGAGGTGGAGGTTGCAGTGAGCCGAGAACACGCCACTGCACTCCATCGTGGGCAACAAAGCGAGACTCTGTCTCAAAAAAAAAAAAAAAAAAAAAAAAAAAGAAGGATGTTACAGGTTTAAAGTGACACATCAGCCAATTGCAGTGTGTGGATCTTGATTGGATCCTCAAACAAACAAGGAAAGGACATTGTTGAGGCAACTGGGAAAATTTAAACATGGTCTGAGCACTAGAATATATTATAAAATTATTACTATTTTGTTAGTTGGGATGATGGTTTTGATGTTTTAATTATGTCAAAATATGGCCGGGGGGTAGAGGCAGACATGAAACTAGCATGGCAAATGTTAGCAGCCTGAGTAATGAGGGATTCATCACATTTTTCTCTCTACTTCTTCATTTTGTGCCAAAGTTGCTATTACAAAATTTTTAAAGCAGGAAAAAATTATTTTTTTGAAAAAGTTGGGAATCACTCTTATAGAAATGATCCAAATAAGTAATTCACAATGGGTGACAGAGAGTAAAGAGCATATCCCCAGTATGACAACTTGGTGTGTGATTTCATAGGAAAACAAACAAACAAACAAAACAAAATAACAAGTTACAAAACATAGTTTTTAGTATGAACCACTACTTACCACCACTTACTTTACCCTCCCAGGACCTCAGACAATTCTTCCTCTGTGAAGACAGGATAATTGATAACTACCAAACTACTTAAATAGGCATCAAATAAGCCTGTAGCATTAAATAAGACAATTCACATTAACACTATCTAAAATATGAAATCATATATGAATGGAGGGGATTGTTATTTTGTTAGTCATTCTCATCATCATTATCATCAACATCATGCTCATTCCAATGTATTTAGTTATGGGAGAGTGAAGACAAATAGATCCTGGAAATGTCCTATTGAAAGTAAGCGTGGTGATGGGCCCCAGTGTTTTATGGAGAGGAGATGATCAAACAGACCAGAGCAGGGTTGGATTCTCCTCCCCTGGTTCAAGAGATATGGCCAGGAAGGTGGGGCCTCCTGGGCTGCGACTGAATTCATTCATTCATTCATTCATTCATTCAAACACTTACTGAGGACCTGCTACTTCATGTCAAGCACTGTGCTGACTGTGGAGGATGAAATGAAGCTCAAAGCTGAGTGGGAGGGGCAGATGTCTAAGAAGATGATGGTCACACAAGATGGTATTACAGAACACGGGATAGAGAGACCCAACCCAGCCTCAGGATGGGAAGTGGAAATAGTAGATAGGCTTCTTGGAGCTGTATTGGTTTGATGGAAAGAGGGGAGAAAGAAAATCATCAGAGGGAGAGAAAGACCAAAGATATAGAAGAGGTGCCTTAGGAAACCACTACGCAGCAGCAGTAGTATTTATTCACCAGAGGCAAGAGGACCTGAAATTGAGGGGACCTGTCAGAGCTGAGATTGAGCAAGGTGAGAGAGGACAAAAGCCAGAAAAGAGCCTGGGCCAGGCCTCGGAAGTGGAGTCCTGAAGCAGGGGTCAGCAGCAAGTGGGAGGCTGTGAGGGTTTGGAGGAGGTACGCAGGGAACTGCTGTGCTTTTCCCTGCATTCTGGCTCAGCTCTACTTAAAGGGCCTCCAAGGTAATACTTCTCAATTAAAGGCAAGGAAGCCCAAGGTACTGCTCAGGTGTAAGCCACTGGGCCAAGGGCAATATAAACAGCAAACTTTAATCAGAGATGCCACAGGGGAGTGTGTGGTGCTGAATGCACATTCATTAGAGCCTCCCAGGGTGATCAAATGGAAGCACCACTTTCAGCTCAGTTCAGAAAAATGGCAATTAAAAAAAACTAATATAATAAAGTTCAGGTGCTTCTCCACTGCCTCTTCAAACATGGTCTGAGCACTAGATTATATTATAAAATTATTACTATTTTGTTAGTTGAGATAATGGTTTTGATGTTTTAATTATGTCAAAATATGGCCAGAGAGTAGAGGCAGACATGAAACTAGCTCGGCAAATGTTAATAAGTTGAGTGATGAGGGATTCATCATGTTCTAAATTGGGTGTGGTGAGTGAAGACACCCACTTCACCTGTGCAGCCGCAGAGGAAATGGCCTCCCTTGCCACTGCAGGTAGCAGATGGCTCCATGGAGCCCCTCCACGCCACCAGCCCTCACCTCCCAGCTCATTTGTGACTCACACATCACTCTCCTCCTTCCTTATCTGAGGGTGAACCTCAATGTGGCTGACTGATGGGACTGCCCTCCCAATAAGAGAGGCTAAGACGCAGTGTTTTATTATAGTACTATTTTGTTTTCTCTCTCCACGGAGCTGGAATCAGTCCACCCTGGAAAGCGGGGAGATGAGAAAATACTGTCATATGAATCTCTCAAAGCAGAACTCACGACCTGTGGTGTGGGGCTACCCTTGGATATATTCTCAGTGGTCTCCAAGTTCACTGCATAATTTTCTTTTAATTTTGAGTTGTTGTTTTAAACATAACCTTAAAAATAATGAAATCATATACTGATGTCATCTTATCATTAAGTGATATAATAGGATTGGGATTTCATGCTCCTGTTTGTCCTGTGTCAGTTGAAGTCTAAATTATGTCAAACTACTCTGTGAACAAAAGTTTCCATATCATGTACATTGAATAAAATTGTTGGAAGAACAGTCATCACATCTATTCTCCCACAATAGTGCATTTAATATATCTGCATTAAATAAAATCTGCAATACTAATCCGTTCTTAAAGTACATAAGATACCTTTAAAGAATGTTTAAATCATATTTTATTAAAACTGGCATTTGAGTTTGACATGCTGGCAGTTGTGATCAAGGTTGAGATCTGATTGTCTGGAACTGGAAAACACAATCCTGAATTTACTAATATCATTTGAACCAATATGCTTAAGTATATTCTTGTCTTTATTATTGTCAAAGTCAAAATAAAGAAATAAATATAAAAGTGAATCTCAGGCTGCATTTTTTTACTGTTAAGCCCAACAAGCTGGTTTCAGGAAGCCCTCATCATCTGCCAATGTGGGCAGGCTTTGGAGTTAGTCAGCACAAGGAAAATCTCCGCTCTGCCATGCCCCATCTTTGTGACTTCTCTATCTCAACTCCTTCAACTGTAGAATAGGAATGGAAACAATGATAATATCTGCTGAACAGGGTTTTTTTTAAAGAACTAAGTGAGAACATGCATGTAAAGTTCTTAGTACCCAGTGCACTAGACAGAGGTAAAGAAAAAAATTAATCATGAAAATTGTGGTTTTAGTGAGCTATGGGCAACTTTGTCAAACCAGGGAGGGTGCATGAATAGTCACTAGTGACTGCCCATTATGTCTTTCAGAGATGCCTGCTGGAGACAAGACCTCTGTGAAAGAAGTGGCCTGCATAAACTTTGGGTGGGGTTTCCAGTTGTCCTCCTTGGAACTCAAGAGTACCCTGAGTTCCATGGCATGCTTTGGGTTCCACAAATGTTTTGATTCAAATTTCTCATGTAATTTTCAAAACTATAATAAGAATCAACACAATCTGAAATGTGCTTTATGCTAAATTTGATATGTTGAAGACAACCAATACTGCCTTGTTAACGGTTTTCAGGCAGACCTTGGAGAAAAGCTTCTACTGCCAGATCTGTGGATATATTTGAAAGTCTTGGAAATGAGTCATTGATTATGACGTGTAGAGCTCTGCACTGATCTTTTTAAAATTCAAAAAGTGCATAAGTAAGAATCAAAAAGTAAAAATAAAAATGTAGATATAATTTAATACTTAATGAGATACCAGGCAAGGTTGGTTTGTCCATTCATTCATTTATTTTACATTTATTTTATGCCTACAAGATGGTAGGCTCTTCTCTAGGCACTTGTATATAGCCACAAATGAAGTTCAGGCACATTTATTCAGCCTGTATTGAGCTATAATAAACATGCAATGACAAGGAAAATCAGAACACATTTCTTTGTGTTAGTGACATAAAATTGATAAGCTTGGCATTTATAGTAAGCATGAGATGTTTATTGACTGACTTTTGTATTTATAAGGAAGTAAGCTAGTTGTTAGATATTGTGGCAATATAACTTTGAAACAAAAAAATTCTGCAAATCCTCTTCAATGATTTGAGATCAGTATGATTGAAGAGAATCTTGAGATTGTAGGGTAAGCTATTTATCTGTTTGAATCAGGATTTTCTTGATATTGTGTATCCAAGAAAGATTATAGAAATAAATTGGACATTGAGATTTGCATAAGACTGCCATTGTCAGCCACAATCATGATTTCCAATTTTTGTGAAAATAGCCTCAGTATTCTCTTTGATTGACTTTGTAATAATTAGGAAAAGGTTTAAGTATGAAAAAAAATTAGCTAGACATGCTGGTGCATGCCTGCAGTCCTAGCTACTCAGGAGGCTGAGGTGGGAGGATCACTTTAGCCCAGGTGTTTGAGGTTACGGTGAGCTATGACGGCACCACTGCACTCCAGTCTGGGTGACACAGTGAGACCTTGTCTCTAAAAAAATTTTTTTTAATTAGCCAAGTGTGGTAGTCCCAGCTTCTCAGGAGGCTGAGATGAGAGGATTGATTGAGCCCAGGAGCTAGAGGCTGCAGTGAGCTGAGTGTGCCACTGCACTCCAGCCTGAGTGATAGAGTGAGACCCTGTCTCTAAAAGAAAAGAAAAATTTTAATTTTGCCTGGAAGAAAAAATTATGCTCCTGACATTTTTAAATTGCTAGCTTAAGGAAGCCAGCAGACTGAGAGAGAGAGAAGTTTTCATAAGTTCTACCCTTAGGAATTAAATAAGAACTAAAAACAGAGAGCAATCAGGGCTTCCAGCTACTAAAAGAGGAAAAGAGTCAGAAACAGAAGAATTTTCTATAAGAATGCTGTAAGGTTCCAGAATCTTTTTAATCCTCACAAGTTTGTTATTAAAACAAAACAAACCTCCAACTCTCTTTTCCTTGCCCTTTCTTAAATATTGGGAATAAAAACAAAACAAAAATAGAACTCTCAAAGCAAGATCTGTAGGTCTATTTTAAGGGACTGCAAAGTAGAGAGCAGCTAGGGAGACTGTGCCTCACCCGCCTTCTAGAAATATGATCAGCCTTGAGGTCTCTGAATTGGAAGGCTAAGTTAAACAACTAACACCTGCTCTCCAGCCTCACCTGCATTCTCAGTGGGATGGCAATCTCTTCCCTTATCCCCAAAGAGCTTTCTCTTTCTCCTGTTATAACAGTTATTCCAAACATTTAACATGCTTCAAGTCCTCTACCCCAGCCTTCCTCAAAGTGCACCTAGACTAGGCATTGTGATCAGAAAGGAGGTATGTGTAGTGGGTAAAATCATGTACTCTTCTTGGCCAGTCTTCCTGGGTTTGAATCCTATCTCTATCATGTAGTAGCTTCATTACCTTGGGTGAGTTAATTAGCCTGTCTTGGGCCTTGGTTACCTCATCTACAAAAGAATGTGATAATGACACCTTTCTCATAAGTTCAGTTAATGATTTGATGGGTATAGAGCTTATAGAAAAGGAGCTAGCATGTACTAAGTGCTCAATAAACATTAACAGACTAAACACACAACATTGCCTCTCTTCCATAATCACTAAAATCACACACACACACAACAAACTTAAAAACAAATCCATAGCACTGTTGGAAAATCAAGAGAGGAGCCAACTAGCACTCCACAACCAGAAGAATTTTCTGAAAGTTAAAAAGGGAAAGATTGGCAACAAAGCCCACAAAATTAAGGAAGCCACAAATTCAGCAGGAGGAAAAAGAAAGCTCTTTTTTAAAAAATGTAAACTTTTCATTGGTACCCCAGAGAAATATAAAAATGATGGGCATCAGGGGATAAAATAAAGGAAATTAATTAAGCTTTCCCGCTCAAGTCAAGAAAAAAATAAAATGCTCATTTTTAAAATTATTTTTTATTTTTTTAAATAATTTTTTGTAGAGACAGGGTCCCACTACATTGCCCAGGCTGGTCTTTAATTCTGAGGCTCACGTTATCCCCCCACCTTGGCCTCCCAAAGTACTGGGATTCCAGGTATGAGGTGTCACATAAAATACTCATTAATAATGCTTCAGTGCAAGATTATTTTCACATCCTTGCCAATGCAGTAAGGCAAGAAAAAGAATTAAGAGTATAAATACTGGCTAGTAGAATACTAGGTTTTACTTATCTGTAGATAATATGAGTCTTTATCCAGAAAACCCAAAAGAGTTAACTGAAAAACTTTTCGAGTTATTAAAAAAAATCCAGTAAATTGATCAGACAAAACTAATATGCAAAAATGAAAAGATCATTAATCAGAACCCTTTTAACTTCCAGTCCCACCCAGCTGCAAACTTATTTGTATCCACATTCAACCTTACTTCTTTCACCGTTCAACTTTAGGATATACTGCAAGCAGTTTTCCAAAATTGTTGTATTAAGTACACTTCTGGCAGGGTGCAGAGGCTCACACCTATAACCCCAGCATTTTGGGAGGCTGAGGTGGGTGGATCACTTGAGACCAGGAGTTCAAGACCAGCCTGGCCAGCATGATGAAATCCTGTTTCTACTAAAAATACAAAAATTAGCCAGGCTGTGGCATGAGAATCGCTTAAACCCAGGAGGTGAATGTTGCAGTGAGCCGAGATTGCGCCACTGCACTGCAGCCTAGGCGACAGAGCAAAACTCTGTCTCAAAACAACAACAACAAAAAAAACACTTACACCAGAAGGGTAAGAGAATTTCATTTCCTCCACATCATTGCCAATACTTGGTATTTTTAGTGTTTTTAATTTTAGCCATTTTAGTGTATGTATAGTGATAAATACTCATTATGGCTTTAATACGCAATCCCTTGATGACTAATTAATGTTAAGCACCTATTCATGTATACTGAGCTATTTGGCTATCCCCTTTTGTAGGGTGTCTTGTCTTCACAAGGTATTTGCTTACATTTTTTATTGAGCTCTCTGTGTTTTTCTTAATGACGTATATATACTAGAGCTGAGTTCTTTATTGGACATGAGTATGATTAATATTTTCTTTTACTCTATGGCTTGCCTTTTCACTCTGTTAAGAATATCCTTTGATAAAGAGAGGCTTTTGATTTTAATGTAATTGAATGTATTTCTCTTATTTAAATTTAGTCATTTTTGTGCTCTCTTTAAGAAATATCTGCCTACACCAAGATCATGAAAATATGATGCGCCATTGTCTTCAAAAAGCCTTGTCGTTTTCCCTACTATATATCTGTAATTGATTTTTTAAATTGGTGTACAGAGAATCCAGAATTAATGTTTACTTGGTTATCCAATTGACCCAGGGTCATTTATTGAAAATATTTATTTTTCTTATCCAAGATTGTCTTGGCTATTCTCAGCCAACCTAATATATTTCTACTTCTCTTCTATGTCCTGAAACTACTTTTGATGATCTCCCCAATTTCCCAAACATCAAATACAAAGGAAATTTTTTCACTTTGACCTTAATTTTTCTCCCACCATTTAACACTCAGCCTTTGGCTCCTTAAAACTTCCCTTCCCTTATCTTCCAGGACACCATGGTTTTTCCTTTTTTTTTTTTTTTTTTTTTCCTGTACTGCTTTTTTTTCAGTTGCTCATTCTCCTCTCCCAGGATCCCTTCTTCAGTCTTTTCACTTCTCATTTCAGGACTCACACTCCTCCTAAGTGATCTTGTTCAAATGCAGGCCTTTAACCACTTCTATTCATGGGTAGCTCCCAAGCATTATTCCCAGCCCAGGTTTCTAATTCTCAAGTGCAGACGAAGATACTCAAACATATCCAAAACTGAATGCATTAATCTCATCAGAAAGAAGTCCAGTAAAATGGCCAGATAAAACATATATGCAAAAATTAAAAAGACTATTAATCAGAACCCCTTTAACTTCCAGTTTCACCACACCTAGAGACTTCTTAATACTCCCCCAACCACACCTCATCCTTCTTAGATCTCCATTAGCTAAAAAGACACCACTGTACTCAACTGCCTCAGCCAGAGACCATGAAATCTTCAAATACCTTGTCCAGGTTCTGATGACTTCACTAAGCTTCTCTCCTAACTATTTCCTCCTCTCAACCCCCACTACTGCTGCCCTATTTCAAGCCTTCACTGTCTCTCACATGGCTTTACTACAGCCTTTTGCCTTATCCCCCTGTATTTGGTCTCACGTGTTCAGTTTCCATACAAGGATCTCCCAACTGGTAACTAACATTTCCTTCTTTTTCCTACACACCAGCAATTGGTTCTCCCAGTTAAGTTACACTAAATCCACATACAAAGTCTCCATAAATCAAAATAGCCACCTGACAAGTAGGTGCCTCATGCCATGAAGTGTAATGGAAGACTTGGATACAAAAGCAAGGGGGCTTGAAGCACTGCTGGCTGCCCAAGAGGTGAGGGCATCACTGCAAGGGCAGAGGATGCAGAGGGGAAAGTTCTTAGGGCTGATATCTGGTCATGCTTGTTATCCTCTACATAGAGAAATAATACTGGCAGACATTCCCCACCAAATCCTTATTTCCTATCTATATCCTGTGGCCCAACTCTGATTCAACAGACCCTTGATATCTAAGAAACCAACATTATCACCTGCACCATTCACCAACAGCCCTAAAGACCCGTCAAGTGAAGATGTGTAATTTTGCAGAGGCACAAATCTCAACTACATATGCTATGGGGCTTCTTATTCTGCGTGAATCATTTAGCAGTTTGAAAGCCAAATGTCTTGGGGTTGGTGAGTCATGCCCTTGGAATAAAACCTGAGGGCTGAAGTTCAGGATTTGCAGCAAATGACTGAAACCAAAGGGGCCCTGGGAAATTGTCATTCTGGGAGCAAAAAGGAGGGAGGAAACTGAGATGGCAGCACTGCTTTTCACAGGGAATTCCAGGGACAGGAAGACCACCAGGGCAAGAGTGTTTGCCCTGGGGTCAAGACCCCCAGGGCTGGTTTTGGGCAGCTGAGTTCCTGGACCTCTAGTGAAGAAAGAGGAAAGTAGGACAAGCTGATCTGGGCCTCAGACAGAGACCCAGAGCTGGGCTAAGGCAAGTCCCATATGCAGTTTACAACAAGGACCTTAGCTGTTCTGAAATGGACCAACCCAAAGAGACAAGCTAACATCTACTCCCCCCATCAGCATGAAGATTCATATTCCTTTTGTTGTCCAAAGAAGAACTTACTTGGAGCACAGCAGGTCAGTCAGAACCATAACTGGAAGAAATCTGTGTGTAAAAGATCAGCAGGAGTGACACAAAATCCTCAGGGTCCTTGCCCAGAAGATTGATCCTTCAAAAAAGTGAGTCTTATTTGGGCAAAAGTGTCAGACTGCTAATATCCGTTTATTTGTCTGGTTTCTGCTCCATCTTGTATCCAAGGGTGTCTGGATAACTCTACCCAGTGAATAATAAGCCCATTTTATTTATTTAGGGGATTCTGTACTTTGTGGGGATACATTATCCTGGATATCAAATTAAATGCCCATTCACATTGAGCTCAAGTCACATGTCACCAAGGGCTGGGTATAGTAGCCAAGGAAGATGACACCTCCAGGGCTGGGTTTTGCAAGGAAATGAGTTTTAATCATCAAGTTCAGTTTCAACACTTGGAAATCATCCATCTTGATGAGGAAATAAAATCAGCTGATCTTTTATTTTGCTCATTTGAAGGCAATGAGACACTTCTTTGCATCAGATAATAGGCTTGTGACCCCAAAGGACACCTATTCTCACTTTACCATCTCAGCAGCTGTAAGCCCTGAGCAGCACACATGAGCATGAAGGAAAAGGGGCTTCCTTAATGGGCACAGTCAAGGATGGATGGTCTGAGCCAATAGCAGGGTCAGAGATACAGGGAACCCCAAACAGCAATTAATTTTAATTTTAATTTTAATTGGCCTAGGCATACACTGGATGACTTCTTGCACAATAAATCCATCCTCCTAATTATTAGCTTAATTAACTTAATTATCAGTTAGTCTAATATTTAAGTTAGTTGGTATTCTCTAAGTTATTCATAGTGCAAAAGGGCCCATGAGCATGCAAGGTCAAGAGGCCTGGGGCTGAGGTCACACTGATGGGTAACTGGGAGTTGACAGGCATTCCCAATGAGAACATCAGGCATGCCACTGACCTGATGTAAACCAGCTAAACAGGGCTCTGGGTCAGCCAGGCCCCTATCCTCTCCAGTTATCTTCGGGAGAGTTTTTCTCAAGGGTGTTGATCATCACTGAATTGAGGGAAGTTGCCCTATGTCACCATGCTGGTGCTCGCCTCCATGCCCTTATTCATCCTGCCTGTGGTACCCTTAGCCTTAAACTTCACTGAACTGTCTCCTACCCAAACTTTATGACTCAGCTCAGTGACGCCTCCTGCTGGCAGCTGTCTCAATGGGCTTGCTAATCAACTGTTCATGTATCAGTAGCACCCAGCACATTTACCTGTGGGGCAATGCACTCTATAAATATTTGATGAAGAAATGAATCAATTATTGTGTGCTTAGCACTTTTTACATTTAAAGTAATAGCCTCTTGTCTTATTTATCACTGTCAGTATGGTGAACCCCTTGAGGATAGGAAACTTATTCATTTTTATGTTCCTGCTCTTAATAATGAATGCCACAGAAAAAGTACTTAATAAATGGGGGCAGAGCCCACCTATCTCCACCCTAGGAGACTGACTTTTTTGCTAAGTAAGATAACTTTTGTGTGAACCTTCTTGGTGTATAAAGTATTTTCATGTGTCTTATCATTGTTTATCCTCACTGGGACTGGGGATGAAGGAGAGTGTATATGGGGGGCAGGGGTGGTGGGGGTGACTGTGAGTTAGATACTTTCATTATTCTCATCGTACAGATGAGGAAACTAAAATTCATGAAGTTACATGGCTTGCACATAATCACAGGCTCATAGGTGAAACAAGAAGTCTATCTGGATTTCCTGACTCTAAATCTACACTCGGTTATTTTCTAATCAACAGCCAAAGTTTGTTCCCATCTCTTAACCACAAGTCCTATCTCCCAGTTATACTCTCCTATCAACCGGCTATGAACTAATGTCCATTTAGAGGTTAACTCATTGCAGCTTAAGGGTTGAGATAAAGCACATACAGGGGAGTTTGACTTTCAAGATGATGATACTGAAAATTGATGTTCAGAAAGGAATGAGCTTCAAGTGCAAGAATTTTAGACACATGGCCAGGTGAGGAGAAGTTGATGAATAGCTATAGGCAGTAACCTGAGAGACCAGGTTAGCCATTTTTATGTATGCTATGTAAAATGACAATATTAGTCATTTATTACTGCATATCAGATACTCCTTAACTTAGCAGCTCCCAAGAACAGTAAACATTTATTATTGCCCACAGTTTCTAAGTGTCAGGACTCTGAAAGTGGCTTAGCTGGATGGTTCTAGCTCAGGGTACCTCCTGAAGTTCCAGTCAAGCTGCCAGCCAGAGCTGCAGGCAGTCACTGGGAGGCTTGAAGGAGATTGAGGATCCATTCCAAGATGGTTTACTCACACGGCTACCAGCTGTTGGTAGGAGTTATAGGTCCTTCCTATTTGGAACTCTCCAGGGACTACTTGAGTGTCCTCAGACCATGGGGGCTGGCTTCACTCAGAGTGATCCAAGAGATAGTAAGTGATGGGGTTCAGGACACACTACCTTCAAGTATGGCACCTTACCATTTGAGAAAATAGCAGAAGCAGGAAGATCTCTTTGACTTTCCCCTTTGACCTTCTCCCCTGAAGCTGGTCATGAAAGAATTATCTGACCTTCCTTTCTGAAGTAGGTCATAAGACCCTTATTCCAGAGATACCCTCCCTACAACCAGAGGAAAGGAACATACTTATCTTCAAAGACACAGAAATGCCAAGAAGAATCTGAACAAACCGGTCTTGCTAAGTTCCTCCCAGTTGATCACTAGTAGATCACCCTTTTGTTCTCCAATCATAATTCTCCACAGTTCTCCATTTCATCAAACTTGGTGTAAAAATGCACAAGTTTACCTGTTTCTTTGGACTTCATTTCTGAAGGCTCCCATGTCACATTAATTTAAAAAAAAAAAAGACAACTTATGTTAAATAAATCAAAAGGTGAGGGTAGAGGGCAATGAAGAAAGATTGATTAAGGGGTACAAATATACACTTAGAAGAAATAAGACCTAATATTCAGTAGATCAGTAGGGTGACTATAGTTAACATTAATCTATTGTATATTTCAAAATAGCTGGAAGAGAATAATTTGAATGTTCTTAGCATATAGAAAAGATGAATATTTAGGTTGATGAATATTCCAATTACCTGATTTAATTACATGAGTGTATCAAATTATCACATGTGCCCCGAAAATATGTATATCCAATATGTATCAATAAGAATAAATAGGCTGGGCGCAGTGGCTCATGCCTGTAATCCTAGCACTTTGGGAGGCCAAGGTGGGTGGATATCTTGAGGCCAGGAATTTCAGACCAGCCTAGCCAACATGGCAAAACTCCATCTCTACAAAAAATTTAAAAAAAAAGATCCAGGCATGGTGGCATGCGCCTGTAAGTCCTAACGACTCGGGAGGCTGAGGCATGAGAATCACTTGAACCCAGGAGGCAATGGTTGCAGTGAGCCGAGATCATACCACTGCACTTCAACCTGAGTAACAAAGTGAGACTCTGTCTCAATAAGTAAATAAATAAATAAAAGTGAATACATAATTTTGTATGCTTTTCTATCATTAATCTGTTTTTTTAATACCGGTGCCTCAGTCATGAGCCTTATGATGGGTGAGAAAAGAGATATTACTTTTTCTCCTCTACACAAAGTCAGAAGCCACAAAGTCTTTTCTGATGTAGCCTTGAAGTCACACTTCCTCATTTTCACAATATCCTTTTGGTCACAAGGTCAGCTGCGTTCACTGTAGGATGCATTCAATATATGGAGAAGTGAATATTACTGGGGACCATCTTAAAAGTGGCCACCATAACACCAACAGGTTGCTCTGAACAAGATCTTTGCTCTGCCCCAAAATTTAATTCACTGATGGTTCCACCATGAAATCACAGTTTTGATTTTTTATGTGTTTTAAACAATTAGACCTTTAGCAAGAGAGTAAATCAAAGATAGCCAAAGACACTAAGTTAGATTTTCTACCCTGATGAAAGTATGAGTGGCCAAGATCACACAGTTGGTTTCTGGAAGAGCTCAGAAGAGACAAGAAGGGCAGGAGAGCCAGCTGGCCTCTACATTCACCAAGGTCTCAGATTAGACTTTTAACTTTATCCCCAAATAAGATCTATCAGACAGTCCCAAAGATATAGGAGCAAAGGAAAGCAATATTCATTGTCCAACCTTAAACCCTGAGCCTTGTGACTATACAACACTGTCTATAGCACAGGATGACTGTGAATTAATATTTTTCCAGATTTTGTGACTATTAAAATGCACTATATTGCATTTTTTCTGGAAAAAGTTTTAACTTATAAAATGTAAACATCAAAAAATTTCGTAATTCTTATGATTCCCATTTTTTAAATTGTTTCTTTTAATATACAAGGGACCTCAAAAAAACTGAAGTGACCGTGATCTGTTAACATCTGAGAGGCTTGTCTCATGACCCCTCAACCCCTCAACTCCTGGAGTTTCATTCTTTTCCTTTGAAAAAACCGGAGGGTTGTGTAAGTGACCTCTAAGGTTGGTCCAGGTCTTGCATCCCTTCAGGCACTAAAGCCATAGTAGTCAGTGCTTATTTTTCAATGCTCTGTGTGCCCTGAATGCTCCTTTAGTAAAGAATAGGAAGAAGGAAAGGGAAGTAAGTGTAAAGGGCAAATTCTGACCACCACACCATGTGGAGTAGTGAACCAAGTAAGAACCTGAAATGGGAGAAAAACATAGAACAATTTTTGCAGGATTTTTTTTTCGTTATCCACAAAGTCACGTTGAGACTGGTTTCTGGTTTGAAATAAAAGGGAGCTCCAAATATTCTGGCAGGAGGTCATCTTTCCTTTATGGCCTTTGCTCAGCCTGGGCCTCTGACTGTCCCAGGAGCTGGGCCCTCACCCCTCCCAACAGATCCGCTCTGGAAGAACAATATTTAGATGCCTTACCTTAGAAACCTGACCACAGAAGGGCTGGCTTTTTTTGTAAGAGATGGGGGTTGTATTAGTCTGTTTTCATGCTACTGATAAAGACATATCTGAGACTGGGCAATTTACAAAAGAAAGAGGTTTATTGGATTTACAGTTCTACATGTCTATGGAGGCCTCACAATCATGGCAGAAGGCAAGGAGGAGCAAAGTCATGTCTTACATGGATGGCAGCAGGCAAAAAAAGGAGCTTGTGTAGGAAAACTCCCCCTTTATAATACCATCAGATCTCATGAGACTTATTTGCTATCATGAGAACAGCACAGGAAAGACCTCCATCCATTATTCAATTACCTCCCACCAGGTCCCTTCCATAACACATGGGAATTCAAGATGAGATTTGGGTGGGGACACAGCCAAACCATATCAGGGGTTTTGCTATGTTGGCCAGGTTGGTCTTGAACACCTGGGTTCAAGCAAATCCTCCCACCTCAGCCTCCCAAAGTACTAGGATTACAGGCGTGAGCCAGTGTGCCTGGCCTATTTTTGTTTGTTTCTTGTTCCTACTAGAATTGCTGCAAAGAATCACAAAAGCAGCAAGGCTAGGACACTGGGCTGCTGTAGCAAAGGGAGGCAGCAAGTGAAGCAGTGATTCTGGGTGACCATGACGCCACCAGGCAGACTGCTGTTTGTGCTGCCAGTGTTGAAAAACACGTTCTGGGTCTGTGGAACCGGCAAATAGATTTCTGTCAAAAGGCAAAATTACAACAAATTTAGTCTAAAAATCTTAATTGCCTTTTATTGGCAACTCTAGAGTCTGGCAACACCTCATTCCGTAAAAAACAATGAGTGCTCCAATATGCTGAGCAGAGGAGATTGGCTTTATGGACAAAAAAAGAGCTGAATAAAGCAGAAACAAAAAACAAAAAGTAGACTGGCAATTTCAGTTATTTTCCTTGTAAAGGTTAAAGCAGAGGGGACTTCCTTATGTTGGCTAAAACTGGCCTGTTTGGCTATTTGGAGATTTGGCTATTCTCTCTCTTTCTCTCCTTTCTCTCTCCCCAGCCGCCGCCCCCCATGTCTTGGAAGGTTATATAAACAACTTAGTTTTAGCTTGATTGCATGGAACTTTAGAATGAGTGACTCCATCTTGGTTTGGTCCATTGGGCCTAGTGCAACAGCTCAGGCCAAACCAATGGCCTCCTATACATTTTATTTAACACTTCCTTGGACTGGGGCAGGGGTGTGGCCAGGTGAATGAATGAGGAAGGTTCTGAGCTGCCTCCTGACTTTGGGCATGACCAATAACCATGACTTGTTTTGTTTCAGGCCCTCCCCTCCTCCTCCTATCTAGTGAGCACCCAGTGATCCAATGTCCTTGTCCCCTGGCAAGGCTACTTTGCTTTCCTTATCACTGGAATTCAGCAAAGCCTCCTTCCTGGGTATCATATACAGAGGAGGATACAAATATTGCTAGTGAGCCAGTCTCATTTTGCCTGTTGCACAGTGTGTCAATCAATGAGAAGACTAGTTTTATAGCAGAGAAGCTACCAAGTGAGCAGATGGGAGAAGAGTTCTCAAATTTGCCTCTCCAAAGACAGAGTTTAGGGATATTTATGGGATAACAAAACAGGGTGGTCTGAAGCATGGGGAAAGGTGACTTGAGGTGAGGAAAAGTGAGAATCAGTGATCTGCACAAGGGTAGGCAGACTTCATGGCTTTTCATATGATGGTGTTGGTGCTACCAGTGCCCCAGGTTCTTGCAGTCTCCCAGGATTTAAATCAAGAGTGATCACCAGGCATAGAAATAAAGGGAGTTTATGAGCTGGTGCACAAGGTAGCCAGCTGCTACCTGAGGGTAGTGTTTGTGTTAGTTTGACAGGGTCTTTCTATAGGGAAGGGTTACATCAGGGCATGTATACTAGGGGTTTTTCTAGTGCTTGCGTAGTGACTCAACATGTTTCTTCATATATCATATGTAGTGCTAGCATTTTAAATCTCCACCCCAGGGCATGAACTTTAGCATTAAAATGAGGAAAGTGTAACTTTAATTTGGAGTTTAAGTCTGATGCACATGTGGGGCTCCCAGGAAGCCCCTAGCCCTCAAAATAAAACCTTGCAGTTAAGAACTTCCTGGGTCTTTTGTTACTGACTGGCTGATGGTTAAATAAGCCAAACTTTTTCATTCAGACCATCTTAAAATAGGGAATTGGCCAGCCTGCATGTCTCATTTGCATGATCTGAGAGTGGAGTTTTTGGTCCTCTGACAGCAAAAGGTCACCCATAGGATGCTCATGTAGGCTCAGTTGGAGGGTTGGTGGTCTCAGCTGGTTTGAACTGGACAAAAACTGACCCTAAGTTCCTGAAAAATAACTTAGGCAACTGTTACCATAGTGACCATTACATCAAAGCTGTTATCTATAAGAAAGCTAGTGAGTGGAAGTTTAATTATATTTTGCCTAGCTACATGATTTTTAGCTATATAGGTTTTAAAATCAACTAGAAGTGAATGACTAAAAGCAAGCAAGTTTGACAGGCCTAATCAGGTTAGCCCTTCTGTTTCAACATTTCCCTCAAACTTCCTGTTGTACCTGCCACTGGCTGGAGCTGCAGAGTCTGGCTACTCAAGAAACTGACATACTTCCCAGTGGGATGTAGGCTGTCAATTCAGCTGTTCCTTTAGCAGAAAGAGCCAACATCATTGCAGCTGAAGCTTTCTTCCCTGAGGTAATTTGCCTCAAACCCTGGGGAAAAAAATAGGTCTGGCCTCTGCTTTTTCCAGCTTTTCCTTCTGGAGGGGCAAGAGAGATTGATCCGGCCTCCAAGGTTGGAGATGCCCCTGTGTTGAAGATCTGTCCTGTGTTTTCACTGGAAACCAGCCAGAAAGGTGGGGCTAAGCAGAACTTTTCTACGTTGGTGTTTGATTGCAACAAAAGAACCCATGAAGACCTGCAGTTGTTGTCTACAACCATGTGAAGGACTGCCACAAAGAAAAGTGAATGGATCACTTAGTAATCCCAGAGGAAGAACTAGGACCAGTGGGAGAAGTTAATGGGAGGCAGAGTCCAGCCCAGTGTAGCACATCCTGCCCCAAGAAGTAGTGATCTCCCTGTCACTTACAGCGTGTAAGTAACAATCTGTCAAAAATGTTGGACAAACTCCAAATGAAAAATAAATTTCAAGAAGCTTAAAAACCAGTTGAGACTTTTTAAAATGGACTTGAAGAAGTGGATGAATGTAGGAGTCCAGAGAGACTTGAGCAAGGGCTTTCTTGCTCTATCAAAATTCCCAGTCCTAGGAGCTGGCCCATCTTCTAGTTTTACCCCAACTTCAAAAAGCTTCAGGGACCTGGAAGGAGTAAGACAGTGTTCCTACCACAGTGCCTGCCGGGAGAGTGGGCTGAGGGAAGATGGGCCTCTTCAACTCTCAGCATCTGTGATTCTGACGAGGAAAAATCTCACAGGAGATAAAGAAAATTCTTCAAATCATCCCCAGACTGAATATTTAACAAAATTGGGGTTTGATTTTTTCAAATAAGGCATCAGTGGCTCTTTTTAAGCAACAAGGAGATTGTTTTATGCAAATTTCCCCTTAGGGCTTTCATTAAGATGTTAACATCTTTCTTGTCACAATATCTACTTTATTGCAATGAGTCATAGTCTTTCTCTATTCTCTTGCTGAGACATCTTTGTAAGGTAAACTCTGGGCTGAGAGCAGGGCCTAATTTTTTTCTTTTTTTAAGTAAAAATCCCTTCCAGAGAGTACTAAGGAAAGGATTGCGAGACAGAAATTTTTTAAAAAGAAAGAACATTATACCCCCAGTATGGTGAGATCAATAGATGGAACCAGAAACATTCCTGAGGAAGAAACTGGGCTTACTGTACTCTGCTGGTTAAAACTCAACTCCCATTGGACCAAGTACATATCTCTGGTGCTGGGAACATGCTAGAACCATTTTGCTTCTACCAGTGGGGATATCTAAGCCCCTTTGAAGACAGCCCTCACCTCTCCATCCAACCCTTAGCTCCCTCTCTGGACCACAGGTGAGTGACTGTACAGTCACAGATATTTTTCTTCTGTAGAGATCCAATCTGTGGCCCTGAAATGGAAAAGATAGTCACAGGAAAATAAATGCCATATATAACACCATGGTTATGGGGATAGAGATGTCAACAAAAAGAGTCTAACTCTGTAAAATATTTGAAGACATTTATTCTAAGCCAAATATGATTGACCCGTAATGGCCCATGACACAGCCCCAGGGGATCCCGAGAACATGTACCCAAGGTGCTCAGGCTACAGCTTGGTTCTATACATTTTAGGGAGACATAAGACATCAATCAATACACATAAGATATACATAGGTTCCATTCATAAAGACTGGACAATTGGAAGAGGGGGTGCTTCCAGATCACAGGCAGATTCAAAGATTTTTCTGATTGGATATTGGTTGACAGATGAATCAATAGAAAGGAATGTCTGGGTTAAGATAAGCAGGTGTGGAGATCAAGGTTTTATCATGCAGATGAAGCCTCCAGGTAGCAGGCTTCAGAGAGAATAGACTGTAAATGTTTCTCATCAGGCTTTAAGAGTCTATCAGTCTTGGCTGGGCATGGTGGCTCATGCCTGTAATCCCAGCACTTTGGGAGGCTGAGGTGGGTGGCTCACGAGGTCAGGAGTTCGAGACTAGCCTGGCCAACATAGTGAAACCCTGTCTTTAATAAAAATATAAAAAATTAGCCAGGCGTGGTGGCAGGCACCTGTAATCCCAGCTACTCTAGAGGCTGAGGCAGGAGAATTGCTTGAACCCAGGAGGCAGAGGTTGCAGTGAGCTGAGATGGCACCATTGCACTCCAGCCTGGGTGACAGTGTGAGACTCTGTCTCAAAAAAAAAAAAAAAAAAAAAAGAGTCTATCAGTTTTAAGGTCTCTGTGTTGATGTTAATGATGATCAGTTGTGCCTGAATTCCAAAAGGGAGGAGGGTATGAGGCATGTCTGACCCCTCTTCTCATTGTGGTCTGAACTAGTTTTTCAGGTTAACTTTGGAATGCCTTTGGCCACAGGGAGGGTCCATTAGTTGGTTGGGGGCTTATGGTTTTATTTCTGGTTTACAGAAGCCTTTTGTGTAAGATTCAAACAGGGGGAGAGCAGGGGTAGTTTCCATTTAGGGCGGAGCAGGCTTTAAGAAGAAGAGACAGTCCTTTAGACTAGAAGTGAGCAGCCTTTCTCCAAAGGGCCAGAGGTAAACATTTTAAGCTTTGAGGGAGGACCATGGGTTCTCTGCCACAACTGCTCAAATTTGCTGCCCCTGGGAACACAAAAGGAGTGAACTGTGTTCCTATTAAATTTTATTTATAGACACTGAAATTTTATTTCATATTATTGTCACATGTCACAAAAAAGGGATTCTTCTGATTCTTTTTTCAGAAGATTTTAGATTTTTTCAGAAGATTTCAGAGGATTTAAAAATGTAAAATCCATCCATAGCTAGCAGGTCATATAAGAACAGGCAGCAGACAGTAGAGTTTCCCACCCCTGCAGGGGATCCTAACAGCTCCATCATGCAGTCTTTCCATGTGCTGTGTCCTGGGCATAGGACTGCTTTTTATGCATAGGAGGAGCTTCCTGAACACGGGGGGTGGCCAACTAAACCCTCCCAGGAGGTTTCCCTCACCACTCAGGCTTTTCTTGCCACCAGACCCCAAACACAATATTCCCTTGAGAAAACCACATATAAACGTTCAAAGTGCTTCTATTCTTCCTGTTGGAATGTGACTTAAGTGTGCAGGAAGCAAGGTAGGGAAGTAAAAGCCCTTCAAAGGGACATTTGGCTCAGACAGAAATCCTGATTATAAAATAATTCTTTTAGAATCATCTTAAAATATGTTGGTGTTAAATATTCATAGGGAAAGAGATGTGTATGAGAGAGAAGTGGGTTAGAAGGGAATGACACAGAGCCCAATCTTTCAGAGTGGCCTCACTGGAAAGGTGGTCACGAGAAAATAAACATCACAGATATGCCATGGTTGTCAGGGTGGAGTTCATGTACGTTCATGTCACAGGAGGGAGAGCTGGGGACGTTATTCCTTTTAGACCTTGACCATAAGGGCTGCAGTGGGAATTAGAAAGTGGCTTTCCTCTGATGAGGAAAGTCTTTAGCTGAGACATTTTACCCTGAGAAAGAGAGGGAGTGGCCAGTGCATTCTGGAAAAGTCTCCTCCCAACTCACCAAAATAAATCAGCTGGGCCTGCTCTAAGAAAACATTTAGAGACAGGTAGAATGTAGGCCTCAAGAAGTAACAGGTTGTATTAAGTAGTAATGGACCCTGGAGTTTGAATCTCAGCTTTAAAATTTACCAGCTCTGTGGCCTTGGGCAAGTCACTTAACTTTGTGTGCATCCGTTTTTCCTCTAGAGTTCATACCTACTGCTACATTGTTGAGATTAAATAAGATAATTTTCATAAAAGACATAGCACAAGGTATGGCAAAAATGAAGGCTTAATGAAAACTGGCCTTGCTTATCATCACAACTGTAAACAAAAATAAATTCCTAAGCCCCCTACCAACTGAACAGACCCCCTCTTGGCCAAGGTAACTCCAGATAAACCTGAAAATGGAATTCCTGGCCATGTTGAGAAGGGAGGTCTGACACACCGCCACCTGTGGAGTCCTGATAAGTAAGCAGCAACAAGAAAGGGGTCCCAGGTAGGGGAGAACAATTGTTCTGAGAGACAGCTAATTACAGACAACCCACTGGCACAACATCCTGTTCCCAAAGACCCAGAAACACAACCTTATCTGCACATCTTATCTACATGTAGCCCCTCCATCATGACCCTGTAACATTTCCCTCCAGCCCCTGCCACTTGGCAGACATCCTCTTCTCTGCTGTGCCCCCCATTGCTTTCTTGCAATGTATCTTTGTACTTTTTCCAATAAATCTGCCTTTTTTACCCACAACTGTCTTGGTAAATTCTTGTACCACCCTCAACGCCAGCCCCAGCCAGTCACACCAATGACACCATCTTTTGGAGTTTACATTAAAATGTCGATCATAAGACTGGCAAAACAGACTATTTGTAGCAATAAGATGTCAAATTATTAAGAAGACGTAAGGCCATGCAAGGCAGAGCTTAAGTGACACCTACAAACCATAATATCTCATTAGATGGGTTTTTATTAATCCAGCATAATGTGGCTGACTTTTTCACCTGACTCTGGTATGGCATGAAATGACAGATAGCAGACTCCAAAGGAAATCAAAATATTTTACCCCCAAATACATTTTTTGGACATGTTTTGAAATGGCTACCACAGGGCCAACAAATTGAAATGGTCCTGCAAAGCCCTCTTTTGTGGGAAAAATTTGCATATGTAAAGCATCTCTATTAATGCAGCAAGGCCTTCCCAATACAAGTCTTTTCCTGGATATAGGAGAGATTAAATAAGAGTCTGACACCTTTAAGGTCTGAAAAGAGACATTTACTATCTATTATCTCCAAAGGCTGCTACCCTTGAAGCTCCATCTATATAACAAGAACCTTGACCTCCATGTACCCCCTTATCTTAACTCAAGCATTTCTTTCTACTGACTTCGAGCCTTTAGACAAAGTTTAACTCTTTCAACCAATTGGCAGTGGGAAAATCATTGAATCCACCTATGACCTGGAAGTTACCCTCCCTTCAAGGAATCCTGCCTCTTCAGATTTAACCATTGTATACCCTTTATGTCTTGATTTATAATTTTACCTACAATTCCTGTGTTACTAAAATATATAAAACCAAATTTTAACCCAACCACCTCGGGCATACTTTCTCAGGATCTCTTGAAACTGTTCCCCAGGCCATGGTCACTCATACTGGCTCAAAAAATCTCTTGAAAATATTTTATAGAGGTTTGTTTTTCCATTAACACAACTATCACCATTTCTTAGAGACTTTCCTGTAATTTTCAATAATACATATTATTTCTAATTAGTTATGCTGAATGGATCTTACATTTTGTGCTTTTCTCTTAAACACTTTTTGTATACTTTTTCCATGTATCTGTTTAACTTTCAATCTGTGGGTAAATGGTTTTATAATATGACTTTTGTGGGGGCTATGGTCATTGGCCCCCTAAAGGTTTGCTGAAAAAAAATCAATGGCATGAGGCAGATTGATTAATAGGAGAAAAGGCATACATATTTATTTAACCTGTATGCACAGGAGGCTTCAGAATGAAGATCCAACTTCTCAATGAGTTATACAAGCTTATATACCATCTTGAAGTTACAGAAAGAATGGGGCCTTGGATTCTGGTAAAGCGGGTGATAGGAGTGGGGAGAAGAGGAATTCTATTGAGGGGCAATAAATTATTACTAGGGAAAATGATTGGATGAGGAACGGAAATTAACTTGTAAATAGTTTGTAGAGTCCTGATAAGATAAGTCAGGAACAATGAGGAAGGGACCCCAGGTGGGGGATGACAATTGTTCTGAAAAATAGCCTACTACAAACAACCCACCTGCACACCTGCACAACATCCTATTCCCAAATACCTCGTTTGGTACATAGCCCCTCCAGCACAACCCTATACAACAACTTCCCTCACTCATGCCTCTTTGCAGACAGCCCTTTTTCTGCTATGCTGCTTGCTAAAGTCTTGTAACATATCTTTATACTTTCTCTAATAAATCTGCCTTTCTTTACCCACAACTGTCTTGGTAGATTCTTTTACTGCCCACAACGCTGGGCCCAGCCAGTTGCACCCACAATATAGTTTTCTTTGGAATTTAAATGATCCCCAAAGATAGTCATTATACTCCTAAAAAGGTCTGCTAAGATATGGCCACATCTTGGTCTTGTTTTCTGCAATAAATGATGAGATAACAGGGAGGAGAAAAGGAGCAATTATGCTCCTTGGTGGGTCTGGATCTTAGGGAGATAAAGGAACTTTAGTTTCTTTGGGAGAGATGATGGGGTGGGGGCGAGGTCAGAGAGACCGTGAGGTTTCTTCATTTCAGTATATGTCAAAATGCCATATTTTAGGGTATTGGTTTCTGAGTGAATGAATAAGATTCAAAGTGAAGATTCATTCACTTTGAATGAATAAAATTCAAATTACTTAACCTCTCCCCAGTGTATGAGTATTTTGATCTTTAGTATTATGAACAATGCTACCATAAACACCTGTATACAAATATATTACAACTTGTATGCAATAATTTTTTTGACTCTCCCAGAGAAGGAAACATTGGCTTGAAGCACGCACTCAGGTGTGAGTTTCATGGTCTGTCTTATAGAGATTAACATTGACACTAGTGATGTGTGAGAATTCCTGTCTGCAGAGAAATGTACCAGCATTGAGTTCTATTATTTTGGCTTGTTTTTGCTAATAAATATGAAGTGGGAGCTCACAGTTGCTTTTTTTTTTTTTTTTTTTTTTTTGAGATGGAGTCTCGCTCTGTCACCCAGGCTAGAGTGCAGTGGTGTGATCTCGGCTCACTGCAAGCTCCACCTCCCGGGTTCACACCATTCTCCTGCCTCAGCCTCCCCAGCAGCTGGAACTATAGGTGCACACTGCCATGCCTGGCTAATTTTTTGTATTTTTAGTAGAGACGGGGTTTCACCGTGTTAGCCAGGATGGTCTCGATCTCCTGACCTTGTGATCTGCCCGCCTCAGCCTCCCAAAGTGACAGTTGCTTTATCTTTAAATTAAATTAATTACCTGTGAGTTGATCATCTTCCTCACCAACTTTTCTATTATATTCTATTTTCTATTATATTTGCTACTGTTCACATTATCCAGCAACAGGTTCAGTAGACACATGTTCTTGTCCCTTGTACGTGTGTATAGCCTGTTGATATATTTTGAATTCATCCTTTTCTCTATCTTATCTGTGATATGCATTTCCCATTTATTTTCTTTATATCTGGATTTTATTGTTTTTCATGAAGTTTTAAATCTGTGTGGATCTTAACCTGTTATCCTTATTGCTAAAAATGTTATGATCCAAGCAAGGAAGAAATTAACATCCCTCCACAGTTGCATACGGATAAGATTCTATTTTCTTTTCCTTTCTTTTTAACACTGTAGTCCCTAATCTACCTAGATGTACAATGCTATAAGTGTAAGTTATAGATCTGGATTTTTCTCCACATCCTTTCTAGTGATCCCAGCAAAACATACAATTATCTGTTTCCCTTTGGCTCCTTATACTTCACTTGTCACATATTTTTAAAATATTTCTTTCTTTAGAGTCTGTTTCTGGAAACTCTATTATATCCCAATGACCTATATTCTGTTTTTAAGCCAGTTCTACAGCATCTGAATAATTGTCACCATGAAACAAAAAATACTTGCTAGATCAAGTTTCTGGCAAGCCAGCCCAGTAACCGGCATACGGTAGAGGCTTATTTAATGTTTATAGAAGGAATGTACAATGATCTCCAAATTATCTTTATCTCTTTTTTTTTTTTTCGAGATAGAATTTTGCTCTTTTTGCCCAGGCTGGAGTGCAATGGCATGATCTCAGCTCACTGCAACCTCCGCTTCCCAGATTCAAGTGATTCTCCTGCCTCAGCCTTCCGTGTAGCTGGGATTAGAGGCTTGCGCCACCATGCCTGGCTAATTTTGTATTTTTAGTAGAGACAGGGTTTCATCATGTTGGCCAGGCTGGTCTTGAACTCCTGACCTCAGGTGATCTGCCTGCCTCTGCCTCCCAAAGTGCTGGAATTACAGGCGCGAGCCACCACACCCGGCCCCAAATTATCTTTATTTCTACATATTATCATTTATAATAACATCTATTTACCCTTATGGAGTATTTTTGCTGTTAATTTAATAGGATCAAATCTGTAAGATAACTTGGAGAACACTGTCATCTACAATACTTAGCCTTGTCATTCAGCAGTAGGTTTTCCTTTTTTCCTTATAGGAGTATAGATACATGATATTGTAATTAAGGATCTTATCTTTATACTAATCCCCATTCTATTATTTAGTTTTTCATATCTCAGCTACTTGAAATCGTCTGAGAAATTATATTTCTCTTCTTTATATTTGCTTGAGATATGCCTTTGTCTTTAAAGCTTTACTTTAATACTATTTACCAAAGTATTTTCTGATCATCTTTCTCTGGTAATTAATCCTGAAGGGACTCTATACAGATTAAATTATTTATTAGAAAAAGCTCCAGGAAACTTTCTACTATTATGTCTTTATTTACTGTTTCCATATTTGGTTAAGCTTTCCTGCTTTCTATTTTTCATAGAATAAATCTATTTTGTTAGCTCGGGTTTTTTTTTTTCATGCATTACTATTATCTATTTATTTAGTTCTTTGTTTTTGTTTAGTTTTCTAATTCATCGTCAGTCCCAGTTTCAGTGTCGATTCTAGTCTTTTTTCATTTCTAACAATATTGAATTTTTTACATAACATCTATTATGCAACTATAGTCTCCACCTACTTGTGTTTATTATTATTAATCCTTAGATCTTCTTTCACTTTTTTTCGGGGTGTATTTTTTCTCTTTCTTGAAACCCAAGTTGTCTGTATCTTTGTTTCATTTCTGTCACTATTTATGTTTTCCCCAGGCTTTTACAACTTTTTTTTTTTTTATTGCTGCTGCTGCAAAACTTGTGTTAATCAATTCAGGTTCCTTTAGGAGGGAGGGAAGCACAGGAACCTTCAAACAGTGTTGAAATGTGCCATTGCCTGGCTGAGAAAAGGTGCAAGCAGTAAGTCACAGTGACTAAGGAGGAGAAGGGTTAACTGTCCTAGAGACGCCTGGAAAAGAGGAAACCAGAGGGTCATTCCAACAGGAAGTTTATGGGAGACACGGAGGATCTCCAGGTTGGGTAGAGGAAAAAAGGGCAGACACACACACTGTGTGGTTCAGGAACGTCTCAGGCTTCAAAAAGATCTGCAAGACAAACACAGGGAGATAATTGACTTCACAGAAAGGGCAGAAATCAGGGAAATTTCTGGAGGACGGATGAGCTAAACTCACGGAGTTATGTAAACATGAGAGCTTAATGGAAAGAGTTTAGTAAGAGGTCATGATCACACATTATAGCCAATTAAAAGTCAGAAAGGGAGCCTCATTACTGCTTGTATCTAAGCTGATACATCAGGTAATTACATTAGTTGCATAGGTTTAGTGAATAGCACAAGGACGCAGACCTCACTGGGGCTAACTCCTCATCTGCATGTAGGAGGGAACAAGAGAGTTGCTACCAGGAACAGACAAGCGCCTGTTAGATCGCTGTGTACATCACAGGAAGCAGGAGATGGGAGATAATGGGTGTGCAATCTAGAAATCCAGGGTTCAGAGGGTGAAATTTTATGAATAAGTTTCCTGCCCTGCCCATATGAGGAGTCCCCTCAACCAGTGACAAGAGTAGCTCCGTTAGCTTGACAGGTGTGAGAAGTGTGACTCAGTCATTCCTGCCAGTTTAGTGCTGGCAGTTTAGTGCTTAGCAAACATCTGAGCTCATATATCTCTCCTAACTAGATTTTGCTTCTGGGATGAGAATTCACTATCAGGAGCTTTGCAATCTGCTCTGTGTTTTGATTTGTTTTGCTTTTCTGACCTCTTAGAATAAAACTAACAACAATGGGCAGAATCTGTCACAGGCCGATTTAGGTATTTCTGGGAAGAAGCCCTCCAAGAATTGGGTGAGTGGGGCCAAAAGGTATAAGTTCCCTGTGTCCAGGTGCTGGATGTCTTTAGTGGGAAGACTATAGGTGGAGCTGGTAACACTGTAAACTGTTGGACGAGACCACGTTTAGAACTTCCGCTCCCAAAGTTCTGTTGGATTAAGTGGCATGGTGCAGCTTCCAGGTCTTCATCTGGAGGGAGAGGAAGCTGTTTCTGAGTGAACAGAACTCTCAAGAGGAAGTTAGGGAGTTGAAGTCACGTCTTGGTTCTGCCAAGTCTTATAGGTTGCATGACCTGAAATAGATCCTTTCACTTTCTCTGGACTATAAGGTAATGGGTTTACATCTATTTTAACCCCAATCTCTAAGTCATACTGACTCTACCTCTAAAATCTTTTCCCTCCATACCTACTGCCTCAGCAGACCGTAGTCATTTATCAGCCAGACTACTCCACGAGCTCCCTAATGATATCTCTGGTGTTATTCATCGTCCCACACCCTGTCCATCCCACACTCAGGCTCCAGAGTGATCTTTTTTAAATGCAAATCAGATCACATCGCTCCCTTGAATAAAATTGTTCAGAGGCTCCCCAGCGCCTTCATAGTAAAGGTTACACTCCTTAGTATGGCCCACGAGACTCCCCAGCCGGCCAGCCATAGACTACTTAAGAATGTGGACCAAGAATAGCTCATTCCAGCATGCTCAGAACCTAGCACCATGCCTGGCACATGTATATGAGCTGAGTGATGAATAAATAAATTTCCTGCCAGCCCCGATATTATCCCACATGTCAGCCCAAATTGACAGCTTCTCCAAAGCACAATGCCTGTTACACCTGTTTTCTGAAATGTTCTCCTTAACCTCCCTAGACCCTCCCTTGTGTCATTTCCCTAAATACCCCCAAGACCCCACTCTGCCGAGGTTTCAGAGCAGATACATTGTATACCGTTCAGAAACTGAGCATGGCCTTTGAAAGTGCAGTTGACTTTGATGGCATCTGCAAAAAAGCCTCAGGATGCCCCATGGAGACAAAGGTCACTGCCCCAGTATGAAGCAATTAATAGCCTACTCCTGCCTGAGGCTCCTGGGGGCTCCCTGTTCTCTGAGCAACAGAGCAAGCTAGAGCTTCTCTTAGGAGGGAGGGAATCAAGCCACACTCTCCTCCTGCCATGTCCATCAAAAAGTCATAAATAAGATTTAAAACTCAGAAGCGGGGAAGACGGGGATTACGTTAGAGGCTGAGGTCACCATGGAGGTGTTTGCTCTGCTCTTAATGAGAGAGGAAAGCCCCACCAGGTTGGCAGAAGGGAGGCAGGAAGGCAGCGAGTGGCTGGTAATTTATTGGGAGGCAGGAAAACTGCTGAATTTGACACTAGTAAACAGAAGATGTCAGTTCGACATCTGTTCCTGATACCTCAGCAACTAATTATTTCTCTGTGCACTGTGGTAGGCTGGGTGGAAGCGCCCAGGGGCAGGCTCAGTCCTGTCAATAAACCTGAGTTTGACTGGCAAAATTAATAAGTAAATAAATAAACACAATCCACAGCCACCAAAACAATAAATAACACCCAAACAGCCTTCCTTACCCCATAGGATCAATTGCAATTTGTGCTGGGAGGGATAGGGGAGAGGAGGAGAGGCAGGCCATGAGAAAGGACTCAGAGCCTCCAGAATTTCTGTTGTTCACGAGGTCTCTCTCCCTTGGGGGTTTTCAAGAGCACTAGCCCCCATTTCTGAGCCTTTTATTCCGTAGCTGCTGAAAATTTCATACTCCATCAGCACACATCTTCCTCGCTCTCACCATCTGTGAGGACTAGAAGGACCACAAACATTTTTAAACAGAGGCTTTTTCTACTCAGTGTCTGCTGTTGGATTGGATTGCAGTGAATTTGGGAGTTTCTTTGGGAAGCTCTTTCTGTACCCTTTTCCTCTTCAAAACCCAGTCACTTCCTTCCTCTGTACTATCCCTTACCTCCCCTGGACCTCCAGCAAGGGGAACACATCTGGCCAACTTCCTCAAATGCTGTTATCCAGTTAAACTGTGCTAGCTGGTTTTCGTATCTTTTTCTCCAGAGTGGTCAAGTATCTTTTCTTAAGTCTGAGGGAAGGCAAAAGGGAAGGGAGGGAGGGAGGGATGAAGGAAGGTTGATTTGTTGAAGGAGGGAGAGAGGGGGATGTTGGCAGGAATGTTAGTAACAATATGTTACCTCTCCAGGGCCCCATGAAGAGACAATACTAAATTCATAAATGCTAAAAAGGATAGGAAAATGAAGAGCACACTGGCACCCTTGGAACTTTTCAACCCAGAGGAGAAGTAAAAACCCTGGAAAGATGGAAAGGAGGAAGAGCCTGTGGCCTGCAGTCTAAGAAGGAGCAGATCAAATCCCTGTGATTATCGGGTGCTATAGTCAAGTGGGGAGGGGGGTGGGGTTGCTGGGGAGAGAAGGGGAAACCCTGAGGGCAGAAGAGGTGAAAGGGTCCAAAGTGCTATGGATTTAGACTCCAGAGAGAGGAGTCAGCCATGCTGTGTATCCTGGCCAAGCAGCATCAACCCTCTGAGACTCAGTTTCCTGTTCTGTAAAATGGGGATAGAAGAACTTCCTTCAGAGGGTGAATGTGAAATAGAAAAATGGAGCTTTCTCCACTCTGCATCCAGAGGCCTTTCCAAGACATATATCCAACTATGTCACTTCTACTGAAAACCCTTTCTTAACTCTCCACAGCACTTAGGAAAAAGCCCAAGCTCCTCACTATGGCTCCCAAAGCCCCACATGGCCTGGATGTTGCCCATCTTTCCAGCTTCCCCTCACTCTTCATTTTTGCCGAGGCACACAGATCTGTTTCAATGCTTCAGACTTGACTTGCTCCCCCAAAGAGCCTGCTCATTTATGTACTAGAATAGTCTTTCCTTCTATCTTCACCTGGTTGCTTCTGCTAAGCCTTCAGATCTCAGTGCAAATGTTACTTGCTCAGGAAAGTCTGTCCAGACCTTCCCAACTAGATTAAATCCTCTCATGGTGGAAACCCAAAGCCTCCTATGTCTCAACTCCTCCACCGCCACCAACCCGGTCCATGTGTCCGAGCCTGCATCATCGCTCCTCTGGGCTCCTGTCACAACCTCCTCCTGGCCTCACTATCTCCATGCTTGCCCACCCACGGTCTGATTCCACACAGCAGCCAAGGTTGTGCCAGCCTCGGAGCTTCTGCACATGCCTTTCTCTAGGTCTGGAACTGTCTCCCCCAGATATCTGCAGGATCCTCTCCCAGTTTTTCCAGTTCTCTTCTCAAGAGTCATCCCTTCAGTGGGACTATCCTAGCCAAAGTAGCCACCCAGGCACATTCTAACCACTTACCCTGTTTTATTTTTATCATAACACTTCTTACTACCTGAAATTACAGCGTACGTTTATTTTGAAATTATATGTTTACTTGGGTTTTGTCTCCTGTACGAAGACATAAGTTTCAGGAGAGCAGGATTTTGCCCTGTTTACTGCTATATCCTCAGCTCCTAGAATAGTAGCTGCCACATAAAATATATATTCAGAATACCATGATCTTTTTTTAGAGATGGGCTCTATCTATGTTGCCAAAGCTGGAGTGCAGTGGTTATTCACAGGCATAGCTCACTGCAGCCTTGAACTCCTGGGCTCAAGTGATCCTCCCTCCTCTGCCTCCCAAGTAACTAGGACCACAGGCATACTCAGCCATAAATTCATTTTGGTAGTAATATCACAATGGTTTTCTTCTTCTTTTGTTGAGACAGGATCTTGCTCCCAGGCTGGAGTACAGTGCATGACCACAGCTGACTGCAGCTTTGACCTGGGCTCAAGCGATCCTCCCACCTTAGCCTCTCCAGTAGCTGGGACCACAGGCATGAATAATCATGCACAACTAATGTTTGTATTTTTTTAGAGACAGGAGTCTTGCTATGTTGCCCAGGCTGGTCTTGAACTCCTGGGCTCAAGTGATTGTCCCACTTCAGCCTCCCAAAGTGCTAGGATTACAAGTGTGAGCCACCACGCCCAGCCCACAGTGGTTTTTGACCCTCTGACTCCTGTCTGCCTCTCACACTGAACTTTAAGCTCCATATGGTCTACAAGGACCATAACAGCATTTACTCATTGCTTCCCAGGGCTCAATTATCTGTGTGGTAAATAGTAGGCATTCAATAAACACTGAATAAATGCATGTATAGAGAATGAATGTAAGGAAATGGAAAATTATAATGCAAACACAAACATGAGGTTATGTTATGAAGATGATGATTAGATTCAGCCCTATTGCCCATCATACTTACCACCCTGGGAACAGTAGTGTGGATAACTTAAAGTCTGCCCTCTCCTGGCTCAATTCTCTCTATTGCTTTTCTCAAGGATGTTTGGAGGGAGGGACACATTTCCCTCCTCTCCAATTTCTCCTATATTTTTAGTTTAGGCCCGCTAACTCAGTCGTTAGGATTCCCAACTTGTTTCCAGTGCAATTAATCATTTCCCCCAATTCAGTGCTCAGAGTAACCTCCCATAAATATTGCCATTTTCTACACTGGCAGCACAGTGACATTTCCATCTTACTTGCAGACAGTCTGCAAGCTCGACTCATGGCAAATACTGCCCCTGACTATGTCCCCCAGATTCTGTGGAGAAGGTTGAGAAGGTGTCAAGGCAGAGCTCTGCCTGAGTACAGGTTGATGGCATGTGATGCCATAAACGTCATTGCCGCATATTTGAGAAGACAGAAATAAGTTACTGGCATCTCTGCTACTCTGAGAAAACATAGTCATTCCCAACTTGGGGATATAAAATTTTATAGCACCCAACTCTCTCTTGGGGCACAATGACTCACTTCCCAGGGGAATTCATCAAAGCCCAGCCACAGTTTATTTCATAACTGCATTTAGTGCCGTGATTTCAATTAGTATACCCACCCCCACCCCAATGCAGGATTAGTCTGGAATGCAAAGGAGATAGACATCTAAACAGACTAACACAAATATCAATAGCCATAGTTCTGAAGTCCTTCCTTTTGGTCAATACCTTGGTCAATACATTTTGATCTATCCAAGTTCTGTTTCTAGAAAAGTACCGGAAAAGATTATGGAAAATGTTGCAGGATAGTCCTTTTAGAATGATTGCTGTGGTGTTTTCTAACTTTGCATTTTAAGGTCTTAAAACGAGACCACTATTTCTTGACTTCCTTTCCCAACATTTTTCAATGATAACCCGCCAGCATTAATCCACAAATTTGTCAAAATAGTGTGGTGTTAGAAGACCTATTTATTAATCACATTACATAGGGCAAGACATTTAATCATTCTGAGCCTCAATTTCCTTCTCTATAAAATCAGGATGATAAATCCTGCCTCATAAAACTGTAATGAGAATTAAGTGAGATCATCTAGGTGGCTCGTAGTAGATACTCAATAAAGAGTATCTCCCTTTTCTGGGACACCATCTCAATTAACTACTTACCTCCATATCAGCCTTAGCCTAATTAGTTGGCACTGACTCTTGCTTGTCTTGTAAATTTCCTTCCATCTTTCTTCCTGCATTTGTTCTGGCTTCAAACTAGATTATAAGCTCTTTGGGGACAGGAACTACCTCTTTCCTTTCTTTTGTAAATCATGGTTCCATAACATTTAATGGTCTTGACCTGTATGCAAGACAAATTTAGTGCTCTACTGAGTAGACTTACAAATGAGGTGCGTGCTGATATTCAGAGGGAAAGAGCTGTTCTGAGGCAGCAGGGAGAGCTGAAGAGCTGAGCCTCCAATAATGGCCTTTCACATTTTGCAAGAAGTAGGGAAGGTCCTGTCCCAGAAGAGAGAATATCAGGTAGCAAGAACCTTCTCTATTGCCCTGAAAAGGCAGCTTTTGCTTTGTCTTTTGTATTGCTTTGTTTTGCTTTTGTTGATAACCTAGATATCATCATGGAGTAATAACCCAAATCCCCATAAGATCTGGTTTTAGATAGGATTACAGAGCATCAGATATAAGGTTGCCACGTTTTGCAAATAAAATTGCAGACTATCCTTTTAAATTCAAATAATTGCATAGTACAAGTGCATTTCATTCAATATTTGAGACATACTTATATTTAAAATTATTTGTTGTTTGATTGAAGTTTAAATTTAATAGACATCTTGTATTTTCTCTGGAAACTCTAGTCAGGCCAAGGTAAACACAAGACAGCTAGATAGAGAGGAGAGAGAAATAAACAAACAAAAACTTCCCTCAAAATGAGCCTCCAAACTGGAATTCCAATATACATGCAGAAATTAAGAGCTAATTCAGACAGTCAGCAAAGCAGTTGAATATAAATTCGCTCTAGGTGAAAACAAGTTTGTACAACAGTTGGACAGACTTTTTAATTTTTATTTTTGATTTTTAGAGACAGGGTCTTGCTCTGTCACCCAGGCTGGAGTGCAGTGGGATAATCATAGCTCACTGTAATATCAAACTCCTGAGTTCAAGTGATCCTCCCACCTCAGCCTCTCAAGTAGCTAGGACTACAGGCACATGCCACCACATCAGACTAATTTTTTTATTTTTTTGTTTTTTGCAGAGACAGGGTCTCACTATGTTGCTACTCTTGAACTCCCAGCCTCAAGTAATTCTCCCACCTCAGCCTCTCAAAGCACTGGGATTACAGGTAAGAAACAGTGTATCTGGCCTGGACAGACTTTAAGGTACAGTATCTTTAGTATGTTCTTAGAGAAAAATGAAGGCATAACTTCCAAACTGAAAAGAATAAGGAATTATTAAATCTTGCAGCAATAAAATGCAAACAGTGAGATAAGAAAGAAAAACCCACTAGAAATCCTAGGAATTAACAAAAATTATTAAATTTTAAAAATTCAATACTTGATAAAAACTTGAAATTGAACACTGTTAAAGATTTCATATCTAGAAGATGAAACCAAGGAATTCACCTAGAATCCTGTGTGTGTGTGTGTGTGTGTGTGTGTGTGTGTATGTGTAGATAGAGATATGTATATACACACATACATAAACACATATATATACTATGTATAGCTGCATGTTTGTGTGTTTATATATAGCAATATATGTGTATGTGTATATGTATATACATACATATATATTTGGAATGCAGTTAAGAGACAAGAAGGAACAATAGAGAGAGAAATTTTAACATTCATCTAATTCCAGGAAAAGAGAGAATGAAAGCAATGGCAGAAAATCAATATTTGAAGAGAAAATTGCTGAAACTTTTCCAAAATTGGGTAAAGACATGTCTTTAAATGGAAAGTGTATGCTAACTATCTAGCAAGTTAAAGAAAAATAAATCCACTCACAGACATATTAAAGAATAACGAGGATCATGGGAAAATCTTTACCGAAACACCAAGATAGAACAATTATACTAACAGCAGACCTCTTGTCCACAATAACAGATGACAAAGGACAATAGAATATCCCCTCAAAATGTGAAAAGAAAACAAACATTAACCTAGATTGAGTTTTGCTATTAGCAGCAAAGACTTAATAACAGAAGCTAAAACAAATTAAATAAAGGATTAATTCTCTCCCATCAAAAGGGTGTGGAAGTGGCAGCCTAGGAGTGGTATGGGGCATCACAGAGCCTGAAGGGTCCCCTCTCCTTGCTTCCACTCTGTCTCCCTTAGCTAGTAGCTTCTTTCTTCACTGTCTCGTGTAGGCTTCTATGTTCAAGGAAAGAAAGATGAGGGCAAAAGTGTGACCCTCTTAGCGAAGTCAGCCCCTTTTAAGAAGGCTCCCTGCACTCAGTGTTTTCTTCTTACATCTCATTGGCCACTCACAGCTACGAGAGAGTCTGGGAAATGTAGTCTTTCTGCTGAGCACATGACCGTGCCCAAATAAAACCAGCATTCCAATTCTGTTTCTAAGGAAGAAGGAGAATAAGGACACGGAGTGGATAACTAGCAGTCACTGCCACAGCTATTATTTAAGAATGAGGACAAAATAAAAACATTTTCTGATATAAAAATGCTAAAAAAATTTAACATCCACAGACCCTCACTAAAAGCACTAGCAAGAGTGTATTTTATTTAGAAATAAAATAAAGCCAGAGAGAAGATCACAAGAAGCAATGATGAACACAGAAATTTACAAAACATGGCAGTAAATGCAATTGCAATTTACTGTAAAAAGATAAATATTTGTGTTTGTTTTTTAAAAGGTAAAATTAAAAGTCCAAATGAAAAATTATAAGATAGTGGGGGTGTTCAAATGAAGCAAGATGTTAAAATTCTATAAAGCTGGTTGTGAGTATACAGATTTTATGGTATTCTTTATATTTGTCTATTAGTTTGGAACCTTCCATAATTTGAAAAATAATGAGAGGCTATACTTACTTAGAAATTTAAAATTTCTATACATTAAAGGATACCACAAACAAACTTAAAAGACAGGAGAGAAAAACCAGTGGGAAAACTCTTGCTAAATATGCAACAGAAACAAAGTCAATATCTAGAATATAGAAAGCTACTGTACATCAATAGAGAAAAGCCAAAACCCAGTGGAGAAGAAGCAAAGAATATAAATGAAATTTTATAGAAGAAGAAATACAAATGGCTAATAAATATTTTAAATGCCCAACCTTGTAATCAGGGAAATTCTATTTAAACCACGAATAGGGTGTCATTTTTTATTCACTAGAAAAGTAAAAATTTAGAAAATTGGAAATACATAGCATTGGCAAGCTAGTTGGGGAATGGCTCCTCTTGGATGCTGCTGGTGGACATGTCATTTGGCAAAACTGGTTCAGATTATGTGTCAGGCCATCTTGCACTCCTATAAAGAAACACCTGAGACTGCAAAATTTATAAAGAAAAGAGGTTTATAAAGAAAAGAGTTTGAACTGGTTCATGGTTCCTCAGGCTGCACAGGAAGCATGTACCAACATTTGCTCTGCTTCTGGGAAGGCCTCAGGGAGCTTTTACTATGGCAGAAGGCAAAGGGTGAGCAGGCACTTCACATGGAGAGAACAGGAACAGGTGAGTGGGGGAGGAGGTGCCACACACTTTTAAATGACGAGATCTCACAAGAACTCACTCACTATTCAAAGACAGCACCAAGCCATAAAGGATCTGTCCCCATGTTTGGGTCCCCATCTGACCCAAACACCTCCCACCAGGCCCCATCTCCAGCATTGGGGATTACAATTACAATTCAACATGAAATTCGGGCAGGAACAAATATCCAAAATATATCAGATTACAAGATTACAATTTGGTACTACTTCTCTTTTTTTTTTTTTTTTTTTTTTTTTTTGAGGCAGGGTCTCACTCTGCCACCCAGGCTGGAGTGTAGTGGTATGAACATGCCTCACTGCAGCCTCAATCTCCCAGGCTCAAGTGATCCTCCCACCCCAGCCTCCTGAGTAGCTGGGACTACAGGTGCACACCACCATGCCCAGCCACTTTTTGTATTTTTTGTAGAGATGGGGTTTCACCATGTTGCCCGGGCTGGTCTTGAACTCCTGGGCTCAAGCAATCAGCCCGCCTCAGTGCTGAGATTACAGGTGCGGGGCAATGCGCCCAGCTGGTAGTACTTAAAATTTTTAAATAACCATACTATCAGGCCCATAATTATATTTCTAGAAACCCATTCTATGAAAATTGTTGCATGTGTGCACTGAAACATATGAATAAGGGCAATCATTGCAGCATTAACTATAATCACAAAAAATGGAACTAACCTAAATGCCCAATAATAGCAGAGGGAATAAACAAATACTGACATATGTATACTATGGAATATCATGACACCATTAAAAAAATGGAGCAGACCTCTAGAGAGTAACATTGTGAGGCACACAAGGCAGACAACGAATACAAAACAATCACATGCATGCTCTTTAAACGTTGTAAGTGCATATGCACTACACTTACCGAAAGTACTGAAAGAACAATACAAAAATACTAATAGTGGTGGATACCAAAGAAAAATGTGGGAACGCCACTCTGTATCCCTCTGTACTGTTTGAATCATTTAAAAGACAACATTTATACCACATGATCTCACTTATATGTGGAATATAAAACAAGTGAACTCCTAAAAATAGAGAGTTTTGAAATGATGATTACCAGGAGCTGTGGGGGATGAGGGGGAGTTGTGGGATCTGGAGTAGGAGATGTTGGTGAAAGGACACAAAATTTTAGTTAGGTAGGAGGAATAAGTTCAAGAGAGCTATCATAAAACATAGCAACAATAGTTAATGCATTTTTTTTTTGTTTTTTTTTTTTGGAAACTAGGTTTCACTTTGTCACCCAGGCTGGAGTGCAGTTTTGTGATCTTGGCTCACTGCAGCCTTGACTTCCTAGGTTCAAGGGATCCTCCCACCTCAGCCTCCTGAGTAGCTGGGACTACGGGTGTGTGCCACCACACCTGGCTAATTTTTATATTTTTTGTAGAGATGGGGTTTCACCATGTTGCCCAGGCTGGTCTTGATCTCCTGGGCTCAAGCAGTTTGCCCTCCTTGGCCTCCCAGAGTGCTGGGATTACAGACGTGAGCCACTGCACTCCATCTATTGCATTCTTTAAAATAGCTAAGAGAATAGATTTTAAGTGTTCTTACCACAAAAAGTGATAAGTATGTGAGGTAATGCATATGTTAATTAGCTCGATTTGGCTGGATGCGGTGGCTCATGCCTGTAATCCCAGTACTTTGGGAGGCCGAGGCAGGCGGATCACGAGGTCAAGAGATGGAGACCATCCTGGCCAACATGGTGAAACCCCGTCTCTACTAAAAATACAAAAATTAGCTGGGCATGGTGGTGCGAGCCTGTAGTCCCAGCTATTCAGGAGGCTGAGGCAGGAGAATCTTTTGAACCCAGGAGGCAGAAGTTGCAGTGAACCGAGATGGTGCCACTGCACCCCAGCCTGGCGACAGAGCGAGACTCTGTCTCAAAAAAAAAAAAAAAAAAATTAGCTCGATTTAACCATTCCATAGTGCATATATATTTCAAAACATCATGTTGTACCTAATAAATATGTGCAATTTTATTTGTCCATTGAAAATAGATAAAAATTTTTGAAGATAGCTAAAAGACAAGAAAGAGAGCTAGTGGGACGTCCTGGAAGGAGTCCAGGAAACATTGCTAGGCATCAATTTTCTCCTACATAAAATGTGGATAATTGTACCCAGACTTGCTCTCTCACTAAGGGTTGTGATGCCCAGAGGAACATATTGAATGGGCAATGAGATATGTTTGGAGAAAAGAGACCATATGCGAAAGTACTTGATTATCATGCAGTGGGAGGATCCATGCATTTTACATACTTCCCTCACAGGAAATAGATATTTATGTCCTAATTATCTTGATGATAAACCAATCCTAGTAAATGGCAGAGCTAGAAATAGAACCAAAATAATCCTGTCTCCATGCTTTTCTAGTGAGCCCCAGGTCCAGCATCCTTTGAGAAGCAGTGCCTGTAATGGCTAAGAGCACAAACTCTGGAGCCAGGCTGCCTAAGTTTGGGACCCCACCACTCTCCAGCTCTGTGACCTTGGGCAAGTTACCAACGTGCTCTGTTTCTCAGCATTCTCCTTCATGAAATGAGCACAATAATAGTACCTATAGCAGATAGTTATGGTAAGGATTGAGTTATTATATGTGACAACTTAACTCAGAGCATGGCATAGTAAACAGTATGTAAGTATTGGCTATTATCATTATTTGCTTCAATCAACTGGTTGATCAGTGGAAAAGAGAAGCATTTTCCCTGGCTCTTCTGCATTCGGATTGAGGAAGGATTGAAAAACTCAGTATGGACCTCTTTTCACCCTTTATAATAATTTGCATATAAGACCAAAAAAAGTCTGTATTATGTTTCGAGTCTCTAGTTTTTGAGGACATCACCACTCCATCCAGGTCCACATGGCTATTAGAACTCCAACCAGGCCCAGGACTGCGATTGCTCCCTCACATGTTGTGGACTGCCAGCTCTGCTCTCAGGGGCTCTCTCATGTCATCTCTGTCTAGCTCAGCATTCTTGAATCCATCCTGCCAAACCAGAAATCAACACTCAGTTTTTTAGGCACTGGATGGATCAGAGGATGGCAAAAGACACAGGTCCATTCTAAAGCTTCATATTCACTATAGAGATTTGTGTTTCCTTCTTAAATTGTGTATCCTCCTGGGACATGGAAAGCCGGCTCCTCTGTCTGGCACAAAGGTCCAGGATTAGGTGCAGCTGATTTACTGCAGCTCACCCACCTGGGACAGGCTGAATCTATCATCTCACTGCCAACCTCTCACAGACTTCCAAGAAGTTCACAGCACAACATACCTGCCCACTTCTTAGTCATTCAAGTGGGTGGAAGAAGGCTGATTGAGGGCTGGAAGGACAGCATGGAACAGGCCCTCCATTGCCTGGCAACACTCAGAAGCCAGAGCTAGGGAACCCAAGAGGAGGCAGCTCCAGGGCTGGAATGGCTCTGTCTTGGTTCTACCAGGGACATGCAAAAGCAGGGGCAGTAACCTGTCCTCCACTTCCCATGCCTGACCTGGGGCTTAGGGTTGCCACAGTATGTCGCACCAGTAGGTAAAATGGTTGTGGGAAGCACTGAATGGCAGAAGAGGCAAGGGTGGAGAGAAGGGAGGAATAAAAAGGGAAGCCAGAGAGATGAAAGAGCCCTTGGGAGAAAAGAGCTCCTGGTGCCAAAAGGCAGCAAGCTGCTTTGATCTTCAGGCAGAAGAAGAACGTCACCTGATTCTTAATGTTTACGGATCTTTGCAAACCGAAGAAGAATTGGGAATGTGGAAAGACAGTGCTCTCTCTCAGGAATGTGACTGCAACCTCTTCTTTTACTAAAGAAATGGGTTTGCGCAAGTTGCTTAACTGTGTTGAGCCACAATTTCTCCACTCGAAAAACAGAATAATCATACATATCAGTATAAGATATACTGCATTAGCTTAAACAAGACAGAGGTTTATTATCTTCTCATGTAAAAAAAAAATTGACAGATTGTTCCAAGCTGCTACGACAGCTCCACAGTCATTTGGAGACTCCAGGATCTTTCTTGTTTTCTGTTTTACCGTCCTTGACACATGGCTTTCAACTTCAAGTACACCTCATAATCCAAGACGGCTGCCACAGCACCAACCACCATGTCTGAATTCTAGACAGGAATTAGAAGGAAGAAGGGATGGGGGAAAAGGGCATACTCTTAGGTGAGTCAGCCTCCTTGAAGAATTTTCCTAGGACTTCCTTTCAACCTCAACAACTCTCGCTTACATTACAATGACCATTTCTCTCTGTGAGGAAGGTTGGGAAATGTTTTAGTTTTGCACATTGCCACCTGGAATAAAATGGGGAGTCTTAGAAACAAAGTAGATGAGAATAGATATTGGGTAGGTAGTCTATGCTCCAAAACTTTGGAGAGTTGTTAAAGAATGATAGGAGATAATGCATGCCAAAATGCACTTTGTAAACTCAAAAGGGCTTTGTGGCTGTTCTCATTCTCCCATACAACAATCCTCTCAAGTGGAAACTGAGGTGTAGAAAGACACTCAAGGTCAGTAGCCATTAAATAGAGATCCAGGATTTCACCTTATGCCTGTGTATGTCTTCCCCATCTTTCAATAGCAGAGATAAAGAGTGGATAAAAATAAAGGCTTTTTTTTAGGAGGTCTGTTGGGGGGATGCTACAGTCAAATGCATGTGGCCAACTTCCCACCCTGCTGAGTGGAAATATGGGGGTGTGGGGATTCTCTTCAGAGCTGAGAGCCTGAACTACTGTCCACTGAGTGTGGAGCACAGCAGCCTCAGTTATCTTCAGTCTCATGAACTCTGGTAGTGCTGTCTTCTTTGAGATTATAAATGCTTTTAATTTTGCTTTTTACCAAGGACCTTGGGACCCAAGACCTTCAGGCATGAGTGCCTATAAATTGCACCTTATTACATTATTAATTATCATGTTATCTGGGGTCAAATAACTGACTAATGCTTTGGCAAGCAATGCTGTGAAATAGAAATCTTCCCTTTTTCTTTCCTCCCCATCCCTCCCCAGCTCACAGAGGGAAGTCAGAGGTTCTACACCTGAATGTGTTTCAACTATTTATTTTAGGATCTCACCCTTTCACCCAGGTTGGAGTGTAGTGGCATCATCATGCCTCACTGTAGCCTCCAACTCCTGGACTCCAGTGATCCTCCCACATCAGCTTCCACAGGCACATGCCACCACCCCTGGCTAATTTTTAAATATTTTGTAGAGACAGGGTCTCACGATGTTGCCCTGGCTGATCTCAAACCCTGGCCTCAAGTGATCCTCCTGTCTTGGCCTCCTAAAGTATTGGGATTACAGGCATGAGCCACTGTACCCAGCCCGAATTCTTTAAAAGAATTGCCCGTGACCATGAAGAGGCTGCTGTCCTGAAGATTTGGGAAACACTGATGCATCATGAGGCAGAAATTAACCCACTGAAAACAAAATGATGGAAACAGATATCCTGCCATGTCTGAAATCCAAGATGAGGCATTGGAAGGGGTAGTGGAGCCATGAGGGAATGAACTAGGCTGAAGTCAATGTGACTGAGGAGAAGTAAGAGAATGGGTGTTATTTTTGTGGGAACAAAAGTGCCCCCTTGGAAGAGCTACTGCTGGAACTTGAGGGGTGGGAGCATCTAGGAAACAGAAAGCAGGCATTTGGGGCTGAAATACAGGATTTTCCCAGAGGGTAGGCAGAAAGTACCTTAGACTCCTCAAGAACCCTGAAAGGCAGCCCTGCTGGCCTGGAGAATAAACCGTGGAGGTTTACAGAGGGACATCAGACAGGTCTGAGATGGGCCAACCTGGAGACAACAACGCTGCATACCTGCCTTTTGCTAGGAATTTAGCTGTGACCTGTTTTCCAAGGCTCCCTGACCCATCATCATTTCCTGCTTTGCATATAGCTGCCTCAGAGGATAGCACTTGGGGTCCCTCAATCCAGAAGAGGAGCTTGAGAATAAGGTGGTGGTCTAGGGGCCTGCTCTACAGAAGGGAACCTCTCTGCTTCTGGGTTCCCCCAGTGAATGGAACCTCTAGCTAGTGCAGGGACACTCTGGTTCAAGACTATTCTAGGTTTCTCATGGGCTTTTATGATGTTCCAGGACAGTGGAATTTTAGGAGGTGGCTGCTGGTGAGTGGTAGATCTCTAAGGATCTGTGACTGTCTTAAGCTGCAGCATCCCCACCGTTCCCCCACCATCTGAAGAGTGGTCAGACATGCCAAGGCAGCGAGAGTCCTGCTGGGCTCTTCACATGGGAAGCAAACCCTGGGCATCTTCCTTGCTACATCTACTCAGTGAGCAAAATCCCTACCTGAAGAATTGCTATGAGGATTAAAGAACATTCTTAAAACCCTTCACACACTGCCTGACACAAAATAGCTGCTTAGCAGATGTTAACTGTGTATATCGCACTCAGCCCCTCCCGCAAGTGCTGTAAACGAGGGCCTGGCTTTGGAGGCAGGTGGAGGCAGGTAGTGGCTCTGAGGAGGAGGGGTCTCAGGTACTAAGATGGTGGCTCCAGGGACTGGGGGCTCTCAGAGTGAAGGGCCGGCTCCTCTGTCTTTCCAACTTGGAGTTAGAGCCGCCAGCAGGCAAGCAATAAAGGGTTTGAACTGGGTCAAATCCAGATTTGGTCCAATCTCTGGCATGTACTAGTTAGATATTCTCGGGCAAACTGTTTAACTTCACTGAGCCTTTGCCACCTTAGCTATAAAATGGGATTCCTGATGCCTTCCTCCAGGAGGCTAGCTGTCCCAGGAAACCCAGCCATGGCGCAGGCAGTCAGAGAGCCTGAGCCAGCACACACAGCCCCACGGCCCCCAGGAGGTTAGCTCCCATCGGCTCAGCCAGAGAGAGGACAAAGCTGGAGCAGCGGAGAAGTTTCTCTTCCCTGGGTGTGGATGAGCATGCAGGAAAACTGCCAACATGACACCATGTGCTGTGGGCTTCTCACCCTGATTTCAAGAAACACAGCCATCATCATTGTACGTGAGCTCACTGGCTTCACAGTTCTATTTGGACAAAGAAAGAAACAGGAAAGAAACTCAGGTCTAGAGAAAGATGGACAGATAAGGAATCATAGGCTTGGAAAGAGTGAGGACCTGGGGTTCTCTGAGACAAAACCCAGTACAAATCCAGACTCAGCCTGTGGCTTGTTCCACCTTTCCCTCTCATACATGTGTGCACATGAATACCTACAGAGACATCACCTAAAACAAGCAGAACGCACACTTTTAAAACTGTCAGAAACTTGCACTTGAAGTTGATGGAAAGCAAGCTCCCTTTATATGAGAACTGAAGACTTGGTATCTTTCCTGGTGTATCTTACGGTGGGGAAAAAAATTCCTACTTATCAAATTGCTGTAAGGATCAAATTGCCTACAAATCCTTCTCATAGTGCCTGATGCAGAATGGCTGCTTAACAGACGTTAACTGTATATTACTGCATTGAGACCCCTCTCAAACCTGCCCATATACAACCATGCACTGCCCAACTCCAGAAAACATTGTTTCCTCCTGGGTTTGGGCAATGCGCATCCTGCACCACCATATGTGAGAGGCCTGCTGAGAGTCTGCGCCTTATTTGGGACAGACACAAACTACTCCAGGGTATCCCTTATGACTTTGACTCTCAGCTGACTTTCCTATCTTTTCACTTGTTCTTTCCCCCTTGAAGTTACCCCAATGACAGGGAGCCTAAGTGGTGTAGCCAGCTAGGAAGGCAGTGTGGACAAAACTGAGGACCGTCTGCTGCCTTTCCTCTGTGACAAAGTTTACCTAAATCTTTGGTGTCATCATTTTTTAGGACCAGTGGCTTGATTTCTGCCCCTGGCCCTGGGTCTGGGCTCTCCAGCATGGGTGCTTGGGGGTCTGGGCGGGCTAAAAAGTGGCCATCAGGTAGAAAAAGGATGTTAAGGGATCACAGGTTCTTTACTCTCAGCAAAGCCTGAGCAAAAAAAGATGGGGAGGCTGCTGTTGCTATTTTGATTTAAGTGTTGTTGAATCTCAATCCCCAAGTCATTCTATTGGATGAGCCTGCAAGGCAGGACACAGCCTAGTTCTCAAGGCCGCTCCAGCTCCCAATGCACTAATGACACTTGACAGACACCAAATCCTTGTAATTTCCAAACAAAACCTTGCTGCTCCAATCCTCGGGCTCCCGGGAAACACTCCATCACCTCCCAGGCTTTGCTCAGCTGGTCCTCACTGATTGCCAACAATCCCCAGCTGAACGCGGTCCTGCCCTCCAGCCCCTCCTCCCCTCCTAACCCTTCCCTGCCTGCTTTCTCTTCCCTGCTTCAGCTGGGGAGACTGAGGGAGGCTCCCAGAGCCCTCTGAGAAGCTGGTCAGACAGTATACGGCAGTCCCTGATTTATGCTGCTTAAAATCACATCACCTGTTCCACAGAGCTTCATCCAGTGGCTCCAATTATGCCAACTGGTGACAGGGCTGGCACATACGGATCCACCTTTTTAATTTTACTGAGTTCCTGGGCTGCTTCAAATAATGTCAGCCAAACAGCAAAAAAACTGGCAGCTTTTCACTCAAAAAGGTCCTTACACAAGACATAAGATAAAACAAACTCACAAACAGATTTGAAACCTCTTTGCTCTGCTTCAGTTCTCTTTCCTAAAATAGAGTTGTGGGTTTTTTTTTTAATTGTATGGTTATTATCATTATTTTAATTATGGAATAATTCAGTCATACCAAAAGAAAGAACATATAATATAATGAACAACTGTGTATCTACCACCCAACTTAAAAAATGAAATATTACCAAATGTGTTGAAAACTAACAATGTAAGCCAATTCCATTTTCTTTTCTTCTACCCCACTTGTAAGTGTGTGTGTGTGTTGAGGGGGTGTGTTTAGAGACACGGTGTCACTCTGTTGCTCAGGCTGGAGTGCAGTGGCACCATCATGGCTCACTGCAGCCTCCAACTCCTGAGCTCAAGCTATCCTCCCACCTCAGCCTCTCAAATAGCTGGGACTACAGGCATGTAACACATGCCCAGCTAATTTTTTATTTTTGTAGAGATATGGTCGATGTTGCCCAGGCTGATCTCAAACTCCTGGGCTCAAGTGATCTTCCTGCCTCAGCCTCCGAAAGTGCTGGGATTACAGATGTGAACCACTGGGCCAGGCCTCATGTGTCTACCCTTCACACTATTTTTTTAAAACTTTTTATCTTGAGATATTACATATTCACATGCAGATGTAAGAAAAATATAGAGAGCCCATATACCTTTCACCCAGTTTCATGAAACGGTAGGATCTTACAAAACTATAGCACAATATCACAACTAGAAAATTGTCTTGATACCACCCACTGAGCTTATTCAGATTTCACCAGTTCTTACATGTCCATATTTTGTTCTACACAATTTTATCTCATGTAGATTCGTGTGACCACCACCACAGCCAAGGTATAGAACAGTTGTCACAAGGATCCCTTTTACAAACAGTAAAAGGGCTGCTCCCCAGCCCTGAGCAACTACTAACCTGTTCTCCATTTCTGTAATTTTGCCACTCCAAGTCATAAAAATGGAACCATACAGTATATAATCTTTTGAGACTGGCTTTTTTCACTTTGCATAATAGTCTTGAGGTCCACCTAACTTGTTGCATGTATCAACGGTTTGTTCTTTTTATATTGCTGTATTCTGTTATTCCACTGTATGGATGCCTACAGTTTATTTAAGCATTCACCTTTTGAAGGACACTTGAGTTGTTTCCAGTTTGGGTCTATTACAAATAAAGCTACCAGGAACCTCTGTGTAGAGGTTTTGTGTAAACATAAGTTTTCATTCCTCTGGTGTGAATGGTCAAGACTGCAATTGCTGGGTTGTATGGTAAGCACATACTGTTCTTCTTCTTTTAATTGTAGAGACAGGGTCTCACTCTGTCGCATAGGCTGGAGTGCAGTGGCCCCATCACATCTCACTGCAACCTCCATCTCCCCAGCTCATGCAATCATCTTGCCTCAGCCTCCTGAGTAGCCGGGACTACAGGCATGCACCACTATGCCTGGCTACTTTTCCTATTTTTTGTAGAGATGGGGACTCACTATGTTGCCCAGGCTGGCCTCAAACTCCTGGGCTCAAGCAATCTGCCTGTCCCAGCCTCCCAAAGTGCTAGGATTACAGGCATGAGCCACTGCACCCGGCCCACATACTATTATTTTTAAAATATGGCACTGATTCACCTCTTTTAAACATAAAATGATAACATACTGTTTGTATATTCTTCTGTAACTCACTTCTCTCACTCAACATATGTTCCCTCCATCTCATCCATGTTGATATATGTAGCTTTAGGGTATTGATTTGTACTATTATATATTACACCATCATATGAGTATACTATAATTTATTTCTCATGCTAATTCTGATTTTGGAAAGCATAAAATCTTCACAAGGCAATGGGTTTGGTAGGAAAGAAAGTAACATCTTCCTTGTTTTAAGATAGAATAATTTGAGGAAAGCTTTAACTTGTCTTAAAGATAAGACTTGGATATTTAGTCCTAGTACTTCCCACTAGATTCCCTTGGTAGTCAATTAACCTTTCTGAGCTCAATTTTCTCATCTGTAAAATGAGAATCTCAAGAATAATAACAGTAATAATAATAATATTTGCCTTAATACATGTAGGAATTAAAAGAAAATATATGAACTAAACTATAACATGCTGAATAAGTGAAAATTACTTTTGTTGGTTAATAATTATAATTAAATACCTTTTTCACCAAGGGGCACAACAACCAAACTGTACATGATGGACTTTTCAAGAAAAATTCAATTTCAAATGATCTCCCCTCATTGTCCCCCTAAATTGCTTTGTCACACTCATCCCACTTTGGGGATCAGAATATACTACATGTACACAAGGTCAGGGTAACTGTGGAGGTCCTAGCTCTGACCTACCTTTAAGATGGAGATTGTTATCCTGGAGTACAGATGGGGAAACTGAGGCCCAAGATCACACAAGAGCTGGACTCCATTGCCTGTAGCCTAGATCCATCGACCACATTCCTCCAACTTCCTCAGCTGTGTGAAGGGGCTTCGGGAACCCCTGGGTGGCCCCATGCTCAGCATCCAGGCTCAGAGTGGAGGGGCAGCTCCAGGTCCATGTCTAGGTGGCAAGAGGCCCTTCCCTGTGGCCGGCTCCCCTGAGGACCGCCCACCTATCCATTGCTGGATTGCTGGGCTAAGCAACAGCCACAGGGTGACATGACAACAGTCTCCAAATATTTAAAAAGTGTGAGTCCTCAGGAAGGAGAATTTTTCTGGCCTGGAATGAGGAGGGGGAGGCAGTGATGGGGGCTGGCTGGTGGGAAGCAGTGATATCAAATTTAGAAGGCACCTGGAAGTCAGGTCTGGAGCCGCTTTCCCTTGCTTTGCCTCAGTTTCTCTTCCTGTAAAGGACTGGATGTTTGGATATTCTCTAAGATCCTAAGATCCAATGCAACTCTAGAATATTCTTTGGGGAAAACTTTTTTAAAACTTTTGCATCCCGACAGCAAGGTACTGCCTGTCCCTCAGGGGAGGTAGAGAAAGGAACAGCCTCCTGCGGAGCTCACCGTGAGGGGACCAGGGACTGGAGTATCCCAGCCATTTGACTTGGCGTCTGGGCACTTTCCAGCCTCTCTGCAGAGTCCCTGCCCCTGCCTCGCAGTGCACTGTAGCTGGAAAATGTTCAGGGGTGGCAGGCTGTGTAGGATGGGGAGGCAGAGGGCCCGTTGTGAAGAATTTCATCCTAGTTCTGAAAAGAGCATTCCTTGAAGCCTTGTTTTCCAACGTGTGACCCACTGAGCTACAGGTCCTGGGCCCCATCCGCTCAGAGCAGTCCCGAGGAGAGGATCAGACACTGATTTTCCAAACAAGTGCAGAGTGAATCTCGCAGGTGCTCACGTTTGAGAGCTGTGGGTCACTGGAAAGACCCCAGAGAGTGAAAAAGCCAAAATCACCACCTGAGAAAGTCACTCAACCTTTCAGGGCCTTAGTTTCTCACCTGAAAGCGCGAATAACGATATTTCAATGCCCACCTCACATGGGTTGCGTGAGGACAAAGGGCAAGGCCACTTTCCAGGCTGTAAACCCATAAAAGCTGGAACAATAGTGGTCTCAGGTGTGAAGGAAGACAGGTGCGCAGGGGAAGGCTCTCTAACCCTCCTCACCAGGCCCTTTTTCTCCTCTCTTCCTTTTCTTTTTTTAAACAGTGTATTGCAATATAATTTATCCACTTAAAGCATATAATTCAATGGGTTTTGGTATATTACATTCTCAATTTTTCCAAATTGTGTTAAAATATATATAACATAAAATTTGTCATTTTAACATTTTGAAGTACACAATTCAGTGGCATTAATCACATTCACTATACTGTAGAACCATCATCACTATCTATGCCAAAACTTTTCACCTGAAACAGAAACTCTGTCTCCATTAACCCATAACTCCCCGTTCCTCCCTCCCCCCAGCTCCTTGGTAACCTATTCATAGAATTTACTTTCTGTCTCTGTGAATTTGCTGCCCTAGGTATTTCATAAATGGAATCATATTTGTTGTTTTGTCTCTGGCTTATTTCCCTTAGGATAATGTTTTCAGTGTTCATCCATGTTGTAACATGTAGCAGAACTCATTCCTTTTTATGGCTGGACTCTTCATTTTGATAGAATAAAATGTGTTCCCAGCACCACTATATGCATTTACAAATACTAATTCCTGTCCTCCTCACGGACAACCCTATAAGGTTAGGACACTTAGTATCTCCATTTCAGAGGATAAGACACAGAGGGTCAAGCATCTTGTCTGAAACGACACAGCCAGTCAGCAGGGAGCCAGGAGTGCACCCAAGGCCAGAGTCCAGTTGTCAGCCACTGCAACCCTGCCTCCTGCTCTGTGAGGCTCCTTCTCTCCCACGCCCTCCCCACTCCCTTGTCCTCCACAGCACACCCTTTTTAGCTCTTTGAGTTCTTCTGGGGGTTCCTGGTGAACATTCCTCCTTTCCAGGTGGACCTTCCTCCTTTCCAGGCTGCTGGATACCCCACCTGTGTTGCCTCTGCCAGCTGTTTCTCAGGGCGTGGGATCAAACCATCTGGAGGGCTTTGCTGTCCTCACGCACTGATCTGTTTTCCACGAAGCCCTGCATTTGGGATGGCCCCACCACACCAGAGAGGCCAAGGACAGGCCTGTAGCCAGGACGGGTGGGACAGCAGTCACAAACCTAGCCCCCTGAGCCACAGGTCACCCAACAGTCATGACCCCAGCAGATCTTCCAGAGGCCTGGCCCAGACCTCTTCTGCCATGCACACCTGTTTTCTCGGGGGAGAGAGGGCAGTCCGAGGTCCCTTTCTAATACGGTCTCTGATAGAAAATGTCTAACTGGACTCATCACCATTCCTGGAAAAGTAAAAAACAGCTCCTGCCCCGCCCTCCAGTCACAAAGACTGAGCACCCCCCACCCCCGCCCTTTGTCCCTGGTCCTCTTCCTCATTCCCAGGTCCAGTCCCCTCTTTCCTCCCCTTCTGTCCCCAAGGCCACCCCTCACACAGTGCATCCACATGTCACAGGCCCACAGCTCCTCATCCAGAACCTGGGGGGCCCAAGGTGTCTTAGAATTTGGAAGGGTTTGATTTTAGAACAATGATGTGACGCTTATCCCCTGTGGTATGTCCCATCCCAGCCCTTGCTGGGCAACTCCCTGCAATCAGGCACCTTGATACCTCTGCAGACAGAGGCATGAATATTCACACCAAGCGGGATAAATAAAAGACTATAAATAGCCTCGGTTCAGGGCGGGCTTTGCCTTCCAATGAGTTACACACAGACTCTGCTTTCTGGTTTTGTACTTCAAACCTGCGGGTAGAACAGTCAGGGCTGGACTCAGTCCTGGCCTCCTCTTATACCTGAGCTGTTACCCATTCCCTTCCTAGTTGTCACCTCCAGTCCACAGACATGCCTGTGGTCAACCAGTGGACCCCTGCAGCCCACTCCTCCATTCCTGTCACCCTCTGCTCCGAGACCTTTTAGACCACCCTGAAGAACACTGAGTTCCTCGTGCCTCCCTCAGCTGCTTCTCCCACGCGCCAGGTGCAGCTGGGCCCCCGGACCCATCAATGGGGCCTTTCATTTTACAGGCTTCTCCGGGCACAAAGCTGGACAGTATTCTTCCTCTGTGACATGAGGTTTTAAGTTTATGGTGAGGTGAAGTGCAGGCTGTTGGTTCAGATAGAGGAGTCGCTCGAGGAGGCTGAGGAAAGTGCTTTGCACAGTGGGGTGGATGGCGCAGAGCTGCTCTGTCTCAGGTGTTCATCCTGGTCACTACCTGTTTGGTGGACAAGTGTGCGTCTTGTACCCTCCGCATGAGGCCCGAGGGTGGACACTGAAGGAGCAGTTTTCACCAGGATGTCCTGAGTCACGGGAACATAGGCAAGGCGACTTTGGGGCCCAGGACACAGCATGTAATCAGAATGGCGACGAGGGCAAAGGCTAGCTTTTGTATGAATTATAAAATGCTGTTGTGCAAACTATAATAAGGCTTCCCCTCCAGGAGGGGAGGCCAGAAGACCCATGGTTCAGCACGGGGTTCAGCCCTTCTCTCTCCTGCCTTGGCTCAGCACCCTGTGTGGATCACAAATCATATTGTACACTGTGACCCCCAGTGGTGCCTTGCCCATCCTACACATGGACTTCAGGGAGGGCTTTAGGGAGGGAGGGCTGTGTGCATGGCGGTGGTCTTTAGGGACGGTGGGCTGCGTGCACGGCCCACCAGAGTTGGCAGCTCCTGGAGCATCTCTTTCCAGAAAGGCAGTAGGGAAGTCAACCCCTAAATGGCTTTGAGGACAGCCAACACTGGGAATCTTGGAGGATTGGTGGGGTGTGTTTTGCAGATGAGGGGTGACACACAGATTAGTGACTGTTGAATTATCACCCCCTTAGTACCCACAAACTGAGGAGCCCAGGGGGTTTAAAGGCCCTTTGGACCTCAGGCAGTTATAGCAGCCCTCAGCCTAGTTCTCCAGAATTGGTTGCCCCTGCAGAGGTGAAATCAGGAGGGAAGCTACCATCCCGCGTGGAGCAGGTCAGAAAGGGGAGCAGGAGAGTGGTCCCATCACACAGCCTTGGGTAGGGAGCTGCCTCTTACCTGCCAGGTTCTTCAAGGCACCCTTCTGTACCCCAAGGCCCCAGGCACACTAAGGAAGTGCAGTGAGCACAGGAGGAGAGGAGGCAAGGGGAAGACCATTAAGCAAAAAACGGATGACAAATAAAGACAAATGGAGAGAAACAAACTGTGAGAAGGGCTCGCTTCAGCTCACCTCCCCCTCCCCACTTTCCCTAGAAGATCAAATTATGACCTGAAATCACTGGATACATATTTTATTATGTGGATAATTTAAAGGATTAGAGTGAGACAAAGAATTCATAAGCTGTAGTCACATTAGAAGACAAATTGTTTCCATTAATCTCTGAAGAAGGGAGGGAAGCTGAGAAATGAGAAAATGTACGTGAGCAGGAGAAGGGCAGGCGGAGAAAAGTGTTGTTGGGAAGTGGGGGTACATAGAAACAATGATGCTTTCTGTTCTCCCAGTCTCTTGCAACACCCCCACCCCCAAAACAAGCTGAGGCTCCGCTCCAAATAAGGCTGATTTGCATTGCAGATTTATCTCAGCTGCTTTTTGCTTCTGTTGCCAACCAGAGATGGTTTAAATAACAAGCATTGTTCTGTGTGATTCCTTATGCAAATGTTTCTGGCCTGTTTGTTATTCCTGAATAATTTCCTAGGCCTGCTGTCTGAGCAGAAGAAGCAGCTCACTCTCCCAGCTGTGCCAGGAGTCACCTGCTGGAGGCGTGAGGACAGTGTTTGTAATGGCCCCCTCCCCTTCAGGAAGACCTGCAATTGTGTCTCAGAGAGCTGGGTCTGCAAGCCCCACCCCTGGCTGGACCTAGGCTGGCAAATGTCGCATCAAGAAGGACTTCCAAGAATCCAGTCTAACAAGTTGGATTTTATAGTAGAGGGAACCAAGGCCCAGAAGAGGGTCGTTCCCACTGTGCCGGGGCCCACGTTTCTCCATTGAGTGCTGGCAGGATGAAGCCCTGTGCAGAAGTAGACAGTGAAACCAAGCTCTGAACCAAGCCTACCATGAACCAATGAATAAAAGGAATAAGCTCAGATTTGATGACTGAATTGTGTGGGCATTCACTGAGCACCCACTTTTTGCCAGGAGCAGGATTATAAAGTGAGGACACAAAGCAGGCCCTGCTCTCAAGAAGTTAATCCTTTGGAGGCAGCTGGGGTACAGGAAGCAAAATGCCATCTTCAATGTTTGTCTCCTTTCTTACTTCCACTGGCCCATAAATTCTGGGCTTTTTTTTTTTTTTTTTTTTTTTTTGGCATTCCAAAACCAGAGCATGCTATTCTTCATTCTTAACACACTTTACAATCACCTCCCACCTAATAAATCTGGGCCAGCGTACAACTGGTCACTCAGGCTGGACATGTACAGCCCCAGAAAACACCATTCTGTGTTCTTTCATTCACTCATTCATTCATTCATTTGTACCATTTATTTATTCACCAAGCATACGTTGTCCTCCAATGACCATGGTTGAATGGTGTAGTGTTAATATGCAGAGGCCCTGAAATCCAACAGACCTGGGTGTGAATCCCTACTCTGTACTTTCTGTATGATGTTGGGCAATTTTAAACTCTCTGGGCCTCGATTTCCTTACCTTTAAAATGGGGATAAAAGTTGCTGCAGGAGTGCATGATGTAATATACATGGAGCTCTTAGCACAAACTCTGGCATATGATGACCGTTCCAAAATTGTCATTTAAAAAAAAATCAACTCTGCTAGGCACCGGAGATACGGAGATGCCCATAAGTGTCTCTGTCCAGTCCCTGCTTCCTAACAGAGCATGCAGACATGCTCAAAGTGCTGTGGGAGTGGGACAGGCAGAAGAACTCTGCCTGGGGGTGACCAGTATGGCATCACCAGGAGTCCACTGTGGAGCAAAATCTCAAAGAAGAGTGGATATTCTTTAGGCAGAATGAGAAAATGTATGTGAGCAGGAGAAAGGCAGGTGGAGAAAAGTGTTGGGAAGAGGTGGTACAATGGACAATAATGCATTCTTTTCTCCCAGTATCTTGCCATGGTAAGGACCTCCAGGAGGAGCAAACAGGGTGTGTGAAGACTCAGAGGAGCAGAATAGCATAGCTTGTTTCAGAAAGCACAGGCTGGGGTGAGTGGCCTGAGCGGTGTTTCCAAAAGCATGGAACATGGACTTGAGATGAATCTGGCTGGTACCAGGATGCCCCTCCTTCTCTCCTTCAATTACAATTTCCTTCCACTGGGATCCCACTCTGGCGACCCCTCCCTTTGTTCCCTTCATTCCACTGGGGTTACAGGGACATTTGAGTGACAGGATTTCACCCCTGGCTGGATCCTATGCTTGAGAATCATTGTTCTGTGCATTAGAAAAAAATATGTAACTAACACAAAAATTTCCTTTTAAAAGAATTAATTGTAAGTAAAAAAGCATAAATCAGTTTAAAATATATTAAGTTAATAATTGTGCAGGTGATACTCATATAGTAGAAAGTCTCTTTAAGATGATATGCAAAGACCAACCTTTGAGAAAACCTGGACTAACATACAAAGCATGAATCAAGGAGTCGGAGGCTATGAGACCACAAAGGTAAAAAGACAAAGAATAGACTTCATAGGCCACGCCCGAGAGTTTCTGCTGCCTGAGACAAAAGACTTGAGTGGGTTTCATTTACTGAGCATCCCCTGATACCCCCACATAAACTCAAGGACCCAGTCTTATCCTTTCTGTGTCCCCAGTGCCCAGTGGAATTCGGCACTCAATGGTTCATCCAAAGTTTGCTGATGCAGACAAAGACGATGGTGGTCTTCCCACAGTGCTGAGTGTGGGCAATGCTCATCAGACTAAACCAATGTGGCCCTCCTGGACTCACTCTTCTCTGCAGCCTCTACTGTGTCACTGAGAAGATTATGATCCCAAGGAGATAGGGGTCCCTGGGGCATTTTACAGAGGAGGTTAAATTTCTAAACGGACACCTCCCTGGTGTGTCAGGGCAGGTGGGCTGTGATGAGCATCCCCAGCCTCAGAGCTCAGACTCTCCAGGTGTGGTCTCTAGACTGCCTGCACTAGCTTAGAAGATGCAGCTTCCCAGGCCCTTCACAAACCTCCAGCCCGGGAAGAGAGGAAAGAACAGGGACTCTTCAAGTCCTGGCTCTGCCTTTTGACATGCCATACCTCTCCCTATCCTCCAGTCTCTTCATATGGGCTATGGAGAGAGGAGTGCTTGCTCACTGGGGGGTGGTTATGAGGACCAAGTGAGTTGGTACCTATAATGCTCTTAGCATCATCCTTGGTGTAGTAAGCAGCACACAGCGCAGGTTCTTGTCATTGGCAGGATTTCCAGAATGAAGCCCCTAAAATCAGTACTTTCACCAAGCACCCCAGTCGGTTGTGATTTATACTAAGGTCTGGGAACCACTGCTGTAGACTGTTAGGATTTTAGAGTCCCTGACCCCCTGCCCATCCTCCTTCAATTGCAAGGCATAACCTCCTGAAATTGGGCTCACCCCTACTGACCCCTGTGCTGCTCCACTGGAACCATGGGGACAATTGTATGGCAGGTTCTACCCCTAGCTCTGCTGGGGCAGATGCAAAACCACTGGATTCTTTCCCATCATCCATTTTCTTCTCCACATCATAGCAAACGCACGACTAGAGTGGTCACAGTGAGGACGCAGACAAGATAAGAAAGTTCACACAAAGGAAAATAGAGCTGACTGCTAAATCTGCTTCCTAATATAAAGTTTGATCATGATCCTATGCAAGAGCTCAAGCATTTAACTCATTTCCACAAGCAAAGAGCACCAGGATATGTAGGGAGTTGAAGGTCAAAAGCCAGGGCTAGGTTGAGAGACTCCTTCTGAGTAACAATGGGGCCCTGGCAAAACCAGGGGATTTTAATAATAATTATAATAATGCTGGTGCAATATCTAGTACCTTTCTTTAGGGACCCTTCCCTGAACATTCTTGAGGAATAGGCAGGGGCAGCTGGGCAAGGGGGCAGGTATTTGTAGCCACAGAGCAGCAAGAGGAGTCATAGAGCATCATCCTCACTTTCTCTCCCTATACATCCTCATGAATCACACAGTACTAGGAACCAGTGCAATTCACTTCGGCACACTTTCCTGAGTGCCACTGGTTTGCCCACCCTGCCTGTGGGGTAAGGTGAGGGTGGGAGAGGTCAGAGGCATGGTCTGGGCCTTGTGATTACATAGTTTCCTGGGGACCTGAGATTTTCACACATGAAACAAAAAGAGAATGAATAATAATGCATTGTGGTGGAAGGAAAGGAGCATGTGTTTGGAGTGTTTACTGCAAGACCTGCTGTAATCATGTGCCTTAATCACACTGAGCCCCAGTTTCCTCCCTTATAGAATGAGAATGAACTCTCTGTCAGTGCTGCTCTGAGGATTAATTGTGACACTGTACATAAATGCAGGGAGCCCCAGGTGGGGCTTCCACATCCCCCTGCCACCTGCTTCTCCCCAGAAGTTCAGGATGTCTCCTGCCATGCCACTTGACTTTTGGGTAGCTTTGCAGGGGTCTTCGTTTAGATCTTGGCCCTTGCAATTCTGCACATGCCTCATGCGGTAATTCCAAGCCTCCAGCCTAGCAGATGTAATATGTTAGCAAGAAAAGCGTTTCAAAACTATGGTTGGTTAATTTGTATATTTTCTAGCTTAAATTTGCTTTTAATGAGCCTTGGTCATTTTTTCAAGGGTAATGGAGACTATCCTAGTGTTCTATGAGTTACTGCTCAAATGATGTCATTTAAACCTTTTGAATATACATTCCCCAATACAACTGCAAATAGCCCCATTTGGCACTGTCTTCTGAAGGCACAGCATTTAGGAAACACACTGTTTGGGGTTTGCTTTCTCCACTTGCTGAAAAAGTACACATGTTCCCCACCTCCCTCCAGGATGAGGCCCCCAAAATCAGTATTTTTACCAAGCACCCCAGTCGATTGTGATTTATACTAAGGTCTGGGAACCACTTACAGGGACATGAAGAAGCTATTCTCAGGGGGTGTTGAAAGTCTGGAGACCATGTTACTTGAGGTTCCTCAGGTTTTTCTTGGAGAAGGGGAGACCCCCAAGGGGCCCCAGTGGTTCTCTTTAAAGATCTGAAGACTTCTCATGAACCAAGTCCAGAGGCATATTTCTGCTCAAAGAGAGGAAAAAATTTTGATTGCTTAGAGCTATCTCATCAAGGAATGGGCTACTTTAAAAGGTAGGGAATCAAGCAGAGGATGAATACAGTGGAGAAGATGAAGAAGGGATTCCAGAATTGGCTAGGAGGTTGGACTGCATACTCTAAAGTTCATTGTACTTCCAAAGTGTGTAGAGCACACAACACGTGCAATGGTAGGTTGAGAAAAAGAAATGAGTTTTCCAGAAGAAGGAGGACTCAGATAGGCCCTTACAGGTGAATAGAGCTAAATTTATCAGAAAGGACAGGTTGGAACGTTCTCAGCTGGGATACTGCAGACTATGAGTTCCCTTTCTCATGAGCCAGTTCTGTCACGCTGATCTCCTGCTCCTGCCTTCCCAGGAAAAGTGCCAAGGTCTGCCCATCAGGGCCTGGAGCTAGAGTTGCCAAGGCCTCCAGAGGAGTTCTGCAGGCTTAGAGAGGAGTAGGCCTCCAGCAGCCCTGGCCACCCCATTCACGTTCAAACACTGAGGACCATGATGCCCCTACAAACCTAAGCCAGAAGCAGCATGTGCTGTGGGATAGGGGTGAATGGCCTGTGGCTTGGCTGAGCTGTGGTCACCTTAACCATCAAATCCCATTACCCACTGCACAGGTGAGGCATCGGATGTGGAGCAGTTGATAGAGAAGCAGCGAAAACACCAGACCAAACAGGCTGCCACTGGATTTGATCACTGCGTCCAGATGCAGCTGGAGCAAGGAAGTCAATAGGTGCTCTATGCACACACGTTCCAGAGGGTGGGATCTCAGCTTGATCTTACTATCGGTGGGGCACTGAGCAACTTACTTCATTCTCCAAGCCCAAGTTTCATCTGCGAACAGAAGAGAAAACACTGATCTCATGGGGTTGCCATAGTGGTAAGATGAGATAGAACAATGTGTTGACTCATGAGATAGAGATAGCAGCCAGCACATGATAGGTGCTCAACAAGTACCCTCCCATTCATTTAATTCCTCATTCAGCCAAGGTGATGGATAAGTAGTGGGAGGGGCATTTCATAGGACAGCTAAGAAGGGGCTGCATTTGGGGTAAGAAATGAATCTGTCCCCACACCTGAGAAGCTGTGCCCCTAGACCTGATTTGTAGAAACTGTTCTCATTTCACGGCAAAAGGGGAGAGAGAAAAGCAGTAACATAGCAGGCACCAAATATCTTAAAACCCATTAGCTTTTTGGATAATGAATCTAAATGCATATCTGAAATTTGGGAATAAATACCACTATACACCTACTTTTCTCCCAGTCCCTTAGGCTGAGTTGGGTGAGTAGCATCTTTACTCCATCAGTTTAGAGCAGTCTTAGGCAAGTCACTGAGTCTTCATTTCTTCATTTGTAAAATGGGCATTATACCACCAGCCTCACAGAGGTGGTGCAAGGATTAAATGACACAGTGCATAAGTCACCTAGCACTGTGCTGGCATATGACAGGCTTTCAAAAATGTGAGTTGCCTTCCCCTTCTTCCACCTGCTGCTGATTCTAGCCCTTGGTTGGGGGCCTTCACAGACAGGCTGGGTCACCTTAAGCAAGTCGCTCCCTGGCTTGCTCCCTCAGTGCCCCTTGTTACCCACCAGTAACCAAGACTACTGACAGGACAGGGCGGGATGTTGAGGGGAGAAGGAAGAAGTAGCCCTGAGAAAATAGGCTGGCATTTATTAGAAGAAAGTTCTTGGTGGTGGATTTAAAAGGAATTAGTGTACCTTGTCTCATACCAGATGCCACACTGATCTATCTTTAGAAACTTCTACGCGGGGGCAGGTTCCAGGGATATGAGCATCCCTGCTCTCCAAGGTTGGCTCTATAAATACCCTCCCAACCAGCCTCAGGAGCTCTCTCTGCTGTGATCCAGAAATAGTCTCTCCTCTCAGTAGCCCTCCAAGCTCCCAGATACCAGCTCCTGAGGCCCACCTGGAGCCCAAAGCGCCCTGGACACTGAGAAGAAACAGAAGGGCCCCACCTTTCTCTGTCCTCCTCCCCCTCTGTATCCCCAAAGGCCGCTGTACTTCACAGTTGTATTGTGGAGCCTGAGAGCATGAACCCAGAAGACAAAAGACAAATGATAGAATCATGGTGTGGGAGCTTGCAGGATGAAAGGCTGGGGGACAGGGGGACAAGTGGACTGGGGAAATGGGCAACTGGGGAACTGGGGGACTGAGGGACTGGGGTCAGGGGCAGGGAGGGAAGAAGACAAGGCATGGTGGAAGGGAAATGATTTCAGTCTTCATTAACTATTTCCTAAGCTCCTACTCAAGGCTGGGCAATGTCCCGGACACTGGATGGACAGTGTAAAGACAGACACAGCCCGTGCCCTCGGCGGGGGCTCGGAGTCTACAGGCAATACTCCAGAGAGGCATAGAAATCTGAATCCCTTACTATTTGGAAAAATGGAGCCTGAAGAGAAAAGGGAGTGATGGGGAGGGAATTCCCAGAAAAGCAAAGAAACAGATGTTATTTCTTCAGTTCTCTTGTCTGTTGGTGTTTCTCACTTTGTGCAGTCTGTCTGTAAATAGGTGTATAAATTGAATGTCTACTGTGTGAGTGATGTTTTAAATGTGCCAGGAGAGCTCCATATTTAAGGTAACTTTGGGTGAGCTTGTCTATGATGGAGCTGATTATGCCTGTAGACACACACACACACACACACACACTCTCTTTATCTGTCTCATCAGCCTAAAAGGTTTGCTATGAGTTTCTAGCAGCTGCCACTCCAGGCCTGGGCCCCACAGTCTGCACATTCTGGATGGTCCCCTGTGATCTGGTGGTAGCGGGCCACCACCATTCTGGGGGCCCTCCTCACTCATGCCAGATGCCTCCCTCTCTACTGCCTTTCCATCTCCTGGCCTCCCAGAAGGCAGGGTCGGCAACTGCAGGACGGGGAGGAAGCCAGAGAGAAAGGGAGAGAGAAGGGACAAGGAAGCGTGAGATAAGGAGGGAAAAACTAAAGAGAACAGGGAGGTAAACGGCCCTCACTTCCCCTCTCTCCATCCCATTTCCATAGTCCCCTCTCCCCTCATCCCCCTCCTCCCTTCAGCCCCCCACCTCTTCCACACATCCACCCAACACTCAGTCTCTACCCCCTGGAATCCAGCACCACACCACAGGTGTGAAAGCCAGGGCATGGGCTGGGCCCTGTTCTCCAGATAAAACTCCCAGAGTTGTCCTCATGGGTAGAGCTCCGTGACCTCAGTCAGACTCTCAGCCTCCCTATGCCTCAGTGTCTGCCTTATTGCTAGGGGCTAGTGAGCATCAGGAGAGGTAATGTTTCTAAAATAGCACAGTGTCACTGTTCAATATATAGAGCTGCAGCAGAACTAGCCTGAAGACACTGTGGATTTAATATGTGCCTAGGGACTGGCCCGGGGACCCAATACCCATTACTAATGCTTTCCCTGGGAAAGACCAAGAAACTAGAGTTGTGAATAGGTTTCATTTTCAGGCTCCCCGGGGACTCCTCGCACCCATGTGACTGTCACTGACCCATCTTCCATCCCCCTAGTATCTCTGAGGTCTGCTTTGTGACTTGTCATTGGCAGACCCAACCTGAGCCACTATTTGGAGTGGTGGATGGTTTGTGTTTAAATCCCAGTGTCACAGTGAAGAAATCACAGGCTTGTTCCTGAGCAACTGCAAGTAGAATTAAATCGTCAGCAAGACTGCAGGGTTAGAAGTCAAGAAAGCAATTTTTTTAAAAACCGACCTCAACTCATTCTGTAATATTTCCTATTTACATTAAAGAATGTCAATTCCTGGCTTTAGGCCTCACAAGAGACCAAGGATTTAAAGATACTTATGAGACAGATATAAATCTTTGATAAGAAAATAACCACAAAGAGAGACATGCTGGAAATGTTAAGTCGGTTAGATTTGGTCACAGCTCTTTCCTTTTTGCCTGACTTGACTTATAAACATGGGGTGCTCTGCCGGCTCCTGGAGGGAGAAGACTCCCCTCTCCTGTTTCAGAGTGAGGCTTACATGTTTGGTACAAGCACTTTATGTCTGTGCCTGTTGTTCACAGTTAGAAAGAGCAATTAGAAATGTGCTAATTATTCTTTTACTTGTAATTTGGTCCCTAAAGTTTAAATGTTCAGCGTGTGGTTATGTTGATGCCTGACATGACTGGTTGTTCCTGAAGACACCAGCAGCCTGCAATTCCCTATCAGAGAAACCTGATGCACATCAGAGCAGATCACCTGCCAAGGATTCCAGGTGGATTCCAGGAATGAGGGCAAGAGTCTAGGCGGGAACTGGGCATCAGGCAGGATGACTAAGCCTTGACCAGCCTCTGGGCCTCTTTGTCAGTTTCTTGAATCATATACTAGATCTCAGGTTTTGGTAAGAGGTTGGTAGGGGGATGTCTGGCCAGAAAATCACTCTAGATGGAGCATACTACTGGTGCAATTTGGAACAGACAAAAAGATGGGGCAAAGACTCTAGTGCTGACAAAGTCCAGGCAAAGAGCCATTAGAAGGACCCTGGATAGTGGCAAGGAGACCTGTTGGTCTAACTCGCAAGAGTCTACAAATCTAAGTGTTGTCTGTGGCTTGGTTCCCTGGGATAAACTATCAGAATTGTGAAGGTCAACCTTTATGACTTATTCATGACAATTAATGGCAGGGATTGAAGCACAGCCTACAAGTAGAACAAGTGGCCAGTTAATGAACTTATCTAGTGTAGACTAAAAAGAAATTCATGAATTGGCTTCTTCCCTGGAGTGGCCACTGGGCCTCATTTTGTCTTTAGATGTGAAACAGAGAGAGGACCCTAATGTGACATGATTCTTGGAGATCCCCAGCACTCACAAGCCAGTGGCACCAGTGGAGCAGCATTCCCTGCAATCATCTGGGGTTCACTGGCTGGGGCTCTGCCTGCACTTGCAGCCTCCTCAGCCCCTTTCTTTCACAAGGTCTTTCGTAGATGTATTTTGGAGACCCCTGCGAAGTCTCACAGGAGCTTGTGCAGTGCCTTCTCATGCTCTCCCACATGTCCCTCCATTGTCGACGAATTGAAGCCAGTGGAGCATGGTGCCTTATTGACCACTGCTGTGAAGTGATGTAGTTTGTCTTTGAGGATGCTTTTGCCTCCTCTTCACGGAGGCTCCAGGAAAACAGCGACTTCTTTTTCCACTGCAGACTCCCTTCTATTGCCTTAGGTGCAGGACTGGGCCAGGGGAACAGGGTCTCAGACAGTATCGTGAAGTCTTTTCCTTTCCTCTCCTGTTTCCATGGAAGCCCCTTCAGTCTTTGCCAATACATTGTCTCTAATGAAGACCAGCTCGGGATGGCGCTGCTATACCAGGCTGTCAGATAGACTCAGACACTCCTTTCTGTCAATATGGTGCTCAAAGCAAGAAGGAAGCCCTAGCCCTTCCCAAAACTGAAACCAAGGCAAAAGCTTTGAAGGCCACAGAGGTTGTGCTGAAAGGGCCTATAACCATAAGAAAGAAATAGATCCATATGTCACCCATCTTCCAGGACCCAAGACACCCTAAGAACTTTCAGAAGACCATCCTCGAGACCACCTTGATGCAAATCCAATGCCACCAGCCACAGAGTGAACCATAAAGAAGACAGGTCAATGCCACGTGGGTTCTCATCAGGGAACAGGCGCCCAGCTGGGTAAGCTCTGGGGAGGCTCACACACCACTCCGGAGGGGATCCCACCCCACCCAGGCTTGATGGAGAGGAGACACATGTTAGATGGTGGCACTGTGAGTGCTGACAACAAAATCAGGATTAGCTAACAGAGTCCAGCTGGATAGATCTAAATCTAATAAACATTTCCTTCATCAGGGGAAAAAAAAATCCCAGCACAAGGCCAGACTTGGGTCGCTAATACAGCATCGCTTTATTCCACCAACTCAGATGCTGTGAGTCAGGTCTCCTTTCCCACATCTACCCAACTCAAGTTAGCACCAGAGTACCTTTCCCGTCTACCTTTCTGGCCTCACGGCTCCCTCTGGGTGTGTGATGGCCCAGCCAATCTGCTTCTGCACCAGGGACATCTGGATGCAGGCGCTGACCCAGTACACTGGGAAGTGGTATGTTTGAGGTCAGAGAAGACCGTGATGGAAGAGAGGGTGTCTTGACCTCAGCATCTTGTCCTCTGTTGAGTGCTTCCTGAATAACGGACACGGTGCTATAGGCTTTACATTCCCCTCAACAATATAGTATTTCTCCTTACTTTGTAGCTAAGAAACTGAGGCTCACGAAGGAGAAGTAGCATGCCCAGAGCCACGGAACTATGAAGTGGCTGGGCTGGGTGAGAGCTCAGGCCTCCCAGCTCCTAAGGTTGGGCTCGTTCCTCTACTTTATCCTGCTACCCCCAGGAGGCCTTCAGCAAAACTAGCCTCTTCTACAGTCAGCTCCAATCCCGGCACATCCTGGCCCCCTAATTAGCCTGGCTTCCTGTCTCTGGATCCTCAGTTCAGCTGGAGATGTTGTGCAGCATGTGCCTAGCTTCATGCTTTGGCCTGATTCCTCCTATTCTCCCTGGGAAAGGCCCTGGGCTTGTCTTTCTGGCTTTCCCAGCTCCTGCAGCTGCCACACGCTGACCCCATACTGTGTGGCAACCCTCATATCTGTTACCAGGGACCACTCCCGCAGCTGCCACCTGACCCCTGAGCCGAGCAGGAAAGCTCACTCGTAGACTGACAGAAGCCTTGAGAGGTTATCCTGTCTATGCCCCAGGCCACCAGGCCCGCACACGCATAGTTCTAGTGCAATGGTGCTCTCACCTAGGTAAAGGTGGCTCCCAAAGGGTGACAGCAAGTCACCTCATTGACCCCACCTAGAAGCAAACATCTCCCTCAGGAATCCCTGGCTTCCAAAGTTTATTGTCAAACTCAAGGCTTTCCTGGCAGAAGATGCTTCTGGCCAATGGCAGCCATCCATACTCTGGAAAACCCTCATCTATTCAGCACCCTGCCACCTCCCCATCTTCAGGCTAATTCCAGCTTCTTCACTTCACCCTGGGACCATTTCTAGGCACCCCCCAATTATCCAGTGACTCTCTTCTGAAGACTCCAGAAAGCCCTGCTAAAACCCGGCTTGTGATTCCCTCAAGGAGGCCTGAGTGGAGACCAATTAATCCTCAGCATCATCAAAGCCACTAGGCAGTTCCTTAGGCAGGAGCACTACCTGCAGGCCACCCTGCCCATCCTGTCCACAGTGACAATGAGGCCTGGGCCGCTCATGGGGCATCCTGATGCACTCTAGATGAGGTCACACTGGCAGGGAGGAGCTGCTCTTGCAAGGCCAGTCCCTTTACATGTGATGGGTATTGTGAATGAGTGGGGCTAGAGTTGCCTCCCCAGGAGGGGCTGGAGGTCAGGGCCTGGTGGGCTCTGCAGGCTTATCAGTTCAGCACAACGTGCTCCTGCATTCAAGAAACAGGGCATGGGGCTGCTCACTGGCACTGGAGGCCGAAAGAAGGTGAGGGCAAGTGAGATGCAGGGACCTCTTCTCACAGCTGTGCTGACAAGCACAAAAAGGAGCCCCCCACGTCCACACCAGGAAAGGGGGGATGGTGCACAAGATCCAGGTACTTCATGTGTGCCCACTCCTCTGCCAATCTCATCAATGCTATGGATCACTCATACGTCTCCCACAACTTTAAGGCTGTCACTGACCCTCAGGGGTCCGGTGGACCTAGATCCACAGGGCTGGGCTGGCCTCTGTTCCTGGTGCATTGTCATTCCGTGCTCTGGCCACAGGCCACAGGCCACAGGCCACAGACGGGTGCGGCCAGTGGTTACCTCTCTTCTTTTGCCCCAGCTTCTGGTAATAGGGGCTTCAAGGACCCTGAGCTCAACCTGACCAGAGGGAATTTCCTTCCCACTATTTGACTCTGGCTATAAAGGGATAAGAATAGGGGGACTACTTTTATGGTAGTCTTGCTTTCTATCTTGATGAAAAATCTGCTATTTTTGCACTGGTGTAGAAGGAAAATAGAACCATGGCTTATGTACCCAAGTTTTGTAGCTGAGGTCATGTACTTTTGATAGTCTGTTATGTTTCTCCCAATTACAAATATGCTCCTTCCCCTTGGAATTTGGGTAGAAGGGCACAGCCCTCCCCACAGTCCAGCTAATCGCGTGCCCACGAGAGAGAACAGGGGGCAGGGAGTCCCTCTGGGAGAGCCGGAGGGGTTCTGGCGATCGATAGCGCAGCCTCCATCCATCTCGATCCTCATCGGTCTGTGGCCTATTAAGCGCTCCCTGTCTGTCGATAAGCCCCTATTATTGCTCTTGTGCTGCGCACGCTGAGGCCAGCTTCCATTTGGCCAGAGAAAAATAATGATTGTCTGTTTATTTGTTGGGAGGAAATGCCCAGCCACAAACGAGCATTTGGCCCACAGCCAGGTCCTGTGGAGCCCTCCCTCCGCCCAAGCCCTCCCTCTAGAACTCTTATAGCGGTGATCTGCAGGCTGGTGTTCGTCACGAGAAGGTGGCCCAGGAGATGCCGAAATCCACATGGATGCTTCCAGGCAGCCAAGAACACATTGGCAACCTTGACTCATTCCTTGGCTGGTGCAAGTGGGGAGGGCACTGCTGGGGAGAGTTGGCAATGCAAGCTAATGTGACAAAGGGTTCCCAAGCAGGCCTGGCCATGGGCTTGTGAGCTCCAGGGGCCCTCGCCTGGGAAACTGCTGGCAGAAAGCTCTGGCAACCACACTGAGTCAGGGCTACTGGGGCCTAGGAGTCCTGGCCCTAAGCAACTGTTTCCTCTGCTTACACCTTAGCAACTGTTTCCTTCCCTTAGCAGGAACTTTGGAGTCACACTGACGTGGGTTCAAATCCCAGCTCTGCCGCTGAGCAACTGTGAGATCTTGGCAAATGTTTAACTTTCCTGATCCTCTATTGACTCATATGCTAAATGTGACTTAGAATGCTTGTGTCGTAAGACTGGCGTGAGATAAAGTACGGCAAGTGGGAAACACAAAGCCTGTGCACGTGAGGCCCTCAACAGAAAAAGCTGAATTGCTGTGTACTGGTAGCCTCCTTTCTCTTACCAGGAAGCCCACGCCTCTGGCTAAACCCTCAGGCTCACTTGCCCACCATTACCAGGTGCCTGTCTCCCTTGCCTGTCTTCCCTTGACTCGGGGAACTTCACCTGCTTTCCTTCCCTAGAAGGCCCCAGCGCCCACCTTGCTTGCTGTCCTTCAAATCAAACAACCTGCCCTTTCTTCTAAAAAGGCTTTACTGTTATCACTAAAGGGAAACAAAAAGGTGCAACTAAAACTAGCCTTCCTTAAGCCTGGGCCCAAGTCCCAACCCTGATGCTAACTTGCAGTGCTACCTTCAATAAGGTGTCCAGCTTCTCAAAGCCTCAATTCTCTTACCTGTCAATGAAGAGGGCTGTCCTAAAAGAGCTTTAAGAGTCTCTCCTACCCTACAAAATTGTTTTATTTTAGAAACAAAAGAAACATCTTGCAAAATCTTCATAAGTACTTATATCCCGTATTTCTCTCCATACTCTTCTCATGCGTGATCGGCTGACTCCCAAACTTCTTGCCAAAGTGCTCCTTTATCCTGAGATGTTAGTGCCCCTCACCACCACCACCAGCCTCTGGGTTCCCCCGACTCCCCCTGTGCTCTCAATCTGCCTGCATTCTTTGGGCATCATGTTCTGGAAGATTGATAGGGCTTTAGGTATTCAGGTAGCTCAATGAGCCATTTTCTTCCCAGGTGGCTCATTCCTTAGGGCATAATCCTTCCTGTCCTCCTTCCCTTTTTCTCACATAATCCTTGTTTCAGTCAACTTAAGCTAAGTTCAGCAATGGTAACAAATGATCCCAAATCTTAGTGGCTTACAATAGCCAAGAGCTATTTCTTGCTCATATTCATGTGCATGGCAGGTTGGCAAGGCCTGTTCCACATCCTCTTCATCCCAGAACTGAGAAGTCTCACCTGATGGAGGAAGAACCAATGGCAGAGCCATGTGATGGATCCTCAAGCTTCTGCTTGAACCAAGTCCATGTCACTTCCATTTACATTGTATCAGCTAAAGCAAGTCACACAGGCCAGCCTGCTGTCGGTAGGACAGGAGGTATAATTTTTCTTCAAATATCTTGACAATAACACAATCTACCCCATGATTAAGCCTTATTACTGGGATTCTCTGGTCCATACTGCTCATTTTACAGGTGACAGGACAAAAGCCCAGAGACATGAGATAATTAGCCTGAGCTAACGCAGCAAATCAGTGGAAGAGGAGGGACTAGAGCCCAAATGTGTTGACCTTCCAGTGCAGATACAACAGAAGGGCCAAGAGGAGATAGGTCTGGATTCAATCCCAGCTCCATAATTCTAGGCAAATTCTTTCAACTCTGAGCCTTGGCTTCCCTTCTATAATATAGGCTAAGAGCACCCACCTCCTGCAGGGAGGTTGGGAGAGCTGGCTGAAATTTCATAAAGTGTCTCACTCAGTGTCTCACACAGAGAAACCTCTTGACACATGTCTGTTTTCTGTCTCTTTCTTCCCTGTCAACTGCACCAAACTCCTTCATTTCATTCCCTTCTCTCTTCTTTCTTATCGAGCCCACCTCTTTTTTTTTGTCAAGAAGTTGGGAGAAATAAAACATTTTAAAGACGAGAATAGCAGTGATCCTAGGGCAATGTGGCTCAGGTACAAGAAGCTGGCAGGGAAGCCTTCTGTGGTTGCCTCCAGGCTCAGTAAGAAAAGGGTCCTCAAAGCCCTCCTCAAGGATCTAATGACACGCTACCTATTTACATCCATTATCTCCTCAAATCCTCACCACAACCATGGGCAGGGATCACCATTAGTCCCATCATGCAGATGACAAGACTGAGGCCAGAAAGGTTGAGTGACAAGCTCACCAGCCCTGGAAGCACTAGGCCTTCGCAATCACAGATCTTTGGGCTCAAACGTCTATATTTTGCTGCTATCCCCAAGGTTGAGCCTGTCCCCACATACACTTGCCTCTCCTTATATGCCTGGCACCACATAATAAAAACAACAACGTCTGAGCCTCCACAAGTGACATGAGTGGTCTCTGGGGAGTGAGGGAGGCATGGCTGGTGTGGGGATGATGGTGTGGGGGAGGGAGGATACTGGGGAAGAGACCAGGAAAGTAATTTCAAGAACAATTGTCACCGGTTCTGTTTGGCTTTGTCTCATAAAAATTCTGTTTTCAACATTCATGAAATGGAAGTCCAGGAAAGTCTGTTTAGGCAGAGCCATTTCCTGAGAGATCTGACAGTTAACATTTCAGGGATGTATCAGGGATATGTATTTCAAATACCCCTCCCAAGGACAGCTGTGGAACCTGTTTGGAATATGTTTTTATGATTAGGTGAGGGGTGTGTGTGTGAGAGCAGATCGCTGGCTGTTGTGTTTGTGGTTTGCTTTTTTTTCTCTCTCTCTTCCCCCCCGCTCCCTTTGAAGGGCTGTTTTCTTTGTTCTGGGATCCTAGCTCTACTTAGAATGTCTAATAATGACACAGATGGTCCCAATTTATTGCTGCCTTACCTGTCTGAGGGAGATACCTCGACGTCCCTCTGTCCCACCTGCCAGCATCTTTCTTCCTGAGCTGTCCTGTGAGGACTGTGAGCAGCCGCCTCTGCTGCCTTTCCCGAGCCATCTTCTCCAGAGCCCTCCCATTCAGATACAGTAGCTCCGATGGCCCCTTCCTGAGGGCAGACACCTCTGCTCCCTGCTCCAAATGAAACAGGAAAACATCCCTGGTCTGCTGAGTTTCCAGCCTCAACCAAGGGTGCAGACCTGTCCTGCCTCAAGGGAGACATGGCAAAGCAATGGGGCTTTTACAGAGAGCAAGAAACAGGCTGTGTTTTACTGATTTTGAACAGACTGTGCTGGAAGGCGAGAGATGTGTTTTCATGATAAAGAATGAGATGAAAAGGCCTCAAGGTTTAAGTGACAAAGTGCTGAGTTTCCACTGTAGCCCACCCCCTTCCTAGGACTGCAGTGTCTTCTTTTACCCTCCTAACAAGTCTGGAGTGGTGGTGGAGGTAGGGTGGCCCGGTCAATCATTCCACATTCATTCATTTATTCACCAAGCATTTTCAAAAAGCCTATTGTATCTAGACATTGTTCTAAAAATCAGAGACACAGACAAAATTCTTAAGTATTATGGGGGAGTAGAGGAATTGCAGAGGGGGAAAACAAATAAGTAACATAATATATTGGCAGTTTTAAGTTTTCTGAAGGAAAATAAAGCAGACAGAGGATAGGGAGTCCTGGGGTGAGGGAGTGAGGGTAAAGGAGGTGAAAGCTCAAGCCAAGCCATGCAGGCATCTGGGGGCAGAGCAGCCCAGGAAGCATGAGCAGCAAGTGCAAAGGCCCTGTGGCAGGTGGGAGCCACCATAGTGAGGAGCAACAAGGGTGGGGCCTGAAGCTGAGTGAGGGCAGCACAGTGGCAGGAGGGAAGGGAGGGGAGGAGGTGAGAGGCCAGATTATGCAGGCCTGTGGGCTGACACAATGACTTTGGCTGTTACTCTGAGTGCAGTGGGGGCCACCGGATTGTTTAAGGAGGCTTGTGATCTGACCTATGTTTAAAAAGGTTACTCTGGCTGCTGAGTGGAGTATTGACTGTACAGGGGCAAGGGTGGGAGCAGGAAGAGGAATTGGGAGGCTTGCCCAGAGGGCCAGGGGAGAGTGGATGGCAGCTCAGACCACGATGGTAGTGGCACTTGGATTCTGGATATATTTTGAAAGTAGGAGCCAATAAGATTTGTTGGTGGCTTAGATATAGAGGTACACTAAAGAAGAAGACTCAAACATATTTCTAAGGATTTGGCAACTTAGAATGTGGAGCAGATTTGGAGGGGAATATCAGGAGTTTAATTCTGGGTGCATTGAGTTTAAGAAGATGCCTGTTAAACATCCAAGTGAAAATGTGCAGGCTAGAGATCTACATTTGGGAATAGTCAGCATGTTGAGCATCTCCTGTGAGCTGGATACGAAGGCATTACAGTTCCCATTTATGAAGCATTTCCCAATTATCATCTCATCTAGTCTTCATAATAGCCTGTTGAGAGGTGGAGACAGGCTCAGAGAAGTCCTGCACGTTTCCTAAAGCCACACAGTTAGCAAGTAGCAGAGCCCCTCAAACAGCTCATCTTCTGGGAGGTAGTGGCTCTTGACCCTGAACAAGGTACTTTGGCTGTCTAAGCCTCAGTTTTCCTCATCCACAATTGGGGGCAGTAGCACCAAACATGATTATCTTCTGAGGCTTAAATGAATAAAAGGGGCTCTGAACAAATGTTGAGTCCCTCTTCTCTTCTTTCCCTCTGATTCCAGCATCCTGGCTCTCTCCAGACGCTGCCTTCAGGTTGAGAGGCTTCTTCATCAATGAGGACCCCCAGGCTGTATGGCAGTGCTTTTTGATCACTTCCTACAGATGCTCATTTAAGATGCCTCAGTTTCACCCACTTTCACTTGACTGTGAGCCCCCAGAAGACGAGCGGCTGTATTTCCCTCATCCCTTTAGCCCCATAGTTTCTACAATAGTGCTTTAGATTCTGCCACTAACCAACCAGGTAGACTCAAGAACCAGAATCATCCTTTTTGGCCTCATTTCCCTCACTTATTCCCTGTTTCTCTCCCACTGTTCTCCCCCTGTAGGTCAAGGCCATGTTCTAGGGGTCCTGGGATTCCTGTGACCCCACTCAGAAGGCTGGGGGATGGGGTAGAGTCTACAACAGAATGCTTTCCCCTCAGCCTGTAACCATCTGGGCACCAAAAGGGCTGAGCAGCCCTGCCCAATAAAAATATAATGCGAGCCATGTTCGTAGTTTTAGTTTCTAGTAAGCAGGAAAAACACTTCAAAAAACGGGTAAAAGGGATTTTTAATAATAATGTTTACCTAACCCAGTATTATCCTAAATATGACTTCAATATGTAATCAATATTTAAAAATTAATAATGAGATATTTTACATTCTGTTGGCTCATACCAGGTTTTTGAAATCTGGTGTGCATTTTACACTTACAGCACATCTCAGGAAAAGTCCCATTTCAGGTACTTAAAGCCGCCTGTGGTTAGTGGCTACCATGCTGAACCCCAAAGATGCAGGGGTCAGAAACAGCTTTCCTAGTCTATCCAATTGTTTCCAAGCCCTTTTTGGTCCACAATTTTTTTTTTTTTCCCGAGACAGGGTCTCACCCGGGCTGGTCTCAGACTAGTGGACTGAAGCAATCCCAAGTAGCTGGGATTGCAGGTAGGTGCCATTGCACCCCGCTAGAGGTCCAGAATTCTTGAGCCTACACTTGGCCATGTCCTTGGTCAATGGACAGCCTCCCCCAGACCCTCTCCCTCCCCTCTTCCATTTAACCCGTTGTCTTCCTCTCCTGAGATCCCATCTGCTCCTGGCCAGCACCTGGTGTGCTGTATCAGTCCCTGTCTGTTTTTCTAGCTAGGTTGCTGCATTTGGGAGGGGAGAAGGAGGCACTACCGATCCTGAGAGGAGGACTACTGTCAGGGCCGGACTAGTGTCAGGGCCGGAGAAGAGGCCCTCCAGCTGGGCTATGTTCCCTGAGACCATCTACAAACAATGGGATCTTTTACAGGGAAAAGAAGACTTCTTGTTAGTGCAGCTCCCACACTCATGGTGCTAAAAGACTTATGATTCCTCCCCAGGCTTGAGTTACAGTAAAATAACTTCTAGCCCTCACCTTTAGGAGGGATGGGGATGGATAAAACCCTCTGGACACGTTTTTCTCATTTTCACTCTCCAGAGACATCTGTGACTGCCTTGGGGTTACTCCTCTCCTCCCAGGTCAAGTTCACCTCAAGCAAATACATTGATCTTGGAATTCACTGAAGCCTGGAACCATCCCAACTCCCATTCTCCCCTCTGTATCTCAGGCCTAAAGCCTGGAAACTCCTGGGAACATTCAAGGGCCACACCCTGCCCAGTGCCTGCTTCCATCTACCTCTCCTTCCACCCATCTCCCCCCACTGACACCCAGACACCCAACAGGCGTGAAACTCGTCCCTCGCCATTGTTCTTGGCAGGCCTTCCTTGTATCCCCTAAAGAACACACCCCCACTTATTTTGCTCCTCACTTGTTAATCTTTTTGTGTATAATGGAAATAATAATAGAATCTACTTTGAGTGAATATGAGTATTAAAGGAGTTGATGTGTGCAAGCTGCTTAGAGTACATATACAGTGTGAATATAAGCACTTGTTCCATGATTCTCTTAACACTTTCATGAGATGGGTATTTTCCCCCTTTTTAGAAATGAGAAAACTGAGGCTGAGAGAAGTAAAATGACTTACTTGGGCTGATGGGTAGTAAGTGGCAGAGCTGGGACTCAATTCTCAGGCTTCTCTCCCTCATTTCAGGATTTGCCACATCATGTTAGGCAGCCTCACTGAAAATAGAATGAATGGTCCTTGCCCACAGGAAATCTAATCCAGTCAAGGAGACTGTACAAATGCATGGAAAATTCCTGAGATTGTTTGTATCCAGAGCTGTTTCATAACTGGGGGAATCAGGAGAAAAGGAGGCTGAGGAGTGTGATGGCAGTCTTGCTCTCTAAGAGGCTGTTGTCAGAGGGCTCTTGGCTGCCTGCTCCATGGCCTCCTGAATGGGGATCTCTGCCCACTGCCTACCCCCCACCAATGGGGCCTCAAATTGTTACCCCTGGTTTGATTGACTGCCAGGAAAGAAACAACAAAAAACTGGACTAGATTAGCAAGGCAGCATATGCTGCTCATGGGAAGTTAAACAATTGCACTTCTAAATAACAGCTCAACGTGGAACAGAAGAGATGTCACAAGGCAAGATATGATTAATTGCCAAATGAATTATTTAAATTGTAATTGCAGAGGAGTTCAGAGGAGTGCATGATTGCTGTGGGGCAGGAAAGGTCAGGAGAGGCCAGGCAGGAGGGCTATGTGAGCTGGGCCCACAGCGAGGGCAATGTTGGGCTGCAGAGCCTGGGCAAAAGCTATTCCTGAAAGGTAGAATGAGAAGGTACAGATGGGAGATGGTTTGACCCTGGTGCCAGGACCTCACAGGAGCTGAACTGCAGACAGACCTGCCTACCACAGGCATCTCCCCGATGACCCCTTTCTCCTCTTGGCCTTCCATCTGCTCTCTGACACTATGTGACCTGAGTTCTAATCCCCCACCTTTCTCTGGCCTAGTGGCCTCCTGTGCCTATGCATCAATTGCTCAGTCTGCACAGTGGGTTGAGAGGGCATGTTTTTCAACCAACATAAGAGAGAAAAAGCCTATCACTAGGCCTGGGTTGGAGAAATACAAAATCAGTAAGGTTTGCTACAACTCCATTACATTAAGGCTTATTTTGCAGGGGCTCAAATACACGTGAGACGGATTACATTTCTTGAAATGTAAGAGAGCGACATAAGCAGAAACTTAGCAGTGCCCCAGACCTGAGCCTGAATCCCTCTCTGTCCTGTAAATGCTGTGTAATCTTGGATAACTTGCTTAACTTTTCTGAGCCTGAGTTTTCTCATCTGTAATGTGGACTGGTGTATGGATATCTCATAGAGTTGCTTTCAGAATTGCCTGGGATAAGTCGCACCAAATGCCCAATCTAAGACTGGCCCATGATAGCTCCATAAATGGTAGTGGTGATTAGCAAAGAGCGGTCTAACAGATAACAGCTAAAATAGCTCTTCTGTTTTGCAGCCCCCTATGGACAGTGCCATAAAGCAAGTGTTAGCCTATCTATGCCCCAAATGACAGGGATACTGTATGGTTATATCTAGTGCAAGGGCTAGAAGATAAAACAAAATGATGGACAAGCATGCCAGGCCCATGGGGACAGGATCAGCTCATGGAGAGGAACAATGGCATGTTAGGGTGCCTGCAGCATGCTGGTGGAAGACAGAGACTTGAACCCAGGCCACAGGATGTGGTACTATGCAGCCATTATAATGGAATTAGGAAGACTATGCAGAGATGTGGGGAAATAGTATTTTATGAAAATGGCAGAATATGAAACGGTATACATACCCTAGTAGCAACTGAATAAATATGTTAAGGTAAATTGTTTTTTTTTTCGAGACAGAGTCTAACTCTATCTCCCAGGCTGGAGTGCAGGGGTACCATCTCGGCTCACTACAACCTCTGTCTCCTGGGTTCAAGTGATTCTCGTGGCTCAGCCTCCCAAGTGGCTGGGATTACAGGCACACACCACCACACCCAGCTAATTTTTGTATTTTTAGTAGAATAGAGATGAGACTCCCTGTGTTAGTCAGGCTGGTCTCCAACTCCTGGCCTCAGGTGATCCACCCACCTTGGCCTCCCAAAGTGCTGGGTTTACAGGCATAAGCCACCATGCCAGGTCAATTTTTTTAAAGAAAAGTAACAACAGTTGTGGAATTGGGCTAGTGTGACAGTGGGGAGAGGACTATTCTGTGCTTAACTTTCCCTTTAGTATGATTAGCTCTTAGACCTACATAGGTCCCCCACGAAAGGCAGCAGCTTCCCAGGGAGAAAGGGGGCTCTGTGCCTCTTCTCCCCATCAGACGTCTTGGAGGTTAAGGCTCCAGCGTGGCTGTGTATTTACAGAGGCGTCAACAGACACGTCCAGCGAACAAGCACAGGGTGGGCCGTCCGGGAGCCTTGTGCCGCCAGGAGGAAAGCCGCACCGAGGGCAGCAGGTAGGGAGAGGTGATCCGTGCTGGGCCCGGCAGGGGAGAGATGCTGGCGAAGGCAGGCACAGCACAGCACTGCGGGAGGATGTGGGTCAGAGGACAGCAGCGGGAGGCGAGCCTTTGGCTCAGTGGAAGAAAGAACTGTCAGGCATTCTGAACAATCGACAACAAGGAGAGTTCCAACTGAGGCTGGATGAGCTGTGGTCAGGGGCTGGGCCTGAGGAGGCGACGGAGGATGCCGGAAATGGGTAGAAGGTAAGCCAGGATCAGTGGTTCCCAAACCTGACTGCCCATCACAATCGACTGGAGGTGCTTGTGAAAATACAGATTCCTAGGGCTCTGCCCCAGACCCACTGAACCTCCAGCACTGGTACCAGAATCTGCCTGTTTGGGAACCTCTTGGGGATTCTCCGGAGGCCGACGACTGGGCTAGCCCTGGGAAGCGCAGGCTGACACTGCCCCTAGTGGCCTTTGGAGATACTGTGCTAGACTCAGAGCCTTTATGAGGAGCCGGGGAGGCTGTGCAGGCACCGGGCAGCTTGGGGCACAGGGCTCGGACTTAGCGCTCGCACGTGAAGCCCCTGCCACTCTCTCCCAGCTCCCTCCTCCCCCAGGGAGGCTCTGATGGCTGCCAAGAGGTAAATCGAGCAGAACCCCTCCCCGCCACTCCCTAAGGAGCAGTCCGATGCCTGCGCATCCTCCTGCCTCGGAGGGGCCTGAGCGGGTCAGGCTGGAGCACATTGGAGTCCAACGAACAAATCTCCATAATGAAGGTGTACAAGGAGTCCAGATTTCAGTGACAAACCAAATATCACATTTCTTTTTTTTTTTCTTTAAATTGACTCAAATACAAGTATGAGTCTTCATCCCCTCCAGCTTGAGAGAAATTTACCCTCAGTCACCATAAAATCTCTCACCCCAGATCTAATGCAAGCCCAGGCTTCAAAGAAGACCTCCTGGTGGTTCTGAAGTTAAACTCTCCGCCCCTCAACTTCTCACGGGGAAACAGAAGCGGCTACTCTAAGCATGGATGAATACCTGTAAGGCGTTTACCACAGTGCCAGGCACAAAGCACTCAATTACCGTTGCTGTTGATCTGTCTATACTGTCTGCTATTGAGACACCCGTTATCCTGCCCACGATGTCCTTCCAGGCCCACACAACTCCTAGGGCCTGGAACCTTCAGAAAGTAGCCAGAAGTCTCCTCTAAGCTCTTGCTTCTCCCCAATTTGCTTTCACCAGATAGTTCCCAGATCCTCACTCTCTCTCAACCCATTATGGGGAAACATCACTCTTTCCGTCTATCTCTCTCTTTCTCATTACCCTCAATGGCATTTGGCATAAGCTCTTCAATGTGTTTAGTTCTGCACCAAGGCATGGAGAACAGCTGCCTTTGAGCAACTTCCAAGGCTGCCAGACTGAAATGGGAGATGGAGAAAATATAGGGAGAATCAATGCCTGTTTCAGTGAATGGAGCTGGGATTCAAATCCAGGCATCCTGACTGCAGAGCCCTGAGTGTCCCCACCTACACACACCCTGTGTAACTCACAGAGCCTGCCAATGTGGGAAGGGCTGCTGGCACTGAGTATGGCCCCTCCCAGGCCTACTCCACTTTAATGGAGGCTCCAGTGGACAAATTCCTTAGCTCTGAGGAATGGCTCTCTCATGGTAAAGTCTGCAGACCTCGGGGAAGCGTGGCTAACAAATGTTGAGGAATGGAGCCTCTTGATGTCCCTCCAATCACACTCCGCAGGCTTCAGACCCACTATAACCCCATTCATTCCTTCATTCATTCAATCAGTCAAGTCAATACGATTTCTTCTCAGTGCCTGCTGGAGCCATGCAATGCTGCACAGACACCTTGAAGAGCCCTGGCAAAGTCTGAAGTCACAGAAGGCATGACTTAGAGGCTCCAGGATGGGCCAATGGGCCACTGAGGGTAGCGAGACTTAAAGGCATGATTTAGAGGCTCCAGGATGGGTCATTGGTTTTAATCCCTGGCTCCTGTCTTCCCCTTCACTTTGGCAGGCTGTAGGCTACCAGATCAGAAGGCAATGCCTTGAAGAAACCCTCCCAGCAGGGTTGCCAGAGTAAATATAGAACACCTGGTTAAATTTGAATTTCAGTGATAAATTTTTCAAGTTTATATCCCAAATACTGTACTGAATGGGAAATATCTATACCAAAGAAAGTATCTGCTATTTATCTGAAATTAAAATGTAACTGGGCTCCCTGTAGTTTTCTTTGCTACACCTGTCAACCTTACCTCCCTGGGGCATCCAGTCCTAATCTATGTTTCCCAGGAAGCCACCCAGGCTGCATTTTCCAAATTCTGTAGAGAGTGTTTACACATGTACAGCAGTGGCTGTGGCTCAGAGAGGATAACAAATGCTCCAAACCACAGAGGGCTTGTGCACAGAGTACAATCACAGCTAACACCTGGTACTTTCCAGGTCTTCAGATGGGCCAGGCGCTGACCTGTTTTACCCATATTCATTCATTTAATGTTTGCAATAACCCCATAAGGTCAATGCTATTACCATCCCCGCTTCAGAGATAAGGGACCCAAGGCATAGAGAATTAAGATCACACAGCTAGGCCGGGCACGGTGGCTCATGCCTGTAATCTCAATACTTTGGGAGGCTGAGGCGGGCAGATCACGAGTTCAGGAGATCAAGACCACCCTGGCCAACATGGTGAAACCCTGTCTTTACTAAAAATACAAAAATTAGCTGGGTATGATGGCGTACCCCTGTAGTCCCAGCTACTCAGGAGATTGAGGCAGGAGAATCACTTGAACCCGGGAGGTGGAGGGTGCAGTGAGCCAACATCAAGCCACTGAACTCCAGCCTGGTGACAGAGCAAGACTCAGTCTAAAAAAAAAAAAAAAGAAAAAAAAAATCACACAGCTAAAAAGGGCAAAGCCAGGCAGATCTGGGACATGAAGGCCACTCCTTAGCTTGCATACAGCCTTTATTTGTTTATTTATTTATTTATTTTGAGATGGAGTCTTGCTCTGTCGCCCAGGCTGGAGTGCAGTGGCACGATCTCAGCTCACAGCAAGCTCCGCCTCCTGGGTTCACGCCATTCTCCTGCCTCAGCCTCCCGAGTAGCTGGCACTACAGGCGCCCGCCACCATGCCTGGCTAATTTTTTTGTAGGTTTAGTAGAGACAGGGTTTCACCGTGTTAGACAGGATGGTCTCGATCTCCTGACCTTGTGATCCGCCCGCCTCGGCCTCCCAAAGTGCTGGTATTATAGGCGTGAGCCACTGCGCCCGGCCGCATACAGCCTTTATTTTTTTTAATAAGAACAGGCCTTGGACCTCCACTGAGGAGAAGATGGCACGAGGGCATGTGTTGGTATGGAGCTGCAGACAGGCTGTCCCATCAGGCCATTTTCCCTCTCAGCATCATGTGACACCACTGAATTGTGTATTCGTTCATACAAACACAGCTACATTTACATTAAAGTTGTGATGGCGCATTGGGCAGCTGCTGGCCCTGTCTGTCACAGGGAATGTGCATCCTGCGGCTCCACGGAGAAACCGGGATGTCACTTCTAGAACAAGTCCAGCTCCTGTGCTGGGATTCCTCCTCACACTCCTCAGGGCCCCTCTGTAAGGTTCACTCCCCTTCCGACACATTACACATTTTATTTGTAAGGATGTCTTTACAGCTTATCTCTTTCAATAAAAAGCAAGTCCTAAAGCAAGGAGCATACCTTCTATTTGACAAACTTTTTTTTTGGAGCATTTACTATGTACCAAGGCACAATGCTAGGCTATAAAAGGCTTGTCCCTATCCACGTGGAACTGACAACTTAGTGGTGGCCAGGGTGGGTGGGGAGAGACAATCAAAGAAACCAGCAGAACACACACAGTGGGTTCTAACAGGAGCACTGGGTACAGAGAGGAGGTGTGCAGCATGGACGTGAGGTAGGGGGAGCAGGCAGAGGGCCATGGTCCAGGACAGCTTTCCAGAAGGCAGGAGGGGAAGGACCTGCTGGATGGACATGTGTGATCCACGCTGGGACCTATGAGCTGCAGGGAGGAAGCAGAGACACAGCGGCAGGCAGCACTTTCAAGATGTTTTAGGAATGTTGCTGTGGTCTACATATCTCCCTCCAAGGAGTTCAAGAAAAGACAGTAACGAACTTGAGTCTTTTTGAAATGACACATTGGTTGTTAAACAGCGCACTGCTCAGAAACTGGACCATGAGCGTCCCGATGTTGCTTCATAAGCCACACATCTTTTGCCACCCACTCTGTTCCAGGTGCTGATGACACCAAGCTGGATGAGACACAGTCCCTGCCCACCTTACGCTCCACCTCTCACACCCCCAGCTCATCCAGCTTCCACCTTCAACTCCTTGCCTCACACGGAGGCTGGAGGAATTGCCCGAGGGGTGGGTGGTCACACGGTGTAGCAGGAGAGGGGATGATACTAGGAGGGGAAGCAGGGGAGGGGATGACAAGGACCCATGCCAACGGCAGCTCTGTCTCCTCCATTTCTACAACACTGTAGTGTTTGTTCACCTCAAGCCATCATCATTCTCCACGGAGGACTTGACAAGGCTGATTGCCACTGCTGGGCAGAGACAGAAGACCCAACTCAGAAGAAAAAGAGCTATCTGAGTCCCTAGTCTCCTGAGTGACCCAGCTGGGTAGAGCGTGACCCTCTCTATGCCCAGCTTCCAGGGGGTCCCGCAGTGTTTTCTTGGTTTCACTCCTTATGAGGCCAGCTGAAATGGTTTGGCTCTGTGTCCCCATTCAAATCTGATGTTGAATTGTAATCCCCATATGTCAGGGGAGGGGCCTGGTGGGAGATGATTGGATCATGGGGGCGGATTTCCCCCTTGCTGTTCTCATGATAGTGAGTGTGTTCTCATGAGATCTGATGGTTTAAAAGTGTGTGGCACTACCCTCCTCTCTCTCTTTCCTGCTCTGCCATGCTAAGACGTACTTGCTTCCTCTTTGCCTTTTGCCATGACTGTAAGTTTCCTGAGGCTTCGCAGTCATGCTTCCTGTTAGGTCCGAGGAATTTTGAATCAATTAAGTCTCTTTTCTTCATAAATTACCCAGTCTCAGGTAGTTCTTCATAGCAGTGTGAGAACGGACTAATACACCAGCACAGCTGGATTGCAATGTAGTCTGGTGATAGGACCATGGGCACTCTGCCCACCTATTCCCTAAACCCCACAGTGACAGTCGTCCAGGAAATTCAGCACACTCACCATCCTGCCCTGTTTCCTGACTTAGAGTCCTAGTCTCCAGTTAGAAACCATGTCTAGCAGTTGGGATCTGAGTCACTCAGGAACCTGCGCTTTATCCAGCAGATCCGAACCCAGGTCCCTATAGGTAAGCATGGCTGTGGGAGTGCTCCCCTCCTGTATCCCAGGGGTCTATATGTATTCATAATAGTGCTTTTGGCTGCAAATAATGCAAAGCATACTATAAAGATCTAAACAAATCAAGATTTATTTTTCTAACTTAACAGGAAGTCGAGGTGGGCGATTACTGCTGCTGCTGATCCAGTGGCTCTGTGCAGTTAGGACTGAAACCTCTGGGGTTCTTTTGATCATTTCCTCGTGATTTTAGGATGGCTGCTGAAGCAGTAAATGTCAAATTTTTAATCACAGCAGGAAAAACAGGGAAAGTGTACCCATGAAAAGGAAGCCTAGCATGACTAACTCCAGTTTGCTGCTATTTCCCCATCCCCCAGGCGGAGTGATATCTTTTGGGCTAACTGCTTTGCTTATCTGCACATAGGCCAAGCTAACTGTGGGAAGAATTTAGCTTATAGTTTACCTTTAAAGCAAGGATAATAGTCCCTTCCCCAGCTAACCTTCAAGGAGATACGGAGGGTGTATGCACAAGTATGTTAAAGATTGAGACAGGGTCTTTCTCACTCTGTCTCCCAGGCTGGAGTGCAGTGGCAAACTCACGGCTCACTACAGCCTTGACCTCCTGGGCTCAAGTTATCCTCCTACCTCAGCCTTCCAAGTAGCTGGAACTACAGGCATGCATCACCTTGCCTGACAAATTTTTTGTTCTTATTTTTATTTTTGTAGATACTAGGTCTCACTTTGTTACCCTGGCTGGTCTTGAATCCCTGGGCTTAAAAGATCCTCCTGCCTCAACCTCCGTCAAGTGCTGGGATTACAGGCATGAGCCACCATCCCTGTCCATGTTAAAGATTTAGAGGAGCACTGTGACTTGACCAAGAACACAGAAGTTTCACAACCTCCTTGGACCCTCACTGCCACCCAGATGTCTGTGATCATCAGTCATCTCTTGACCTCAATTCCCTTCCTCTTCTCCCTTCCCCTAACATAAAAAGAGTCTAAAATTTGTATTAACTTAAGACAGTTCTTTAGGACACGAGTCCACCATCTTCTCAGTTTGTTGGCTTTCCCAATAAAAGTTGCTTTCCTTGCCCCAACACCTTGTATCTCTACTTATTGGCTGTTGTGTGGTGAGTAGTATGAGCTTTGGACTCAATTATAAAAGAATCAGGGTGATGCTTGAATGAGAAAAGCAAAGGATTTCCCAGGAACCTCACAGCAGAGCTCCATCTATGTCTCATTAGTTAAAACTGTGTTTCCTGGCCACCCCTGTGGGAAAGGCGGCAAGTAGGAAGTGAATTGGAAATGGGGTTTGGGTAAGCCAAGCCACATTATTTGTCATATTATCCTATGTCCACTTTTATTCCTACTAGGCCTAACTGAGGCTCCTGGTACCTGAAGAGTAGGTTAACAAAAGCTTAAGGTGGCTGCCCCTTAAGGAGGAGGCTCAGGTAATCCGAAGACCTTTAAAAGAAAACTATTTTCTATACTCAACACTTTAAACACAAGACACACAAGTTTTCCCCATCAAGAAGTTCACTAATTCTCTGTGAACACCAACTAGCTGACTTACAATTTAAGTCATTTCTGACACTGACTACCCAAAGTTAGCACAGACCCCACAGGCTAAGGGCTCAGTCCCACAACATTGTCCCCACTTCACACAACAGTCACAAGTCTCAGGCCTCCAGTACTTCTGACCAACTAAGCTACAAATCATGCGTTCCCATGACTTCTGCTCAGGTTTGATAATTTGCTATCAGGGCTCACAGAACTCAGGGAAACACTTTTCCTTACTGTTACTGGTTAATTATAAAGGAAACAGATGAGCAGTCAGATGAAGAGGCATATAGGGCAAGGTCCAAGAAGGTTCCAAGCACAGGACTTCTGTACTCATGGAGTTGGGTTGCACCACCCTCCCAGCATTCACCAACTCTGGAGCTCTTTGAACCCCTTTCTTTAGTTTTTTTTTTTTTTTTTTTTAACCAAGGTTCCGTTACATAGGCATGGTTGATTAAATCTTTGGTCATTGGGATTAAGTCCATCTTCAGCCCCTTGCCCCTCTCCAGAGATGTGGGGTGGAGGCAGGAATGGTGTCCAGGGCTGAAAGTTCCAACCCTCTAATCACAGGGTTGGTTTTTCTGCAACCAACCCCCATCCTCAAAGAGTCACCTCACTTGCACAAACTGAGGTATGGTTGAAAGGGGCTTATTATAAATAACAAAGACACTCCTCTCACACCTATCCCTCAGAAAATTCCAAGGGTTTTAGGAGCTCTTGTGCCTTGGACACGGATGAAGACCAAATATATATTTCTTATTATATCACAATATCACAGCCTTCAAGACATAAAGATATGAAGCCGCAAATAGTAGGAAAGCAGGTGGGTGGATAAAAATGTTAAATCTGGTCCTGCCTCAAACTGAACTGTGTCAGTGCTCAGTGGTGAGCCAACCTTGTCCTCATCCCCAGATGAGGTGCCCAGCAAATGTGTCCATGAGCAGGAGTTACAGATGGAAGCAGGTCTGTAACGACCCACCTCCTTAGGGTTCCTTCAGCACTTCCATAGATGAGGAAAAAAATGACTTCTGAGGCTTCTCAGCCCATTGTCCTTCAAGCATCCATTCCAGACACCCAGAAACAGTTAGTTCCTCTATATTCCACAGAGATGGAGGCAGCACACACTAGAGGCAGGCTGTGCGTGAGGCGAGCTGTAAGGCACATGGGGTGTTGTAATCCCCAGTCCTGCCCTCAGGGAGCTTACAGTCTAGACCAGCACTGGTCTAGACTTTACCCACCAGTAAGACAAAGCATGGATCTAGGAAAGCCAGAAGAGCCCATCCAAGAAGCGACTTGATTTTTAACATACAAGTAAATTTTTGTTATTTGTCACTTTATGGTTTTAGCATTGCTTAACTTGAATTGCATATGGTAGGGGGTGGGAGACACCTCCCACTAGACCTCACACCTTCAGTAGAGTGCTCCCCAAGAGCAGGCACTGTATTTATTCTCTTTTTTTCACCAGCACCTACTGTTTGAGTGTTAGGACTCAAATGCCTTCATACAACCCTGCTATATCATGTATGTCCTTGGGGCACAGAAATTCTTTGTAGCATCTTTCTCAACCAGGTTGCAAGGTATCAAGTTCGTGAGCTGTGTCACAAATGAGTAGTTAGTAAAAATAGTTTAAATATCCAGATTAGCAACAATTTTTTAAAATTATGAAATATTACAAGCAGGATGGGGTGGCTCACACCTGTAGTAATAGCACTTTGGGAGGCCAAGGTGGGAGGATTGCTTGAGCCCAGGAGTTTGAGACCAGCCTAGCCAACCTGGCAAGACCTGGTATCTACAAAAAACTTAAAAAATTAGCTGGGTGCATAATCAAATGTAGACTCTTCTTTCAATAATAGTAAGTGGACGCAACAGGAATGTAATATGTTTTTTAAATGGGTGTTTTGAATTACTTCTAAGAGGAAATATTTTAATGAAACCAATAAGCTATTGACAAAAAAAAAAAAAAATTAGCTGGGCACAGTGTCATATGACTGTAGTCCCAACTACTCAAGTGGCTGAGGCAGCAGGATCCCTTGAGCCCAGGGGGTTGAAGCTGCAGTGACCCATGATTGCACCATTGTACTCCAGCCTGGGCAACAGAGCAAGACCCTGTCTCAACAAAACAAAACAAAACAAAACAAAGATATATTTCAGACATACACATAAAGGAACTTAGAGCCCACTCAGCCTAGTGTGCATAATAAGGTCACTTTTATCACTACTGCTCTGCTACACTTCCTTAGTGGGTCAGAGAGAGGAGAGCAGCTCCAGGTGTGCAGAAACAGATGTCTCTGCTCCCAATCCAGATTCAGAAGACATATATGGGTATCTAAGGTGGTCATGACTTCTTTTTTTATTGATACATAGTAGATGTACATATTTTGGGGGTACATGTGATAATTTTATACATTCATGTAATGAAATAAAGGTAATGGGAATATCTACTATCTGGTCATCCCTTTCTTGACTTAACAATGGGTTTGAATCCAAACTCATCATTAATAATGGCCTTAATGATGGGTTTGAATCCAAAGCTTGTAAACTGTCCTGCTCCTTGACACCCTGGGAGTTATAAGTCTAGGCAGAGCTAAATGAATACTAATCATCTGCGCCAGGAGTTATTTGTGTTTGGCTATGTTTTTAAACAACCTTTTTTCTCTAAAACAGGCCCTACCTGAGAGATCTTGGGCCAGTGCTCAGAGGCCCTTTCCCTGATCTCTAGGAGGCAGGGATGGGTGGAGGCATGAGAGTGGAGAAGGTGTGGTAAAAAGTGTGTGAGTCTGGGACCCTGAGGGAGTGGACAGATCTGAGCTGGAATTCTTCCTCTGCAATTTCTAAAGGACCAGAAGAAAGGAAGACAAAGCCAGTCCCTGCTGAAGGGCAGGTGGGCAATCATGCACCCCTGACTCTTCTTGTCTCCGCCCTTACCCTCACCCCCAGTGGCAGATGAGTGAGGCTGGAGTGGACAGTTCACTCAAGGGTAACCAACTCACATTTTGATTGATTGGTGCCCCTAACATGGACAGAGAGGTTAGTTCTTAGCCAGGTCTGTCAGATTCTCCCTCTTCAAACTGGAACTCAGAAATCCTACCCCCACCAGCCAAAAATTAAAAAATGCTAGTGTGCAGGAGAAGCTGCAGCCAAAAGGATCCCTGAGGGAGTGTGAGGGGGCTGGGCCCAGGCCCTCTCCCCAGAGTGGATGGAGGACCGGGAGGGAGCAAGCTGTGGGCCTTACCCTGCCTTGGCTCCACCAGGAACAGCTGACCAGGGGTGGGCTGCTTCACAGCTCACCTTCCAGGAAGACACACAGGGCCAATGAGGGGTCTCAGGGTGCTGAGGGAGAAGATCCTCCTAGCAGGAAGATTTTAATCATGCTTCTGCTCTTTCAGTAACTAGCTGTTATCTGTGGGTAAATGCACATTAACCTGCCCAGGTTTCATCTATGAAATGGACTAACTGAACTTGATGATCTTAATTGATACTTTCAGTTAGTGCAAGGTGATTTGAGAAAAGAAACCAGGAAAAGAGTGTGCATGTATGCATGTGTGTTGGGGGCAAGCAGTTCCTTTTGTTAGGGTGGTAAGAGAACCCTCTTGAGGATGTCACATTGGAGCTGCAGGGAGGGAGGAGACAGCAGCATCCTCAGAGGAGAGAGAGTGGTGTGGATCCAGTGTCCAGCAGTCTGGCATGGAGGAATATACTTTTTGGTGTGTGAAACTGAGAGTGATACACACAGGAGGCAGGGAAATACTGGGTAGAAGAGGGTGGTCCCAGCAAGTGACACACCCTTAAGCCTGAAACTGCAGCCCAAAGTGAGAGCATGCATTCCTGTTTTCTCACCCGAATGTTGCCTTTTCCAAAACCACCCTGGCTCTCCTCTCCTCACATCCTGCACCCATAATAACCCCAGGCCCCAGAAGCAGAGCCACAGAGGAGAAAAAAGAAGAAGCAGCCAGGTGTCGGAGAGAAACAGCTTGACTTCAGAGGGAGGGCTTGATGGCAGGACTTCAGAGACAGAGAAGAGTTCGGCTGAGGACGGCCAAACTCCAGGGGAAGACCACCTTCCCACTCCATCCCCTTTACAGCTCCCATACCGCTGAGAGCCACTTCCACTGCTCAGTAAAATCCTCCACATTTACCACCCTTCAATTTGTTCACATAACCTGATTCTTCCTGGATGCTGGACCAGAACTCAGGTACCCAGAGGGTAGGTGCAAAAAGCTGTTACCCTGACCCTCCACTGAGCTGTTAAACACTTAAGGTGTCCATGGATGGCAAAGCTAAAAGATCACACTGTAACACATGCCCTCTGGGGCTCCAGGGGTCACAGGGGTACCAGATGCTGCCATGGGGCCACAGAGAGTTCTACTCCTGCCAGCACCCAGAAGCACTCGTCTTGGCTCCTGCACCCACTCACCTGTGTGCTCCCCATTCCATGAGGGGTTGAGAGCTGCAGGCTGAGTAAACAGGTGAACATCTTTGCAAGTCCTGCAAAGGGGTCAAGGGAATGATCCCATCTGAAGAAGACATACATCCTCATTCACAAAATTGTTTTGAGTACCTGCAATGTGCCGACTACAACAGTAGGTGCTGGGGAAGAAAGTGAAACAAAAGAAAAGAATAAATACGGTGTCTGCCCTTCGGGAGCACTTCACTGAAAGTGTGAAATTTGGTGGGGAATATGGCTGCGGGGCTGGGGTTTATCAGTTCTGGTCCCTCCCAGACTAAAACTGATGCCTTCTCATCTCTCATGAAACTATCAGCAACTCTCATTTCCCAAAGAGGATACAACCAAAAGAGGAGACTACTGGCAATATAGGTAGGGACAGACTGAAATGTAATTTAATCATTCAGGTGGCTGTGAGAACAGAACACACAGAATTCCCAAAAGGAGAAACCTACTTTGGAAGCAACTATTTATTTAACACATTTTATGGAACAGCTACTGTAGACCTGATGCTGTTCTGGTTACTGAGAGTAGAGTAGGGAGCAAAAGAGACACAGGGCTTGCTCTTGTGAAGCTTATATTCCAATGTCAGGAGACAACACATTGCCAAGAAATCATGTGCGTATGCACACACTAGATGGGGACACTAACTATGGAGGAAGATGAAGCAAGGTAAAGGAGACAGAGGGAGGATGGGGGGATCTCACATAGAATGGCCCCAGGAGGTCTCTCTAAGAAGGTGAAGTGTGAGCAGAGACTTGAAGGATGCAAGGGATCACCCACGGCACTATCTGATGGAAGAGTTTCTAGGTAGAAGGAGCAGCCAGTGCGAAGGCCCTGAGGCAGGAGCTGCCAATCCACCAACATGGTTAATCCAACACTTCTGCATTCTGCCTGCTCCCTCATCTTGAACAATAGAAACTGCCCTTAAGGGTTATTATGCACATAAAATTATTGTGAAACAAATATTTCCCCATTCAATTAAATTGAAATTTCAGAGATGCTCAGCCTTCTTTTTGTTTAGTTTTCAAGTGTCAGTGACTTCCAAGTAAAGGGCAAGTTCACTTCTCCCACCTGCTCTGTGTCCTCAGGATCTCTAATAGGTGGCTACTTATGTATGCAGTATCAGGGTATCCTTAGGGAAGCCCACTACTTTTGAAAGAAGTCAGAGAATGAACTGTTTTGTTTAAGAAAAAAAATTATCTATTCATAAAGTGAATCATCACCCCTGATTCATCCCTGGTGAGGGCTGGGAGCTTAGGAATGGCTTTTGAAAGTAGAACCTGGAGGGTCCAGCTGTGTTTGGTGGGGTGAGAAATTCATAAAGGTCTCTGTCCTCCCAGGACTTAGGCAGGTAGGCGAGAGACCGGCCAGGTCCAGTGGGCTTGAGCTCATCTAACCAGATCTTGGTGTGGGGATGGTAACTTGAGGCCGCTGCCATTCCTTCTGAACCATTGTGTTTAGGGAAAATTCTTAGAGATACTTTGTAGTGCGTTGTGGTAAAGAGTTTGGATTCAGGGATCAAACTCACTTGGTTTCTTTTTTGAAAAAAGATAACAGCATGTACTTCACAGGGCTTTTTAAATTGTAGTATAACATATATACAGAAAATTGCACGTAATCCAATTGCACATTGTGCAACTCAGTGAGCCCTCACACATTGAACACATGCACTTTATTGGTGGAGTCTTTGTTGTTTTTGAGAGCTAAATGAAATAATGCATGTAAAGTATTCAGCACAGTGCTTGGCATATAGGAAAGCTCAATAAACAATTACTATGCAAATGCAAAGCCTTGTTGTCTGTGCAGAAGTTTAGGGTATGAGACCCTAGAGGTTCCCCTGGGGCCTATCTGTCCTTTACTGTCCACTTCCTCTCAACCCTCTGGGTTTCAGAATGAATGAAAAGGAGGAAAAGAAGGGACTCAGTAATATTTACTTGCCTGAATGAGACCAAATGCTTTTTAAAAGCCTCTGCAAAGTAGCTATCTGTTCTTGAAGCTGCAAAGCCCTGCCTGTAATGAGTTACATCCAAGGACTTGTGGGCAGAATAGTCCATTCTTACCGATGCAATAGATTTAAAATGCAGTCATGAATAGGAGTTGCTGGTTGGCTAGGTGAGGTTACACATACTGAGCCTCCTCTCTCCAGGTGAATCAGGCAATGCAGATACCAAGCAGCCTCATGAGCATCCCAGGTGCCTAAGACCTGGGGGCCCAGAATGGTCAGCACCACATATGGGGGCTTGTGGAGAACCTCCCTGGTCCTCTTGGGAGCTGAAAGTGGGTAAGGCTGCTTTGCTTGCCTCACACCAAGTGGCTAAAGTGAAGGGGCTGAAGCAGAACTGTCACACTCCTCTAGTCTATAAACAAACCCAGTCTGTAAATATTTATGTGCCTCAGTGCTGTGACACTGTCATAATCTCTCATTTTCCCCCCTCTCAAGGGCAGCTCCTGCACAGGCTGGCTGCTGCATGGTCAGAAGAGAGGGAGGGGTGTTAGGGGAGGTAGGGAGGGCTAGATATATTTCTTTCTCTTGCCTAAAGAGAGCAAGACTTCGATTCAAACATTTACCTCTCTTCTGTCAAGCACAGGCATACAGAGATTTAAAGGCGAATCAGTTGCAGGTGGAGTCCCACAAGGGCTCCAGTGTGGTAAGGACACGTGCACATACATAAATCACTGATCCAGGCAGACTAGTGATACCTTTAGTATGGCATGCATCAAAGTGCTGTGGATGTATGTGGCAGAGATTGATTTCCATAGTGGTGGTGGTGGTAGTGCAGGGGCGGGGTTAGGGAGCATGTGCTATTGATATGGACAGGAGAAAGGGAAATACTGGGTAGAAGAGGGCAGTTCCCTGGCAAAGGCCTGACCCTCAAGCCTGAAAACCCACAGCCCTAAATGGGAATAGGCATTCCTGTTTTCACACCCAAAAGTTGTCTTTTGGCCCACCACACCCCCCATCCTGTACCCATATAAACCCCAAACCCCAGGCTCCATGAGCAGATGAACAGAAGAGCAGAAGAGTGGCAGAACAGCGTGGCAGAGAAGGACAGAAGAGAAGGAGAATCTGAACATCGAGAGGAGTTCGGCTGGGGTGGTGGGAGGGGAGATTGGCCGCTGGATGGTCAAACTCCAGGGGAAGATCATCTTCCCACTCAATCCCCTTCCCAGCTCCCCATCCATCCCACTGAGAGCCACCTCCATCACTCAATAAAACCCCTGCATTCACCATTCTTCAAGTCCGTGTGAGACCTGATTCTTCCTGGATGCCAGATAAGAACCTGGGTACCAAGAGGGCTCTGAGGTGGTTAACACTTAAGCCGTTTGTAGATGACAGAGCTAAAAAAGCACAGTGTGACATGCACCCACTTGGGCTTCGGGAGTCCCAAGCACCCACCCCTAGATGCTACCGTGGGGCCGGAGCCCAAAAGTGCTTGCCCCAGCTCCTGCACTTGCCCATCAGTGTGCTCCTCATCCTGTAAGTGGTTTGAGCATGCATGGCGGCCGAACAGACGAGCCACACCCATCACACGTCCTGCAGGGTAGGTCAGGGAACTCTCCCATTTCACTATGAAATCTTGGGAGGTTTCCATGGTGAAAGAACATTCCTGGAAGAGTGCTTAAGTTGTAGGCAGGCTTACCAAAGGATATTCCAGGATGTTCTAGAAGCTGAAATCTCTTTTTTTTTCAACAAAAATCTGGGTGCCAACTATCTGCCAGTGCTGAGTACTAGATGCTTAAATGTCAGAGGAAGGGGCAGTAGAATCAGGCTAGAAAGGTTAGGCTTGCCCATTTTATGAGGACTTTAAAAATCAAGCAGAGAAAGCAAGTGTCTTTAAACAAAGTGGGAGAGGTGGGGCAAAGATGCACCAGTAGAAGATAATTAAATGGATAAGACCCTTTCCTCCAAGGGACCTCAGCCTGATCCTTTGGAAAAAAAATCCTAAATAAGGGAAGAAAGAAGATACACAGACACAGTGTCATTTCAGGAGGAGCCATTGTATTTCTGTGGAAAGCCAACTTTGCAGAAGGTTAATAACACAAATGAAACTGTGGCTGCAGTAGCTCTCAGAGGAGGCACAGAGAGTCTTTCATCAATCCTTTGGACTATAGGAACTACAGGGGCTTGGTCCTGCCACAGAAAGATAAAGTGCCTCACACCTAAGGTTGGCAGAAGGAGCTGGACAAGGCTCTTCTGGTGAACTAAGCAGTATCTGAATACACACACAGAGAGAAAGAAAACAATGATGCAGTGCTCTTCTCAAGTCATCTGTTGACTGATGTCCTTAGGGGGTGGGGATGGGGGCTAGGGGTTGGGGGTGGCTTATTAAAGCACAGATAGGTTTGATTAATCACTGCTGGCTACGCCACCATAGGGCTGTTTGGAGCAGATTTCCCACTTTTTTTTTTTAAACAGGAATAAAACAGTAATACCATAGAACACAACAGAAGGCATACTTGCTGATGCTTTGGGGTAGTGTGGGGGAAATATAATTAACCAGAAATCTTCTCCACAAAGGTAGTAGAGAAACAAACCACCTTTACTGTTAGTTTTCTTTTAAGTTTATCCTTCACGCTCTTATGCAAGCCACTTTTATTATTGAATAACCATAAACCAGGATGTGATGGGTCTCACAGGCAATTGCCAAGAGATTCCAAAGACAGAAAGGAATCTCATCCCCTTACATAGGCAGCAGATACACCCCAGTGCATACGTGTTCTCAAGATTAACAATCACTAGTCCTCAAGTTAGAGGACTTGACAACACCTTTTGTCACACAGAGTTTGTCCTAACTTTATTTTGGTAATTGGGGAGACCACCTGTGTTGGCTTTATTTGGAGAAAAACAAACTTCCCATATCTTTATGACAGAAGGTAGTTTTGCAAATTGGAGCAAGGAGCCCACCAAGTTAGGCTCTTACCTGAGATAGGGACACTATCTTCCGTGATGTTTGCATTTCAAAAAGATGACTCCCAGGCCCTGCAGGAAACATTCCTGAGTTGAGAAACTTATTTAGCCATAGAGATTTATACACATTTGAAAAGAATAGAAAAAGAAATTCTGAAAAGAAAGAGGGGAGATATTTTCTCTTATTTTCAACAGGGAGAGTTAAGCCTCTTATTTTTAATTTGTATTTGCCCTTACAATCACCTCCCTGTGTTACTACAAAAATCACATTACAATCTCCTAATTATTTGTACCTTTTTCTGGGCAACTTGCAGTTGCCTGAAAATTCAGCAAATCTATAGTAAAATGCAAACAATGCAATTACCAGAATCACAGTATGATGAATTTTAAAATTCAGTATAATATTTGCCTTGGAGGAATAACCTTTAAATATAACAGGCATTCACTTTTGTTTATTCATCTGTACTGGAATTGGAGAGAACTTGCATCCCATTGTGAATCTAGTGACATTAAAACTGTCTTTTGCAGTTTCTGTTTGTCTATTCATTAGATGCCTTTCTACATCATCCTTCCAATCAAACCAGTTAACTTTTCTTGGTGTCAAATTTAGAGCTTGAGTGTCTGGATGCATATTTATTACTTTCATTATTATTGAACAGTACTAGTGAAAATGACCCCACTTACACTCTGCTAAAAATGAAATTGTTGGACTTGTAAGTCCAGATCATGTTAATCCTGGGAGCATAATTTAAAGCTGATTGGTGATGTGGGGTTATGGGAACATTTACTGGGAGTGCAGAAGAAAAAAGAAGTGCAACAAATAATACTGTTTGTTTTCTAATAAATATAATTCTCAAAGTAATTGGAATAACCACCGTCATGAACAGAACAGCCAGGCAGCCTATAGGAATAGTAATACATTTTCTAGAATACTTCTTTTCAGTTGAGTAGAAAACTTCAGTTTTAGGTCCTTTGTAGAAAGCACAGTCCACCTGTCCTGTGGTGCTAGCTTCACATAGGAAGCCTGGATTCAGCAGTTTGCCTTTTGCACTGATAGCCTTATGGGTCATCGACAGCACTTTAAAGGGTCCCTCCCAGCATGGTGACAGCCCACTTTTATGTAGATGAAGTCTCCTAGTCCAGAGGGGTGGCAGATTTCCTCTGGCAGGTCTTTCCAGATCTTTCTGACTTTGTCTCAGGGTTTCTGGGGAGAAGAGAGAAGCTTGTTAAAGTACTGAATACGATTATGAAAGGATTCAGTTAAGTCAGGCATATCATATGGCCTCAGACTCAAATTCATAGGCTTCCCAAATATAAGTCCAAAGAAGAGATTCCATGTTTGTTGCAGGGGTTATTCTATTTTTTAAATTCTAATTTGTAATAAGGCTAATTGATAAGGCTCTAGGTCAATTTAACCCGATAGATTGCTGAATCTTATCCAAGGAATGTTTGGTTTTGATTTTTGGTTTGCTTTTTTTGCATTTATTTGCTCTGCTTGTGCAGAAGACTGGAACTTTTAGAGACCTGTAAACATTTGCATAATTTCTCAACAAGAGTAAAAGTAAAATGACTTCCTCTGATTCAATATGCTTTAGTATCCCAAAAGTGGGAATTATGTGTAATAGGAGAGCCTTTATCACTGCCTGAGCATCAGCTTTGGAAAAGGAAAAGACCTCAGGCCATCTAGACCTTACACACACCGTAAGTAGACAAAAGCACTCTCTGTAGGCATTAACTCTATGAAATCAAATGCCACCAGGTTCCTCGTAAAGCTGGCCAGGGAGAACTTCTTCGGCTTACCTTGGGAGTGGCCTGTATAGAATTCTGCTGACAAAGAGCACATCTCTTTTCCATACGTTTTGAATACTTTTCCCTTTTTGGTAGGTGTAGAAAGAATTTAGTGTCTTTAAATTCCCTCTTTTATTCAGGTGATTTTGTTGATGACATGACAATACTAACCAAGCAAATGCGTACTGTGGCATAGGAGTTAGTTTGCTAGGTAGTTTCCATAGTCGGTCAAATTTCATTTAGCCCCTTTTATAATCCTTTTGTCTATTTTCTTTTACAAAGGATTGTTTTAAAAATGAACAAACGTTTCTCATTGTGTTAAAAATGAAGCTTTTTAAGTTTGGAGATTGCTGTGTTTTAACAGCAGCTTTTGAAGCTTTGCTAGCAAAATGAACTACCGATACCTGAGCAGGCAGTTGTAAAACTCCTAATAAATCAGCTACCAATTGGATAGGAGGTTTTTTTCAGTTCTATTCCCTCTATTTAAAAAATTGTTTGCTCTGTTGCATGACAGACACCAAAGACATAGTTACTATCAGTGTGACTATACACACACACACACATATATATGTGTGTATACATATATATGTGTATATGTGTGTATATATATACATATATATATATACACTTTAAGTCTGGTTAAAATGGAAACTTTAGACAAATTAAATGATTAATTAATTAACAGAGTTTAATTGAGCAAAGCATGATTTAGGAGTCAGACAGCCCTCAGAACCACGGTAGGTACAGAGCGACTCTGGCACTGCCATGTGGTCAGGGAGGATTTCTAAACAGAAAAAGGAAAGTGAACAGAAAACAGAAATGAGGTACAGAGATAGCCAGATTAGTTACAGCTCAGTGCTTGCTTTATTTGAACATGGTGTGAACAGTTGGCTACCTGTGATTGACTGAAACTCGGCTGCTGTAATTGGCTAAGATTCAGCTATTTGTTACAAGAGTAGGTTATAGTCTGTTTACAAATCCAGTTAGGTTACAGTTCACTTTATATGAAGAAACTTTTAGACCAAATTTAAATATGTAAGGAGGCAGTTTTAGGTTAAACTTAATTTAACAAATCCTCTCTTTAGGCGATTGATGTCACTCTGTCGCTATCATAAACGTTCTTATTTGGACTCAAATCCCACTGGGAAATAGCAAAGCAGTGGAATTTGTAAGGTGGGAACAAGGACTTCAGGTTACTTTTTTGTAAGGGTTACTCCAGAAAGGGCTTTCTCTCTCTTTCTCTCTCTCTCTTTCTCTTTCTTTTTGATAAGGAGTTTCACTCTGTCGCCCAGGCTGGAGTGCAGTGGTGCGATCTCGACTCGCTGCAACCTCCACCTCCCGGGTTCAAGTGATTCTCCCACCTCAGCTTCCCGAATAGCTGGGATTACAGGCGACTGCCACCATGCCCAGCTAAGTTTTGTACGTTTAGTAGAGATGGGGTTTTGTTCTGTCGCCTACGCTGGTCTTGAACTCCTGGGCTCAAGCAAAAAGTGCTGGGATTACAGGCGTAAGCCGCCGCACCGGGCCAGAAGGGGCTTTCTTATGCTAGAGTCTCCTGTTTCAGGAGAGAGACAGAAAAAAAATAACCGTAGTCTGCTTTGGGATCTATCTGCTTCCATAGTTTCAAGTTTCAAGTTTCAGTTTGATTATGTCACATTTAGCATGAGTGACTCCATGGACCAGAGATTCTATTGCTGCAGTGTAGGTGGCAAGGGCAGTCTTTTTCTGATTTTTTCTCTTTCTTTCTTTCTTTCTTTCTTTCTTTCTTTCTTTCTTTCTTTCTTTCTTTCTTTATTATTATACTTTAAGTTTTAGGGTACATGTGCACAATGTGCAGGTTAGTTACATATGTATACATGTGCCATGCTGGTTCTGATGTTTTTAGAAGGCTCAGTCTCCAGGTTCTAGATCATAATGGGTTTCATTGTCTTCAGTTAGTGCATCATGAAAAGCTTCCTTCATCTCGAAAAAAAAAAAGTGCACTTTGGCATAATGCATTAAAGATTTGCAGCATTTAGTCATTTCAGAGTTTAGGAGCAGAGGATACATGAGGTCCTATTATTAGGGGCACAAACCTTTCAGTGACTATTTCATAAGGGGTCAACTTATATTTTCCATTGAAAGTGGATCTAATTGTAATCAATCTGCAATACCATTGACCAAGGAAATCCAGCCAATTCAGTTAACTTTGTCTAATGCTGTTGTATCTGTAAACTTTATTTAACTGTTTTACAACTTGTCCAGTGAAACAAATACCTCTATCATTGGAGATTTCTCCAGAATGCCCCATGAGGGAAACACATTTCCTAATAACCTCTTAGCCACTGTTATACCATCAGTCTTCTTGCATGAAAAAGCTTCTAAACATCTAGAAAACATGCACTGAAAATGGCAGAGAAATAAAATCCCTCTATAAATGTCCAAATGGCACATCAGGTAGCAAAAACCAGAAGTTTCTATTGTCTTCCATATATACAAATTGCAGAGCTTTTAATAGTGGAGGCTTTAAGGATGTAAGAGGGACCATGTGGTTATCCAGGTTCTCCATGAGTCCACATTTAACAACTAATTTATAACCTCGTAAACACCAATTTTGTTTCTCCAATACAGGTGCATAGCACTGTTTATTAGATGAGTTATCAGAGGTAATTTGGCTTGGACTATGGAGTTTATTGAAACTGCAGATCTTAACAATTTCATTATTGGCTTATCTAGCATGAAAATCTGGCAAAGTATTTCCTTGGTATTCAATTAATTCTTGTCTTGCTTGGATTAGCAGTTTTATAAACCAGTCAGTCTCTTCATTAGAATTCTGGGAATTCTTACCCAGCGCAAATGATGTCAGGGTCCTTTCTATCCTTTCCATGAACGTTTTAGGAGACACAATACTTTAGCAATTTACTTGCTTCTGAAGAGCTTTCAGAAAATGCATCAGGGCTGGGCACGGTGGCTCACACCTGTAATCCCAGCGCTTTGGGAGGCTGAGATGGGTGGATCTCTTGAACCCAGGAGTTCAAGATCAGCCTGGGCAACATAGTGAGACCTCGTCTCTAAAAAAAAAAAAAAAAAAAAAAAAAGGGAGAAAGAAAAAAGAAAATGCATCAGAATTAAGCAGTTAACTGTGGAAACAACTTAAAATAGTCATGGTTAAAGACAAAAATGACAAATAAATTTGGTTATTTCTGTTGCATAATAACCATAATTATAACCAATAACATAACAAGGCATATCAGAATTTTAGGAATCTCTTATAATTTTGAAACATATATTAATAGCATATCCATAAAAACATAACTTGAAGAAGGTTAAACATTATTTCTTATCTGACAATGTTTCTCATGTAATTTAACATGTCAAATAAGCCTGTTTATGATCCCTGTTTTGGATGCTGCAGGCACCCACTGTAACATCCCAAAGTTAGTGTGAGGTCAAAATGACTTAATTTTGAATCTGAAATTTGAATTTGGGAAGCCTGTCAAATACATCAAAAGTATAAAACACTTAATCAAAGTAGTATCACATGTCACTATAAAATAATAGTCATTCTTTTAGTCAAAGTGATAATTAAAAGATTCTAAAAGCAAAAACCTTTACTCTTTGATAGAGAGGAGGCTCAGTTTTCCAAATAATCCGAAGGCCTAATAAAGACAGCATAAGATAGAATCTGTCTCTCTTCTCTTCCCCTTTTCTTTTTTGCAGTTTCCTCAAAAGGTGAATAAAAATATTTTACTGACTCTTATTCGTACTACATAAAATTCTTCTTTAAGAGAAACCAAATTTTGCTATTGTATTAGTGTATTATCAACTCTAAAGTTAATTTGACTAAAACCTTACAAACAAATTCATCCAACCTCAGGCAGCTTTTGAACATACAATATAAGATTTTCATAAATCTTTTTTAGCCTCTCACAAACTTTTTCTATTTTTTCTTTCCCCAAATTTTTATACCCATGTAGTTTTATCTATATCATATTTTATTCCTTCAATTTGAAACAAACTTGAAATAACTTCTAAACTAGACAAAATTATTTTTTTCAACATATACACATCTTCATGCCTTTACAACTTTCCTCACTAAAAACATATCTTCCTTTTTAAAAACAATACATTCTGTATATTATATCTGGTAGTTTTATTGACATATATTAACTTTAATTTTAACTCTTAATAACCCTAATTTCTAGTGAAAACCTAGGAAGTAATTTTGAACTGTTTTATATCAGTATTTGTAGATGAAAATCATTTCCTAATGTTTTAAGAAAGATGTTTCTTCAGTTTTTCTTGTTTATTAACAGATCTAAACATATTTAGCTTCTCTATACTATGTAAAAATAAGATGCCAAGATATATAAACTTAAACTTAGGTTAAATAATTAATGTTTCTATATTTTAACTTACTTAGAAATAACTCAAACATTTTATGACTATCTATTGGTTAATTTAACAGATTAAAGATTTTTAATTACTGAAAAGAATTTTTAAATTATGACATAGATACCCTCCCTAATACCTTCTCTAATCATCCTGGGTCCTAAGTACCCATGTGGCACCCAAGGCAGTTCTATAGTGAAGGGCTCATCTGGGTCTTGAATTTACATAACAGGTATAGAGCTCAGGATAGATGACAACTGCGAAGATGACACCTGGAGGATCAAACCCCTCCCGGCATGGCCAGCTGGCAACACTGGTTCAGGGAGAATGTGCCATTGGAGGTTGGCTCTGCTTTGCAGATAGTGGTCCAGGCACTGAGGACATATTCCTAGGCCTCACCATGGTCACCTTGTTACCAGCAGTGAATCCATGTGGGTCTGCATCAACCTCAATTCTTGCCTCCTCAGAAGAAAGAATTTGACTCAAGGGCATAAGGCAGAAGGAGAGACAGAGGCAAGTTTTAAAGCAGGAGTGACGTTTATTAAAAAGCTTTACAGCAGGAACAAAAGGAAATAAAATACATTTGGAAATACTTGACCCTCTCTATTTGGAAAAGGGCCAAGGAGATGACTTGAGAGATCAAGTGCATGATTTGACCTTTGACTTGGGGTTTTATATGTTGGCATACTTCTGGGGTCTTGCATCCCTTCTTCTGTTATTCTTCCTTTGGGTTGGCTGTCCACATGAACAGTGGCACTGCTAGCACTTGGAAGAGGAGCAAGTGCAGTGTGTTTACTGGAGATGTATGCATGCTCACCTGAGGCATTCTTCCCCTACTAAATGTCCCTAGAAGGTCATACACCAGTTAAACTCCGCCATTTTGCCTCTTAATGCACGCCCAACTCCTGAGATCTTATCAGGAAGCTGCTGATCACCAGTTTCAGGTTTTTCTATCTATAGACTGCCTTTTCTTGGCACTGGCTGAAACCAATTAGTATTTTAGAGAGACAGTTAACAACCACCTGACCATCACTTGATAGTCACCTGACATTCCTGGTTGGGGGAGGGAGGGCTCTCCTGCTCTGCTCATATCTTACTAGCTACCTATTGTAACAACCTGTCCAGATCCCAGAATCCAGAGGCTCAAAATAAAAAAACAAGCTCGCAGTAAGACATATACAAGGCTTCAGTGTAGCCCAGCATCCATGCCTTACAGTTTTAGCTAACAGACAAATTAAGCAAATGTCAAAGATACCAGTTTCATAACTTTAAAACATGTCATGGAGACAACATAAACCTGTCTGACCAGTAGATCCAGGCAAAAATGTCTGAATTATATTTAACTGACAATTCTGAGGCCACTTCTATTTTATTTTACCAATAATTTTTAAACTAGTTTTCTAAATCAAATATTATTACATACACATAACACATATAGACATACAGACACACATAACAGAAGCAAATTTTATAGCTTTCATAAAGATTCTCATTTGCCAGCTCTCAAATAGTTTTTTTATTTTCCCCATTGTGACAATCAATCTTCCAATTATCTGTTCCATTGTTCTAAGCAATCATTAGCTAGGCAACCCTAAATTTGCATTTCTAATAGGATGACTCTTAAGTCAAATAAGGTAGGAAATGTATATCTCAAAAATCAGAGAACTGAGACTTCAGACCTAAATATTGTACTATAATTTGCCCAAACCAAGGGATCAGGATATAGGTAAAGGCCTAGTTAAGACAAGATGGGAAGAAAAAGCACCTT